>NC_000023.11:77917087-78220117 GCF_000001405.40 Homo sapiens
AGACTAGTGAAGTAATAGAACTTAAATATGTGCAAGAAAACATTCTAGGTGAGGGGACCAGTTCTAAACAAAGTCATAGAAATAAATGATAAGAGCATGGACTATATGGCAATCAGTGAAGGGACTTGCTTGATTGTAGTAGAGATTTTATGTTGGGGAGGAGCACTGCAAGTGATAGATGCAGACCATCTTTTGAATGCTTTGAAGAACTATTTAAGTCTGTCTAAAAGTCCTTTGGATACACTGTTCTGGAGAGGGTTTGGGGCTTTGGGGTCATACTGCCTTGGTTTGATCTCATCTCTACTCTAATTTGTTTAAGTTTAGAATTTTATAGTAAGTTTTCTCAGTGACACAACTCTATAGGCAACAAACTGATATTTACAGAGTGGTTGGGGTCAGTAACCCTTGTATCAGTTAAGCAATGTACACATGAAGTGCCAGTAGGAAGTCCAAGGAAAGGTTGGGAGAAATAAAAGGAGGTTAGTAAAGGAAAGAGAAATAAATACATTCTGTGATAGTTGGTAGAATGTCATCAGAAATGTCTTCAAGCAAAACAATACATTTGCCTGTCTTTTGTTTCTAGTTGCGTTTAATGGTAGTGTGTTTTCCTTGTCTAAATATGAGAAAGAGAAACTAAACTGCAGCTACTTGACGTGGGCATCTGAGAGCTACCAATGGTTGGCTTAGGTTATGTTCTACATTTGAAGCATCTGGTCAGTTTTAGATTGTCTTCTATATTTGAAGCATCTGGCTAGACCACTTGTGTCCCAGTTTTCTATTTTACCTAAACTCAACTTGGTCAGAAGCTTATGTAGTAAGTATTGTTTGTAACCTGTGTTAGTACTCTCTTAACATGGCTTAAAGCATGAATGGATTGTCAAATGAATACCTGTTATGACCTGTATTTTTTCTTGTTACCTTTGGATTTAATGTAAGTATAATAATGCTCTAAGAACATTTGACAGTATTGTTCAGGCACTTTTTTTTTTTTTTTTTTGAGACAGGGTCTGGCTTTATTGCCTAGGCTGGAGTGCAGTGGCACGATCACAGCTCACTGCAGCCTCAACCTCCTGGGCTCAAGCAATCCTCCTACTTCAGCATTCCAAGTAGATAGGACCACAGGCATGTGCCACCATGCCTGGCTAATTTTTAAAATTTTTTTTTTGTAGAGACGGGATCTTACTTTGTTGCCCAGGCTGGTCTTGAACTCCTGGGTTCAAGTGATTCTCCTGCCTCAGCCTCCCCAAAGTGCTAGGAGTACACAGGCATGAGCCATCATGCATAGCTGCTTATTCAGGTGCTTTTAAGAAATTTTTTCCACCAGAAAAGTAGAAATGATCATACCAGACTACCTTTGTCTCCTCCCAATCTTTTATTATGGTGATGTCCAACCTTGTTATAAGGAGGAGCTTCTTTTAATCTCAGAGTCATGAGATCAGGGCAGATACTGACAGTATAGTTCCTGAGAAGTAGTTGCTGGCTGTGCTGTTCTTCCTTTCCCAATGGGAATCTTAGCTGAGACATGTAGCAGAGAGAAGACATTATGGGGAGCCAGCATGGAGCTTTATAGGAGGTGAGGTGTCTAGATCTACCAGTAGATCCCGATTTGCAGGTTTGAGACTCCTACCTTATTTCATCCATGGCTGTTGCATTGTACAAATCTAGTGGGCAGCAGCCACAGTCTGTAAAAATTATGACATGGAATTACACAATGTGGCAGCCCTGGAAACTACCCAAACCACTTCTATTTCTAGTCCTGTATTCCCTTCAATACCTACTACATCCAGCAGCCGTGATAGTCCCAACACGTTTATCATTTGACTCTCTTTGCCTCCCACTTGAAGGCTCCCCTTTAATCCAACAGATAAAAATTACATCTTTGTCTAAGGATTTCAAGGTGTTGCATAAATTTTCTTATTCTATTTAAGTATACTCATCAAGAAAATGATAATAACTGCCTCGTCTAATTCATAGGTTTTTATCAGTATCAAGTGGAATAATGTATGCAAAAACTTCATAAATTAAAGAATACTACACAAATATAATATTCTTTTCAGATATATTATGTTGTGGAAAGAATACTGAATTCCAATCAGATGTCTGGCATCTCAGTTCTTTCTGCTATTAACAAACTGTGACTTTGGACAAATTACTTTGTGCTCTGGGGACTTTGTTTCCTTACCTATAAGAGGAAACTTATAATGCCACTCCTATCTACCCAGACACCTAAGAGCTACTTTTTCCTCACCTCCACATTCAGTCACCAAATTTGTTGTCTAGTTCTTAAAATTTCTTAAGTTGGTCCTGCCCTCTCTATCTCCATTCAGTTCCTAATCACTTCCCTTTTGGGCAGCAGCCTGTTAAAAAAAATTGTGGTAAAATATGCATAATATAATATTGACTATTTTAACCTTTTTTTTTGAGACGAAGTCTCACTCTGTCACCCAGGATGCAGTGCAATGGTGTGATCTCTGCTCACTGCAGCCTCCGCCTCCCAGGCTCAAGCAATTCTCCTGCCTCAGCCCCCTGAGTAGCTAAGATTACAGGCACACGCCACCCCTGGCTAATTTTTGTATTTTTAGTGGAGACGGGGTTTCACCATGTTGGCCAGGCTGGTGTCAAGCTCCTGACCTCAAATGATCCACCCGCCTTGGCCTCCCAAAGTGCTGGGATTACAGGCGTGAGCCACTGTGTCCGGCCCCATTTTAACCATTTTTAAAGGTACAAGTCAGTGGCATTGAGTGCATTCTCAGTGTTGTACAATCATCACTGTTATGCATTTCCAGATTTTTTTCATCATCCCAAACTGAAACTCTGTACCCATTAAATAATAGCTTCTCATTCTGCCTTCTCTCACCCCCTGGTAACCTCATTCTACTTTCTGTCTCTATGAATTTACCTATTCTAGGTACTTTTTGAAAAATAATTTCAACATTTATTTTTGATTCAGAGGGTACATTTGCAGGTTTGTTACCTGGCTATATTGCATGATGCTGAGGTTGGGGTACAATTGATCCTGGCAATCAGGTACAGAGCAGAGTGCACAATAGTTTTTCAACCCTTGCCCCACTCCCTCCCCACCCAGTAGTCCGCAGTATCTATTGTTGCCATCTTTATGTCTATGAGTACCCATTTTTTTTTTTTTTGAGACGGAATCTCGCTCTGTCGCCCAGGCTGGAGTGCAGTGGTGTGATCTCGGCTCACTGCAAGCTCTGCCTCTCGGGTTCATGCCATTCTCCTGTCTCAGCCTCCCGAGTAGCTGGGACTACAGGTGCCCGCCACCACGCCTGGCTAATTTTTTTTGTATTTTTAGTAGAGACTGGGTTTCAACATGTTAGCCAGGATGGTCTTGATCTCCTGACCTCGTGATCCGCCCACCTCGGCCTCCCAAAGTGCTGGGATTACAGGCGTGAGCCACCGCGCCCGGCTGAGTACCCATTGTTTAGCTACCACTTATAAGTGAGAACGTGTGGTATTTGGTTTTCTGGTCTGCGTTAGTTTGCTTAGGATAATGGCCTCCAGCTGATTCCATGTTGCTGCAAAGGACATGATTTTGGTCTTTTTTTAATGGCTGCATAGTATTCCATGGTGTATATGTACCACATTTTCTTTATCCAATCCACCATTGATGGGCACCTAGGTTGATTCTATGTCTTTATTATTGTGAATAGTGCTGCATTAAACATAGAAGTGCATGTCTCTTTTTGGTAGGACAATTTATTTTCTTTTGGATATATACTCAGTAATGGGATTACTGGGTCGAATTGAGTTCTAAGTTCTTTGAGAAATCTCTGTACTGCTTTCCACCACGGCTGAACTAATTTACATTCCCACCAACAGTACCTAAGCATTTCTAGGTACTTTTAATAAATGGAATAATACAATATTTGCCCTTTTGTGTCTGGCTTATTTTACCTAGCATAATGTCTCAAAATTTCATCCATGTTGTAGTATATGTGAGAATTTCTTTCCTTTTTATGGCTGAATAATATTCCATTGTTGGGTAATAACGTTTTAACTGGTCCTCCTAACTCCAGGCTTTGCCCTATCAAATTTGTCCTTCGTGATCTGACCTTACTTACCTTTACAATCTCCTTGTTGTTACCATTCATGCCATATGCCTCAGCCATACCAGTGGTGGTCCTTAAATATGGCATGCTGTTTGACAACTCTGTAACTTTATTCATGGCTCTTTTGTCTGAAATTTATTTCCATTCTTCTGGAGAACTCCTACTCAATCTTCAAGGCCGTTTACCTAACAATAGTGGATGGGTGAAATTATGATACGTTCATATAGTGGACTTCTAGTCAGCCTTTTAAAATTATGGCATATATATTAGTGGTTAAAAGCACAGGCTCTGGACCAGGCTTACTGGGATCGAATTTCAAATCTGTCACTTACTAACTATGTGACCTTGGGAAAGTTCCTTACCCTCTCTGTATCTCAATTTTTTCATCTATGAAACAGGGATAGTAATTGTATCTATCCCATCAGGTTGCTGTGAACATTTAATTACTTAGAAGTATTAGCTAGGCCAGGTGCAGTGCCTCACGCCTGTAATCCCAGCACTTTGGGAGTCCCAGGCGGATGGATCACTTGAAGTCAGGAGTTTGACACCAGCCTGGCCAACATGGTGAAACCCTGTCTCTACTAAAAAATAGATAAAAATTAGCCAGGCTTGGTGGTGGGCACCTGTAATCCTAACTACTTGGGAGACTGAGGCAGGAGAATCACTTGAACCCAGGAGGCGGAGGGTGTGGTGAGCTGAGATCACGCTACTGCACTCTAGTCTGGGCAACAGAGCTAGATTCTGCCTCAAAAAAATAAAAATAAAAATAAAAATATTAGCTATTATGTTTTATTTATTTGTTAGTTTTTAAATTTTTCGTAGAGATGGGGTCTCGCTATGTTGCTCAGGCTGATCTTGAACTCCTGGCCTCAAGAAGTCCTCCTGCTTTGGCCTCTCAAAGTGCTGGGATTACAGGCGTGAGTCACTGTGCTCGGTCAAAAGTATTAGCTATTGTTATATATTAATATTTACTGTCATAGAAAAATGTTTATTATATAGTGTTAAATGAAAAGAAACATGCTGTAAAATAGAATAGTATATCATTTTTGTTAAAAATGTGTGTGTTCTTGGGTGTGGTGGCTCACGCCTGTAATCCCAACACTTTGGGAGGACCAGGCAGGAGGGTTGCTTGAGGCTGGGAGTTTGAGACCAGCCTGGGCAATATAGGGAGACCTCATCTCTACAAAAAATAAAAAATTAGCTGGGCATGTGGTGCATGCCTTGAGTCCCAGCTACTCAGGAGGCTGAGGTGAGAGGATTGCTTGAGCCTAGGAAGTCGAGGCCACAGTGAGCTATTACTGTGCCATTGCACTCCAGCCTGGGCAACAGAGTGAGATCCTGTCTCAAAAAAATGTGTGTTTATATGTAGACACACATATAATACCCTCCTAGACTTACATACACACACCCCACCCCACCCCACATACACAACCCTCAACATGTTAGCCTTCATTATTTCTCAGTGATAGACCAATTGGTTGTTTATTTTTTATATTTGCTTATCTGTATTTCCTGTTTTTCTCCATTTGACATTTATTTCTTACATTTGGGGAGCATGAAAAAAGACACAGTTAAAGCATCTCTTCTGTGAAGCCTTCCCTGATTTCCCTTCCTTCGTCCTTTAGGGCACCAGAATACCTTGCATCCCTGAACTCCTTAAAGCCTGTATTATATTCATTTACATTTTAATCCCCAACTGGGACTAGTGCAGAGCCTAAAAGATACATGAACTTAGCCATATTAGTAAGGTGAAAATGGAATTATGTGCAAGCACTTTACACATGTTATCTCATATACAGCACTCAGCAGTCTCATGAGTAAGAGTTATCTGTGTTTTTCAGATGAGGAAACTGAGCATCAGAAGAGACCAAACAATTTGCTGAAGGTATACAACAGTAAGCAACAGAATTTGGATTCAAATCCAAGTCTGTCTGATGCCAAAGGTGGTCTTTTCAATGTATATTGAATGACTGAATGATCTAATGAATATATCTGCTGTCTCAGATGACATAATTTATGAAAGACTTATTGGTAAACAAATATGCTATATGAATGTAAAGATATGTTGTTGTTATTTTCTGCTATATTTTCATCTGCACCCTAGATTCTGACTAGGCAAATGAGCTTTCCTTCTCCCCATGCACAATTTTTTCCCTCTGTTAGTATAAATTGGCAATTTTGGCTCTCCATTTGTCTTTTTATACTGCCCATGCTCTTTCCACTCTTTAGGAACCTGACTCATAATTATGATATTAAGCTTTTCAGATTAATCTAGCCATGTCCATCAGATTTACTGTTGTGTGTACATGTTGAGAAAACTAATTAGAAAGTATCTGGCCAGATACAATTTGTTTCAGTGATGCCAAAGTATGGTAATTCCTAGTTTAATGTGTTTACCTTTTTCTTTTTTTTTCTTTCTTTCTTTTTTTTTTTTTGAGACAGAGTCTGTTTACCTTTTTTTGTGTGCTGATATGTCCACATTTAATTTCCTACATTCATATTCATACCGCTTTCAAAAGAAGGTGTTGTCAATGATAAAACATTAGACAGAAATAGTTTTTAGACAGAGGATGTTAATAAGTTCAGCCTATGTCTTATTTAGGTTTATGTTTTTGTGTGTATGTGTGCACAGCCTTCATCATTTAAGTTTATGTTTTGTGTGTATGTGTATGCAGCCTTCATCAAAAGAAAAAAGGCAGATAGTCAAGAGGTGTTTTAATAATTTATATCACAGCTACAACAGAATATACTAAACCAAAATTTAGAATTTGATTATAGCTTGACTCCCTACAATTTTTTCAGAATTAAAAAGATGAATCCCCTTTAAAGCAAACTAACTGAAGGGAAGCATCTACTTTGTGAAAATTGCCTGTCTAAAATGGGGTGGGAAATAACTCCCTTTTAAGTACCGCACTTTTTTTTATTCTACCAGAACCTGGTTTCTAAAGATTTCAACCTATTTTTATAGTCTCAGTTTTGTGAGATGACAAAGTTCATCTTAGTGATTTCTAACTAAGAAAGCACAACCACAGAAACGAGGAATGGATTCTGGAAAGGGAAACTTCCTGCAAATTATGATGAATTTACAGAAATAGTAAATATTTAAATTCCATAAATAGTTAATATTGTTGTTGATAATTATTTGTCTTGATTTCTGTTCAAGAAGTATACATTTGAATTAGCACACAGTTTATTTTATTCCTAGCAATTTAGTATATTTTTCATAGCCATCAATATTTGGGATTCTGCTTGCTTATGATTACAAATCACTTGAAACCTGCCAGTTGAAAATTCTCAAGGGTGTGAAATGATATGGGCCTTCAGTGAATTCATTCCCCTTTATCTGTATAAAATACCTGGCTAAACAGTTGTCTTTGACAATTTTAAATTACTGTTTCCTTTCTTAAAAACTCCTTTCCAGAAGCTGATCTCCCGTACATTTCCAGTACATAATTTTTCATCCTTATCTGTCCTGACAGTGATTCAGCTTTGAATAAGAGAGAATGTTACCAGAGTTTCACCTTTATTGGCCTAAGTCTTTGTTTATTTTTTGAGACAGAGTCTTGCTCTGTCGCCTAGGCTGGAGTGCAGTGGCATGATCTCGGCTCACTGCAACTTCTGCCTCCCGGGTTCAAGTGATTCTCCTGCCTCAGCCTCCCGAGTAGCTGGGACTGCAGGAACGCGCCACCACGCCCAGCTTATTTTTGTATTTTGGGTAGAGACGGGGTTTCGCCATGTTGGCCAGGCTGGTCTCGAACTCCTGACCTCAGGTGATCCACCCACCTCGGCCTCCCAAAGTGCTGGAATTACAGGCATGAGCCACTACGCCCAGCCAGCCTAAATCTTTAAAACAGGACATGAAAGGAATTGAAGGGTTGGGTATGGGTGGGGTTGTAGATCTAGACTATATTTATGGAATGTTTGCTTCCTTCGTGCTGAAAATTGTTCTTTGGACCTTGGGATGAAAAGAGAAAATATATGAAAAATAAGAATGTTATGAAAAGTCTAAGTATTCTGAAAAATACATTAGTATACTACTTTATAATCATACCATATAAATATTTCAGCTATAAAAATTAATGCAAAATAAATTTTCTCCCAATATGTTAACTGCTTTAAAAAAAAGTATTGGCAAGATTGATTATATTCTTTCCTAAGAGGAAAGATAACTTTGCATAATCACCAAGATGGTTTACCAACATACACCACGTATACTGAGTATTACAGTCTTCACCAACATGAGTCAAATGCTAGCGTGTATAGGGTTGGTAGTATAAACCTACCTGGTACCTTTTTGGTTTTGCTGACTAAATGGTGCTAATGAAGCCAGGGTTATAGACTTCATCTCTGTGGGAGTCACTTGTTCTTTGGAGTCATTAGGTATGCCACTAACTCTGCTCCACAGTTTTCCGAATGCAGTTTGTTCATTAAGAAAGGGAGGCTAGTACAGAGTAAAAATAGCTCAGCAAAAAGCCATCATCAGTACCCATGCCCTTAGCCTCCTGATAGGGGGAGGAGGGTCTTTAATGTCCAGGCTTTCAAACTCACATATACATTTTTATTATTAATCAGTGGAGGCTGCACTTAGAAATTTATTTCTTTGGACTTCTGCAATATTCTGCTTATAAAGTGTTTCTGTGGTTTCAACTGTAGATCCCTTTTTGCCTTTATCTCCAGACTCTTTTGTCTCAAAACTTTATGGTCTCAGAGAACTAAGGAAAGACTTGGCTCACTATATGCATTTGCAGAAAGTAATAAGGCTTTTTTTTTTTTTAACGCCATAAAGTGATCTCAGCAAAGTGACAAATCTACAGTTTCAGAACTGAAACTAAACAACTCTTTCGTGGTTTATTAGACTCTTCTATATTAAGTAGAGCAGTTTTAGGTGAGCCTCTGGGAATCTCATGAAACTGAGCTTCCAGTGTGGCTCATAGTCGTTTGTAATCTATACAAATCTATAGTATCTTTCATTGAGTATCATTAAAGAATGAGGTATTTTGCAGAAGTGAATTTCCAAATAACTGAAGTATACCCTTTACATTTTTGTCATTCAGGGATCTGATGCATGCATCCTACAAAGGCATCCTTGAAATACATTTACTTTTCCAAAATAAAAATACTTTTATTTCTGATTAGAACATTGATAAATGGTCAATGTAAAAACAAAATCTAGTCAATATTTATTTATTTATTTATTTGAGACAGAGTCTCATTCTGTCGCCCAGGCAGTGGGGGCAATCTCAGCCCACTGCAACCTCTGCCTCCCAGGTTCAAATGATTCTCCTGCCTCAGCCTCCTGAGTAGCTGGGGCAACAGGCGTCCACCACCACACCCGGCTAATTTTTGTATTTTTAGTAGAGACAGGGTTTCGCCACATTGGCCAGGCTGGTCTCAATCTCCTGACCTCAAGTCATCCACCCACCTTGGCCTCCCAAAGTGCTGGGATTATAGGCATGAGCCACCACGCCCAGCCCCAGTCAATATTTAGATATCTCTCCTTTCTGAGATTTATTTTTTCTTACAGCATTTATCACTACTTGACTTTTGCAATTTTTTTTTTTTTGAGATGGAGTCTTGCTCTGTCACCCAGGCTAGAATGCAGTGGCGCAATCTCAGCTCACTGCAACCTCCACCTCCCCAGTTCAAGTGATTCTCCTGCCTCAGCCCCCCAAGTAGCTGGGATTACAGGTGCACACCACCATACCCAGCTAATTTTTGTGTTTTCAGTAGAGACGGGGTGTCACCATGTTGGCCAGGCTGATCTTGAACTCTTGACCTCAAGTGATCCTCCTGCCTCAGCCTCCCAAAGTTCCAGGATTACAGGCATGAGCCACTGCGCCTGGCTCACTACTTGATTTTATACATTCCTTTGTTTGCTTATTGTCCATCTCCCTCAAGAGAATATGAGCCCCATGAAAGAAGAGACAGTGCCCCTCTTCACTGCTGTATCACCAGCACGTAGATTAGTACCTGAAACATAATGGGACTTCAATAAATATGTGCTAACTAAATGAAGAAAGTAGAAATCACTCTTAATTCCACCATCCAGGGATTAGCCACTGTTAAGATTCTGGTATCATTTCTTTCTTTTTTTTTCTTTTTTAAAGAGCAACCCTATTAACTGATCTGGTATGATTTCTAACAAAAGTTTTTTCTCTTACATACACATTCTCATGTGTATATATAAATTTATACAACATTTTAATAGAAATAGGACTATCGTCAATTGTTTGTAGCCTCTTTTTTCACTTAACTCATCACAGACATGATGTCATTAAGCAAACAATTATGTGTTTTTAATGGAGATATGATAATATATTTGACCAATTCTGTATTGATATTTAGGTTGGTTCCAGTTTTTCAATCACATAAACAACCTTGTGATAAGCATCCTTAGCCATACATCTTAGTACAGTTGTCTGTACCTTTCCTCCCCTTTGAATATATTCTTAGAACTGGAATTTCTGGGTTAAAAGGTATGCATTTTTTTTATTATACTTTAAGTTCTAGGGTACATGTGCACAATGTGCAGGTTTGTTACATACGTATACATGCGCCATGTTGGTGTGCTGCACCCATTAACTCGTCATTTACATTAGGTATATCTCCTAATGCTATCCCTCCCCCCATCCCACAACAGGCCCCGGTGTGTGATGTTCCCCTTCGTGGGTCCAAGTGTTCTTATTGTTCAGTTCCCACCTATGAGTGAGAACATGCGGTGTTTGGTTTTTTTGTCCTTGCGATAGTTTGCTGAGAATGATGGTTTCCAGCTTCATCCATGTCCCTGCAAAGGACATGAACTCATCAAAAGGTATGTATATTTTAAGGCTTTTTTTGAGACGGGGTCTCACTCTGTCACCCAGACTGGAGTGCAGAGCTTCAATTATGGCTCACTGCAGCCTCAAGTGATCCTCCTACCTCAGCCTCACGAGTAGCTGGGACTACAGGTATGCACCACCACACCCGGCTAATTTAAAAATTTTTTGTAGGGACAGGGTCTTACTATATTGCCCAGGCTGCCTATTTTAAGGCTTTTGATAAATATTGCCAACTTGTCTTTTGGAAACTCTGTAGGGATTGGTGTTAGTTTATACTACCATCAGCAGTATATCATAGTTCGTTAACTCAAAACTATTTTGATATTAATGATTTTGAAAAAAAAGACTTTCTAAAACACATTAAGTATTTTTAGTGCTTTATTGCTTTTCTAAGCAGAATACCTGTACCTGATTTAATTATAACACACATACACACACACACACACTCATATATATATATGACATGACATGTGCTCGACCTGTTATTGCTCACTGTCCTTGAGTTGAGAGTAGTGTTCTTCCTTCTACCACTGCCTCCATGGGGCAGAGAGGTCCTTTCCAGAGCTGAGAATGTCAGTAAGAGATATATGTTCCTTGGCATCTTGACTTCCTAATTGGAATTTACTATATGTTTCCCCACACGAAACAGTGTTATAGCACTATTAATATATAGTCCAACTGTGCTATTGTCTAAACTCCTAAGAAATGGACCTTTGAACCTAGCCATCATTTATAAAGTTGTTCTTATGAGAAAACATGTTTCATCTTCAAAATTGAGAAACAACTGTTCAAGAAACCCATTTTTAAATTGAAGGTACACATTCAAAAAGTATATATTGAGGGCTTATTGTATGTGTGAAGATAAATGTGCTAGGCCGTCAATGGGTAATTCTTTTCTTGATGATGCAATGTTAAGGTACCCCTGCCCCCTAGTCATCATTTTGGTCAGGTCAGGACAACCAGTTGCAATTGTAACCCAGGGAGAAAATATTACTGGAGTGTGTTTGCTAGGCAGGGGACCACGTACAAGGGTTTCTGCAGAACTTTGGAGGCCAGGATTGAAGGAATAGCTGCTCAGAAGAGGTAGAAGAGAAAAACATACAGGAAATGGTAAGGAAGTGGGAAAGTTGGAAAGATTAATGTGTTTCTTTTAGATTAAGGGGAGAAGAGGGTACTGTTTGTCTTCTCGAGATGAGTGAGGATGGACATTCAGGCTGACATTCTGCCATCAAAATGCCTTGTGTAGGAATATTAGTCTTTGCATATAACTTAACAAAGCTGACCTGCCATTGTTGTGTTTTTGCTTGAGGACAGTGCCACACTGCTGCTGCCATGTACCCAAAGAATTGCTTGAACCCATCCCCTTCATTACTTCAACTCTAATGACTATTACTTTTCATTAATTTAGGCTGTATTCTTTTCAGACAACGTAAGGTAGGGGAAAAGAGCCTACTTTTTGGAATCTCAGAGGCCTGAGTTAGAGTCAGATTCTATCATTCATTAACTTATTTGTATTAGGCAAAGGAGCTCTCACTATGTCTTCGAACTTGAATCTTCTCTAGAAGGAGAAAAGTTTTATGTGATTATTAGGATTAAAGTGTTTAAAATGTCTGGAGTATGATAGGAACGAAATAAATTTTAATTTGTTTCTTTTCTTTTTCTTTTTTTTTTTTTTTGAGACAGGGTCTCATTATGTTGCCCAGGCTGGTCTTGAACTCCCGGGCTCAAGCAATCCTCCCGCTTTGGCCTCCCAAATTTCTGTGATTACAGGCATGAGCCACTGTGCTCAGCTAAATCTTAATTTCTTTTATTCTCCTCTCCTCCACCTCATTTTCCACCCACTACCAGAATCATCTTCTATTTTAAAAATCTGCGTCTGAAAGAATAACATTATAAAAGTAGTATATTGAGGTTAAACGTGGCCACCTGGCCATATGTTTAGCTCTCGTCCTTCACAAAACTCCATTAATGTGACAGTGAAAAGATTTTAAAAAGGTTACACCTGCAAGGAAAAGAAAACAGGAGAGCTAAATCAGCAGAGGGATGAATTTAATATATTTTTGGAAGATAAGAAGCACATGAAGAGGGAGAACCTTCCAGCAGAGGAGGATATTAATGAGAAGTGAGCTCTTTAATCTCACATTACCCATGATAGGCTCAGAATTTGAAGGTAAGTTGTTTATCCTGAAAGGTGAAGAAGAGACCCAGGGCTGAAAATAAGGGAAATGTTTTAAAAACTGAACAGGAAGGGATTGGACCTCTTAGTTTTTCTCAGGAGACCAGGAGTATAGTCTCAGTACTAAGTGAATCTGAAAGGCTCTGAGCTCCTGGACAGTGGGGTAGAGTGGAGGATACTAAAGCATTGGGTTGAGAACAGGGAAATTCAGTGGAAGTCTGCATACTGCGTGGTCAGCCCCTTCCCCACACCTTGCTCCCAAATATAGCAGCAAATATACCTTGCTTTGCAGATAGGAGATTGGAGAATTCTTTTCTTGGAAAATGAATGATCCCAGAGAAAAGAATTCCAGATGGTAACATGATAGGGTTCCGCAATGAAAAAGATAGCTAGCTGCCATTCACTCAATACTGAAATGCATAGTGGTTAAAGGCATGGGCTCTAGAGTTAGGCTTCCTGAGTTTGAACTCAGACTTAACTACTTACCAGCTATATGACCTTGGGCAAGTTACTTAACCTATTTGTTCCTCAGTATTCCCATCTTTAGGATGGGGAAAATTATGTTTACCTCAAGATTGTTGTAAAGGTTAAATGAGTTAACAAAGCACTGCTGATGGTAAGCTCTGGTAAATACTAGCTGAGGAAGGAGGAAGTACCCAGGGACTTCCTTAGCTGTCAAAGGCAGCTCTCGACTTTAGATCATGCCCCAATGGTGACCAGCAGCCTTTTCTACATAGGTGGTACATGGGGTCTGAACAGGGGCTTTGACCCCACAGAAGACACCTTTCCCCAGTTCCTCTCTCTCATTCTTAACTCTGTCTTTTAGGAACATTCTTTTTTTTTTTTTTTTTTTTTACCTTTTTTTTTATTTTTTATTTTTTATTGATCATTCTTGGGTGTTTCTCGCAGAGGGGGATTTGGCAGGGTCATAGGACAATAGTGGAGGGAAGGTCAGCAGATAAGCAAGTGAACAAAGGTCTCTGGTTTTCCTAGGCAGAGGACCCTGTGGCCTTCCTCAGTGTTTGTGTCCCTGGGTACTTGAGATTAGGGAGTGGTGATGATTGTTAACGAGCATGCTGCCTTCAAGCATCTGTTTAACAAAGCACATCTTGCACCGCCCTTAATCCATTCAACTCTGAGTGGACACAGCACATGTTTCAGAGAGCACAGGGTTGGGGGTAAGGTCACCGATGAGCAGGATCCCAAGGCAGAAGAATTTTTCTTAGTACGGAACAAAATGAAAAGTCTCCCATGTCTACTTCTTTCTACACAGACACGGCAACCATCCGATTTCTCAATCTTTTCCCCACCTTTCCTCCCTTTCTATTCCACAAAACCGCCATTGTCATCCCGGCCCGTTCTCAATGAGCTGTTGGGTACACCTCCCAGAGGGGGTGGTGGCCGGGCAGAGGGGCTCCTCACATCCCAGTAGGGGCGGCCGGGCAGAGGCGCCCCTCACCTCCCGGACGGGGCGGCTGGCCGGGCGGGGGGCTGACCCGCCCACCTCCCTCCCGGACGGGGTGGCTGGCCAGGCAGAGGGGCTCCTCACTTCCCAGTAGGGGCGGCTGGGCAGAGGCACCCCTCACCTCCCGGACGGGGCGGCTGGCCGGGTGGGGGGCTGACCCCCCCCACCTCCCTCCTGGACGGGGCGGCTGGCCGGGCGGGGGGCTGACCCCCCCCACCTCCCTCCCGGACGGGGCGGCTGGCCGGGCAGAGGGGCTCCTCACTTCCCAGTAGGGGCGGCCGGGCAGAGGCGCCCCTCACCTCCCGGACCGGGCGGCTGGCTGGGCGGGGGGCTGACCCCCCCACCTCCCTCCCGGACGGGGCGGCTGGCTGAGCGGGGGGCTGACCCCCCCACCTCCCTCCTGGACGGGGCGGCTGGCCTGGCGGGGGCTGACCCCCACCTCCCTCCCGGATGGGGTGGCTGCCGGGCGGAGACGCTCCTCACTTCCCAGACGGGGTGGCTGCTGGGCGGAGGGGCTCCTCACTTCTCAGATGGGGCAGTTGCCGGGCGGAGGGTCTCCTCACTTCTCAGATGGGGCGGCCGGGCAGAGACGCTCCTCACCTCCCAGACGGGGTCGCGGCCGGGCAGAGGCGCTCCTCACATCCCAGACGGGGCGGCGGGGCAGAGGTGCTCCCCACATCTCAGACGATGGGCGGCCGGGCAGAGACGCTCCTCACTTCCTAGATGGGATGGCGGCCGGGAAGAGGCGCTCCTCACTTCCTAGATGGGATGGCGGCCGGGCAGAGACGCTCCTCACTTTCCAGACTGGGCAGCCAGGCAGAGCGGCTCCTCACGTCCCAGACGATGGGCGGCCGGGCAGAGACACTCCTCACTTCCCAGACGGGGTGGCGGCCGGGCAGAGGCTGCAATCTCGGCACTTTGGGAGGCCAAGGCAGGCGGCTGGGAGGTGGAGGTTGTAGCGAGCCGCGATCACGCCACTGCACTCCAGCCTGGGCACCATTGAGCACTGAGTGAACCAGACTCCGTCTGCAAACCCGGCACCTCGGGAGGCCGAGGCTGGCAGATCACTCGCGGTTAGGAGCTGGAGACCAGCCCGGCCAACACAGCGAAACCCCGTCTCCACGAAAAAAGTATGAAAACCAGTCAGGTGTGGCAGCGCGCGCCTGCAATCGCAGGCACTCGGCAGGCTGAGGCAGGAGAATCAGGCAGGGAGGTTGCAGTGAGCCGAGATGGCAGCAGTACAGTCCAGCTTCGGCTCGGCATTAGAGGGAGACCGTGGAAAGAGAGGGAGAGGGGGACCGTGGGGAGAGGGAGAGGGAGAGGGAGAGGGAGAGAGCAGGAACATTCTTAAGACTGTCTCCAACTGCAGCATTGAACTCTTACTGTTCATTTTTTCAATAAATGTTTATTAGGTGCCTACTCTGTGCAAGTACTGCTCAAGCTGCTGGAATGACAGCAGTGAACCAGGTCTGTCATAATAGCTAACATTTACTGAATGCTTACTGTGTGCTTTACATGTATTAAGTTGTTGAATTCTCGAAACAACCCTCTGAAACAGATGATGTTATGATCTCTGTTTTACAGATAAGGAAACTGAGGCACAGAGATTAAATAGCTTGCCAAGGCCACACAGCTAGCAAGCAGCAGAGATAGGAATCAAATCCAGACAGTCTTGCTCTTGAGTCTGTTTAAAAAAAACTGTAGAGACAGGGGTCTTGCTGTGTTACCCAGGCTGGACTGGAACTTGAGTCTGTTTTTAACCATTATGCCTCCCTGTTCTCATGGAGCTTATGTTCTGGAAGTGGGAGACTGACAGTAAATAAGTAAACAAAGAAAATAGAGACCAAGTAGCAATAGGTGGTACCAATTGAGTATCCCTTATCAGAAATGCTTAGGACCGGAAGTGTTTCGGATTTCGGAATTTTTGGATTTTGGAATATTAGCATATATGTAATGAGATATCTTGGGGATGGGACTCAGGTTTAAACATGACATTCATTTATGTTTCATCTATAACTTGTACACATAGCCTGAAGTTAATTTTATTAATATTTTAAATAATTTTGTGCATGAAACAAAGTTTGTGTACAATATACCATTAGAAAGCAAAGGTGTCACTATCTCAGCCACCCATGTGGACAATCTGTGATCGACCTAACCATTGTTCCTGACTCTGAATTTATATGCTACTGGTAAGCAATCATTTTCTTGCACTTATTCACATAACTGTAAATTTTAATCAATTAAAAAACATGACATACCATTAATACAGTGAAAAAACAAGGTGTTCAGGGTAGCAAGCAGTACAGTAGCATCACCAGAGTTCCTTTTTTAGCTGTTAAACCACAGCAACAAACAACAGCAAGTTTTCAGTCTCTACTTATGATACTGTGTTTTGATTAAAAGATTACTATATACTATATTTTATGTTTTTAGGTGAAAAGAAACATTAGAAGTAGGTCCTGTAGGGATGAGGAGGCATTCTGCTGTATGGCTTTTTAAAATGTCTTTTCTAGGCCAGGCGTGATGGCTCATGTCTGTAGTCCCAGCACTTTGGGAGGCCGAGGCAGGAGGATTGCTTGAGCTCACGAGGTTGAGACCAGCCTGGGCAACATAGCAAGACCTCGTCTCTCCTAAACATTTAAAAAAAAATTAGCTGGGCGTGGTGGCACACACCTGTAGTCCCAGCTACTTGGGATGCTGAGGTGGGAGGATTGATTGAGCCCAGAAATTTGAGGCTGCAGTGAGCTATGTTAACACCACTGTACTCTAGCCTGGGTGATAGAGCAAGACCCTGTATCGAAAAAAAACCCTGAAGTTTCCTCTACAGTCTTCTGCCTCATTAACAATGGTTTTTTCTTAGAAGTCTCTCTTTGATATTTTGGACAGATATGATGTCTTGTTCTGTTATGAATGCACGCAGGTACATTGCAGCTGAAGGGAGCTGGGAGGGCCTTTTTTTCCCCCTTAGGGATGCTGAATAAACTGTTGTGTGCCTGCATTTTGATTGCAACCCATCACATGAGGTCGGGGTGGAATTTCTCAACTCGTGGCATCATGTTAGCACTCTAAAAGTTTCAGATTTTGGAGCATTTGAGGTTTTAGATTTTCAAATTAGGAATGCTCAACCTGTCTGATAACATATAAAACAAGGGATTGTGATACAGAGGGACTGGCAGAGGGTAGCATTAGTTGGGGTGGTCAATGTTTATGAGCACCAAGTGAGATAAGTTATAGTTTTTTTTTTTTTTTTAAACAGCCTTACTCTGTTGCACAGGCTGGAGTGTAGTGGTGTGATCTAGTGTCAGCCCCCAGAGTAGCTGGGACTGCAGGTGTGCACCACCACACCTGGCTTTTTTTTGTGTGTGTGTCTTTTGTAAAGATGGCATTTTACCATGTTGCCCAGGCTGGTCTTGAACTACTGGGCTTGAGCAATCCCCCTGCGTTGGCCTCCCAAATGCGGGATTACAGGCATGAGCCACCACGCTTGGCTGAGTTCTTTAAGAATTAATTACTTAGAGTATTGCTGTCTCTGCAGATTTGCAAAATGCCCTTTCTATGATTTGATTTATAATGCTACTCCCACACGTTTTAATATTACTAATAAAAAGCAGGAATAGTTCATGTGCACTGGTGTCTTACTGTGTATGAGGGACTATACTAAGCAATTTATATAGATTGTTTCATTTTATGCTCATAGCAATGCTATAACAATTCTTTTCTTTTTCAGTCATGGAAAACTAAAGCTTAAGGAGACAAGTGACAGGCCCAGGGCTTTAAATTTAGCAAGTGGCAGAGCCAGGATTTGAACAGAGGTAGCCTGATTCCAGAACCACTGCTGTTAAATACTTAACTATTTTATTGATGAAGTGATATGTGCAAGGTAATTCTTTTTATAAAAAATAGCTGACTTTTATAGAGATTTAAAATATTGTAAGCATTACTGGGTCTTCACAGTAACAGTGAAGCTTACCTATATTTTGGAGGCTTCAAGACAGGACATAAACAATACATTTTGAGTAAAGAAGCTTCTAGGGTTGTATGATTTTATCACCCCAAATTAGCAATTTTGTTCATATGAACTAAGATGCGTAAGATTCTTTAGCACAAAGCCAGAGCCAGGATTTGACACCAGGCCAGTTGACTTAAGATGTAGAGCTGTTACCCATTCCACTGCAGAGTAAATGATAACATGTAGCTTATCTTTGTTCAAGGTACTGTGGGAAGCCAATCTAGTGAAATTACATTTTAACAGTCCCCAAGGAATGTTTGTTAAATAATTTTTAGTTTTTTAAAACTTCTAAATTTCTCAAAACAAAAGCTGAGTGAAGACAGTTTTATTTTACAGACTTGGAGACAGTATGGAGCAGTGGCCCAGAGTGAGAGTTCTTGGGTCAGATTGTCTGGTGGCTTACGCTAATTTTCACTTCTTGATTTAACTGATTCAAGTATTAATATAATTTTGAACAGGCAACCTTGCCCTCCAAGTCTTAGTTCCCTTAATTGTGAAAGAAGCTAATATAGTATCTTCCTCATAGGATAAGTATGAGGACTAAATGAGACAACCTCTCTACAAAGTGCAAGGCATGGTGCCTTTTGGCCAGCCATCTCTTCTCTTGGAAATGGACCCCTCATTCATCATTCATGAATCCAAAGTGAAGTTTTGGCTCCATTGCCTTGGTTTTATCAGTGCCTGAAGTATTCTTCTGACAAATAGTGTGCATGAACTTAGAGTATAGACTTTCCTGACATATTTTTGTTGCTCACTTTCAAGTTTTAAAAACTTACAGTAAAATACACATACCATAAAATTTACCATTTAAACCATGTTTAACTATACCAGTTCTATGGCATTAAGTATAGCCATACTGTTGTGCAACCATCACTACCATCCACCTCCAGAACTTTCTTCATCTTCCCAAACTGAAACTCTATACCCATTAAACAACACTAGTGGCAGTTTTTGCTTATTATTCTTAGCTTTGTGACCAAGGCTGCTAGTTAGGAGAAATGTTACTCTGTTTGTACAAAGAAAGACTTTGAAAGAAATGTGATTAGAAATCTATATTATCCCAAAAGCATAATCCATAAATGAAAAAATGGATATACTGGACTTAATTAAAATGAAAGCTTTTGCTCTGTGAAAGAAAGTGAAAAGACAAGCCATAAACTAGGAGAAGATATTTTAAATCAAATTTTTGTTTAAGAGATGCAGTCTGTGTTCTCCAGGCTGGACTTGAACTCCTGGCCTCAAGCCATCCTCTTACCACAGCCTCCTGAATAGCTGGGACTACAAGTATGTGCCACTGTGCCCAGCTGCAAATCACATTTTTGACAAAGACTTGTATCCATAATAAACTTTTAAAAGCCTCCAAATTTAACAATGAGGAAACAACCAAATAACAAAATGGGTAAAAGATGTGAATAGGCACTTCACCTAGAAGATATGAAAATAGCAAATAAAGGAAATGCAGATTAGGCAGATGAAAATTAAAACCAAAATAACAATTATAACAAATGTACCACTCTGGTATGTGATGTTGCTAACGAGGGAGGTTGTATGTATATGGTGGTAGGAGGTATTTGTGAAATCTCTGTACTTTCTGCCCAATTTTGTTGTGATCCTAAACATCATCTATAAATAAAATTAAAGTGAGATACCACTGTACACTTAAAGCGGAAATACCAGTTGTTGGCAAGTGTGCAGAGCAACTGGAACTTTTATACGTTTCTGATGGGAATACAAAATGATACTGCCACTTTGGAAAACAGTTTGCCAGCAGTTTCTTATGAAATTAAACCTGTATCTCCAATATGACTCAGCAATCCTACTTCTAGATATCTCTCCAAGAGAAATGAAAACCTGTGTTTACACAAAAACCTGTATATCAATGTTTATAGTAGCATTGTTCAGCATTAGTCACTAAAAATTGGAAACAACCCAGTTCTTTCAACTGGTGAAAAAGATGAATAGATTGTTGTATTTTTATACCATGGAATATACTCCTTGATTCGTGCAATAACAGATTAATCTTAAAATGCATTTTGCTAGGTGAAAGACACCAGATACAAAAGGCTATGTATCATTTCATTTATCCACTTATATGAATAATCATTCCATTTATATAAAAATCTGAAAAAGCAAAACTATAGGGAGGAAAACAGTGGATGCCAGGGTTTGGGGGTATAGGGAAGTATTGGTTATAAAATAAAGGCATGGCATGAGGGATTTTGGAGGTGATGGGATGGTTCTCTCTCTCTCTCTCTCTCTCACACACACACACACACACACACATACACACACACACACACCCCACTACCCCTCTCTCTCTCGCCAATTGTCACCAAATTGATGGGCATGTTGTCAGTGTTAATATTTGGTCTGGTGTACTAATTACCACCCCTCCCAAAATCTATATTATCAGCTTGGTAGCATATATAGTACAATTTCATTAAAGAAAATAAATGATGATTTATTAACTAATATGTCACATGAAAAGTCATAGAATGTGTATTTTAGTTTAAAAATATGGGTATGGATATACACACACACATTTATTTATCGTAAGCGTCTTACTTTACTGGAATTTGCTGGTTATACCAGATAAACTTTTTCCACTGCTTGAGCTTTCAGTAGACCATTGTGCAAGTTAATGATAAATTTCGTGAGCATAACACCTACTTAAGTTTCTCAGAATCTGTTACAGAAAAGCATTTATCTTGCGGTTCAGGCAGCCTGGGATGGAAGGTAAATGCTTTCTTTTTATAAGTATCCTGAAATTTCAAGTGTAATAGGGAACAAGATATTAACATAAATTTTCAAAAGGCCTCATTCAGTTCTAGTTCCTTTTTTTTCTTTACAAACTTAAATCTCTTCATAACCATCAGATGCCATACCACCCTTGTGAAACAGTCTGCTAGAACTAGACATGTCTCAGGATTCTTAGAGGACTGGGGTAACCAAAGTGGGATTTGAACTTGTTTGAGGAATATACATGGGTAGTGAGCTGAACCTTTTAATTCCTAGAATTTATGGGTTTAACACTACAAGGGTTGTCACCCTGTTTATTTCTGTAAATAATTAAGGCATGTTTATTGTAGAAAACTTCACAATGCACAGCACAGATTATAAGAGTACTACCAGGATTATTACTCCTAAGATAACTGTTTATTTAGTTTTCCAAACTTTGCTACGTAGGTATATACATGTGTGTCTGTCCATGTCTCCTTTTAAAAACAACAAAAAAACCTCATTTTAATATTCAATATATTATTGACTGTCTTTGTATGTGAGAAAATTTAAATATAATAGTTGTGTATTCTACTGAATATATGGAATATTATTTATTTTACCAATTCCCATTTTATTAGTCTTTTAACTTATATCCACTTATTTTGGCTGGGCGTGGTGGCTCACACCTGTAATCCTAGCACTTTGGGAGGCCGAGGCAAGTGGACAACTTCAGTCCAGGAGTTCGAGATCAGCCTGGCCAACATGGCAAAACCCTGTCTCTACTAAAAATACAAAGAATTAGCTGGGTGTGGTGGTGTGTGCTTGTAATCCCAGCTACTCAGGAGGCTGAGGCACGAGAATTACTTGAACTTGGGAGGCGGAAGTTGCAGTGAACTGAGATTGCACCACTGCACTCCAGCCTGGGTGACAGAGCAAGACACTGTCTCAAAAAAAAAAAAAGTACATATATCCACTTATTTTTGCTCTGATGAATATTCCTATATTAGTATCTTTGAGTATCTTTCCATTATCCCTCCATTTATTTCCTTAGGATATATTCCTGAAAGCAGTATGGCCGGGTCAGAGAGTGGCACTTTTTAAAAACTTATTTTTTATTATCAAAGTAGTATATATGCTCATAGTAATGAGAAGACACAAGGTGCAAAAAGGTACAAGGTAAACAGAAAATGCTCTGACTTAACAGTTCCCCTCTCAGAGGAACTGTAAAATAAACAGATATACATTTACATTAATTTATACATTCTATAGAAAATTCATGTGTGTTAGATGATATATTTGTTTTCTTGAAACATCCACTCTAATTACAGAGTTTACTAAGGTTACAGAGTTAATATAGAGAGGTATTAGAGAGTTTAATAAGGTTGGCAGTTAAATATATCAAAATTATGCAGTTATACAATTATATCACATATACACCAACAATAATCATCTAGACAATATAATGAAAAAAGCTCTTATTCGTATATATCTTCTTATTAAGTTTATTCCTTAGTATTTTTTTTTGTTTTTTGGGGGGGACCCCCCAAAAACAAAAAAATACTAAGGAATAAATTTAAGAAATGTGCAGTAAGATTCAATATTGTAAAAAGAGGTTAACTCTATTTAAGTTAGTCTATAAATTTAAGAGATTTTGATGGAGGGAGGATCTGACACAATGATGTTAAGGTTCATATGAAAGAGTAAATATTTGAAAACACACAGAGAAATTCTGAAAAAGAAGGATGACAAGGGGGATGTGCCTTATTAGACAAAAAAATGCATTAAAATGTACAACAATTTTAAAAAGTAACATTGTACCTAATATATTGTACACTTAAATATGTGTTAAGAGGGTAACTCTCATGGTAAGTGTTTTTACTCCAATAAATAAAATTTTAAAGAATTTCTTCATCCCCCCTCCAAAAGTACTGGCACCAAAATAGAATAACAAATCAATGCAAGAAAACATCCAGAAAGAGACCCCCAAATAAAAATTTAGTATACTGTATATTTAATAGTGGTAGCTTTTCAGGTAGATGAGGAAAGAGTGGCTTACTTAACAAATGGCATTGGGACAATCAGTTAATGATTTTGAAGAAAAAAAGTTAGTTTCTTATGTTATATACTTAAACTAAAATAAATTCTAGATGAGTTAAGGATGTAAATGTAAAGTACAAAAGGTACTAGAAGAGAGTGTAAGTTGAGGTAAGGAAGGCCTTCCAAAGCCTGACACCAAAGGCATGGTACTTAAAAATTAAAAAACCCCACAAACAGATAAAAGATAAACAAGAAACTTAAAAAAGACTAACAATATGTGACAGGTAAATGATGAATATCTTTAATATGCAAAGATCTCTTACCTATCTGTAACAAAAAAGGTAAACACCCAAAATAAAAATGCACAATGGAAGTAAACAGGCAGTTCACAAATGAAGAATACAAATGGTCAAAAAATCTCACAAAGTTATTGGAGATAAAAAACAGATGATCATTTTTCACATAACAGATTGACAAAGCTTAAAAAGAATTTTCATAGTACCTGATAAAAGTGTGGCTAGACACTTTCCTATACTGCTAGTGTAAGTGTGAAATGATATCTTTCCAGAGGGTAATTTACAGTATGTATCACAAGCCTTAAGAAGTACTATTTATATTTAGAACATGTGGAAAAATAAAAAATAAATAAGTACTATTTATATATGTTGTTAGTGGGTATATAAATTGATACAGTTTTTCTGGAGGGCAGTTTGGAACTATTTATCAAAGTTTAGAATGTACATGCCCTTTGTCCTAGCAATAACACTTCCAGGAATTTTATCTAAAAGATATGCTCATGAAGATGTATATACAAGGATATTCATTGAAGCAGGGTTTATAATAGCACAAAACTGAAAACAACCTAAATGTTAATCAAAAAGGAACTAATTAAATAAAATATAGCATATCCACATAAGGGAATATTACAACCATTTTATAAAATGGTACGTTTATCTATCTTCTTTGGGGATAGTTCAGTTTTGTTTTTTATTGTGGAGGTCTATATGTCCTTAAAATTTTTTTTTCTTTTTAATAATTAGAGATGAGGTCTCACTATGTTGCCCAGGCTGGTCTTGAACTCCTGGCCTCAAGTGATCCTTGGCTTCTCAAAGTGCTGCGATTACAGGCATGAGTCACTGCACCTGGCAGGAGGTTTATATGTCTTGATACAAGGTGTAAAAGATATGTTAAATGGAAAATGCAAGGTGCAAAATAGTACATATAGTATGATCCCATGTGTGTAAAGAAGAAAAAATAGGGAAGATGGGCATTACAGAGGCTTTAAAATGCACTGGGAATAATAAAGTTTTCATTTTTATCTTTAGAGTATAGTTCATGAGTGAATTCTTTTCCATTTTTTTTCCCAGTTATCTTAAAAGCTCTGTTGATTGTGGATCTGAGAACTAACATCACATGTTATAAAATCCAAATAGAAAATATATTTAAATTATTAGACAATTTAAAGCTTATGAGAACATAAGAATAAAATTACTGCATTCCTTTGCTTATTAATTAAGTATATCACACTAACAGAATTTATTTCTGTGGGAACAATGTTAACTCATAGGACCCAGATGGAAATGATATGCCAGGGTAGAGATTCAGATCTTTGAGCCTTTTGAGTAGATTTTTCTCAGAAAAAGAAAGATGTTCTCTCAGGTTTACTATTTTTAGGCAGATTGAGATGACCATATTGTCTTAGTTATCCAGGCAGTCTGACCTCTAAGACCTCTAACGTTATTTTGCCCAATGCAGATTGATTGGTATTTGTTGTTGTTGGATTGAGTCTAAAAAAGAATATTTTCTCAACTCCAAACCATCATATTATCTTCTAATATCAAAATCTTCATTTAACATACTAACCTCTGTAATTGCTCATCCATGGGGTTTTAATGTAACTTACCCATGTCTTGTTCCTAATTTGATAAATTTTCTATATTACTAGTTTTGGAGTAGAAGATTTAATTCAAATGTTACAAATTCCTTTGTCCTAAATCTATCCCCAAAGTCAGAACAGGACATGCTGTTTTCCTCAACCAGTTTAGGAACTCCTTTTTTTTTTGCGGGGGGGGTAGGGGAGCGGACAGCATCTAGCTCTGTTACCCAGGCTGGAGTGCAGTGGGGCGAGCATGGCTTACTGCAGCCTTGACCGGGTCCCAAGTGATCCTCCTGTCTCAGCCTCCTGTGTAGCTGGGACCACAGTCACGTGCCACTATGACTGGCTAATTTTTTTTATTTTTTGTAGAGACGAGGGTCTCATTTTGTTGTCCAGGCTGGTCTTGAACACCTGTGCTCAAGCAGTCCTCTCACCTTGGCCTCCCAAAGTGTTGGGATTACAGGCATGAGCCACCGCATCCAGCCCTCTTTCTCTGAAAGTATTATTTTCTTTTCACAAATGGATTTTTCTAGCTTTTGTTTTTTGTTTATTTATTTATTTTTTGAGACACAGTCTTGCTCTGTCACCCAGGCTGGAGAGCAGTGGCATGATCTCGGCTGACTGCAAACACCACCTCCCAGTTTCAAGCGATTCTTGATTCTCGTGCCTCAGTCTCCTGAGTAGCTGGGATTACAGGCAAGCACCACCACACCTGGCAACTTTTTGTATTTTTTTAGTAGCAACGGGGTTTCACCATGGCCAGGCTGGTCTCGAACTCCTGACCTCAGGTGATCCACCTGTGTTGGGGCCTCCCAAAGTGCTGGGATTACAGGCATGAGTCAATGTGCCCTGCCTTTCTAAGCTTTTAAACTAATTATAGTGAGACTTGTTGGTGCTGCTTTTTAAAAATTATCCTTTTATGATTGAAGAAAACTGTCTGATTTTCTTTTTGATTCTCTTATAAATTTAAGATTAATCTTACAGATTTGAAAATTAAAGAATCACATTCTGCTAATTATTTTAGTGCCCAGCACTAAAAGAATTCCTTTTTTGGTATGTTTTCTGTCAGCCCTCTCTTACTGTTGTTTTCTTCACTTCCTTAATTGCAGTTTCCTCTTTGTTATCTTTAACCTTTGCTCATTTCTGCCTTTAAACAGGAACTGTATATGACCTGCTTAATCTTGGGTTTGGGAAAAAGCTATCTACAAATGTCCAAAGCTATAGAAGACAATAAATGCATCCAATTCAGACAAAGAAAATGTTTGGCTAATTTCAGCATTTTCTTAATTATTTTCCTGAATAATAAAGTAATACATGCAAAAAATAAAAATAAGAAATTAAAAAAATAAAAAATACATGCTTGTTTTAATGAAACTAAAGTAATATAGAATTACATAAAGTAAAAAGATAGTCACTCCCTCAAAGGGTAATCACTATTAATAGCTTGTATTCTTCTAGACCCTTTACTAGTCACAGATATGCTTCCATGTCAGTATATGCAGATTTAGCTTCTTGTTCTTAACTGCTGTATAGTATTCTATAGTATGGATGCACCATAATTTATTTATCTATTCCCTAATTGATAGGCATTTAGAGAGTCTCCAAATTTTAACTATTTTAGATATGCTTATACCTATAACTTTATACATCTGTGTAAGTATTTTTGTAGCTAGATTCTTTTAAGTAAAATTGCTGGGTCAAGTTAGGTACACATCATATGTTGATAAGTATTGCAAATTTGCCTTTCAAAAAAGGCCGTAGTGATTTACACTTCATTAACAGTATGATAAAATATTTTTCTATACCCTTGACCATGCTTAATAGATACATAAGTCTTTTAAATTTTTGCCAACATTATAAGAAAAAAACACGATGTCATTGTTTTAGTTTGTATTTAAATTTCTCAAATTTGTGTTTTTAACTAGTTTAGTTGAACATCTTGTAACAACTACATTATATGTCAAATAAAAAAGTTTGTAAATTAGAGCATATGCTATAAACCTTCAGCAAGAAAAAAGTGTACACAGAAGAAAGTTTGTAATTGTTTATCCCTCTTTTTCTGCATATGTTTGGGATAAAGTAACATAATATATGAACTGATCATCTTTTCAGGTGCCTATAAAGAACTCCCAACTGGTAGACTTTAGCATCTGTTGGGATGATAGGCCAAGTGATATTTTTAATTTAAAATTTTTTTAGAGACAGGGTCTCTAGCTCAGGCTGGAGTGCAGTGACATGATCATAGCTCACCGTAACCTCGAACTCCTGGGCTCAGGTGATCCTTCCTCAGCCTCTGGAGTAGTTGGGACTACAGGTGCACTACCACGCTCAGATAATTTTTTTTAAAAAGTTTATTTAAAGACGGGACCTTTCTGTGTTGCCCAGGCTGATCTTGAATGCCAATCCTCTAGTGATCCTCCTGTGCCCGGCCCCAAGTGGCTCTTTTCTACCCTGCTCTCTCACTTGTTGTCTGGCTGAACAGGCTCAAGTCTGCCAGTGAAAGTGACTTAGCTTTGTGGACAGTTGTGTCATTCCTCAGTATGGTATGTATGTATGTATGTATGTATGTGTGTATTTATTTATTTATTTATTTATTTATTTATTTGTGATGGAGTCTTGCTCTTGTTGCCCAGGCTGGAGTGCACTGGCACAATCTTGGCTCACTGCAACCTCTGCCTCCCAGGTTCAAGCAATTCTCTTGCCTCTGCCTCCCAAGTAGCTGGGATTACAGGCGCCTGCCACCACACCCAGCTAATTTTTGTATTTTTAATTGAAATGGAGTTTCACCATGTTGGCCAGGCTGGTCTTGAATTCCTGACCTCAGGTGATCTGCCTGCCTCAGCCTCAGCCTCCCAAAGTGCTGGGACTACAGGCATAAGCCACCACGCCTGGCCGAGGATGTTATTTAATGTTTTGTTTTGTTTTGTTTTATTGAGATAAGATCTGACTCTGTCACCCAGGCTGGAGTGCAGTGGTGACATTTTGGCTCACTGCAACCACTGCCTGCCTGGCTCAGGTGATCCTCCCACCTCAGCCTCCTGAATAGCTGGGACCACAGTCATTCACTACCACACCCAACTAACTTTTTTGTATTTTTTGTAGAGGCGGTGTTTCGCCATGTTGCCCCGGCTGGTCTCAAATTCCCAGACTCAAGCGATCTGCCCACTTTGGCCTCCCAAAGTGCTGGGTTTACAGGTGTGAGCCACTATGCCTGGCCTGGCAATTATCTTTGACTTTATAAATCTTTCTTATATTTTAGATAACTGATATAGCTCACTACTATTTAATGTTTATCTGCCTTGATAACTCTTTATGTTGTGTTTATAGGCCAGAGTCCCTGTAGACACATGTACTAATTGACCAGAATTACACAATAAAATTGCAGAGCTACATAGTAGCAGAATAGTAATTTGCCAAATTATTTTAATAGGTCAATACTGAAAGGATAATATTATTTGCTGACTTTTATTAAGACCTATATTAAGATTCTATAGTGTTATATTTCTAAGGTTACAAGTTTTTTTCAAGAATAAAAATATATGTTTAATTATGAGTTTTACTGTTCATCCAAAGGTGTAACATAAAATAAATTTACAGGTGGGATAAGATGGATTGAGTTACAATTTTTTAACCTCAGGATCTTTGATGGCTAGTTCCTACCCCTAAGGTCATCTTATGTGTTCATATGCGGTAATGCTTTTTTCATTAGATTTTGCATTTCAATCACAGACATATTTGTCAAAAAAGATGAGGTAGGCTGGACACTGTGACTCACACCTGTAATCACAGCACTTTGGGAGACCTAAGTGTGAGGACTGCTTGAGTCCAGGAATTTGATGCCAGCCTGGGCAACATAGTGAGACCCCATCTCTACAAACAAATCCAAAACTTAGCAAGGTGTTGGTGGCACGTGTCTGTAATCCCAGCTACTCAGGAGGCTGAGGCAGGAGAATCACTTGAACCCGGGAGGCAGATCGCAGTGAGCCGAGATTGCGCCATTGCACTCCAGCCTGGGTGACAGGGCGAGACTCTGTCTCAAAAAAAAAAAAAAAAAATTCCATTTCCTTTTTTATATCCATTCTAAAAATAAGCATATGATGAGCCAAGAACATCCACTAATGACCAGTTGTTACATCCTTTTATCTTGATCCCTTTGAACTCATTCCAAGTTATTGTACTAACCTATTAAGCTGATTGTTCATGAAATAGAAATCAAAGCCAATTATTTCACATTTAAAGTATATATAACAACCAGTTCTTGCCAGAAAATCAGAAGAGAGGGCAAAGTCAAGAAAAATTATAAAAATACATTACAAATGAAATAAAATAACAAGGAAATGACTGACAATGAAATGTATCTTTCCATTTATTCATAGTTAATTTTGATTCTTCAATTCTTCATTGAAATTTCTGAAATATAAAAAATAAGTGTATTACCACTTCACATCCACTAGGATGGCTATTACTAAAAAAAAAAAAAAAAAAAAACCTCAGAAAATATCAAGTGTTGGCGAGAAACTGGAACTCTTGTGCATTGTTGATAAAATGTAAAATGGTCCAGTCATGGTGGAAAACAGTATGGTGGTTCCTAAAAATATTAAATATAGAATTACCACATGATCTAGCAGCTCCACTTCTGGACGTATACCCAAAACAATTTGAAGTAGGGATTTCAACAGATATTTGTATACCAGTGTTCATTGCAGCATTATTCATAGTAGCCCAAAGGTGGTAGCAGCCCAAATGTCCATCAACAGATGAATGAATAAACACAATGTGGTATGAATATGTATATATGATATAATAGAACATTAGCTTTAAAAAGGAATTAAATTCTGACACATGATACTACATGGGTGAACTTTGAATGTGTTATGCTAAATGAAATAAGCCAGCCACAATAGGACAAATATTATATGAGTTTACTTATGTGGAGTACCTAGAGTAGTTAAAATCATAGAGATATAAAGTAGTACCGTGGTTACCAGGGTCTGAAGGGGAGGGAGAATAGGGAGTTATTTTTTAATAGGTACAAAATTTGAATTTGGGAAGATGAAAAAGTTCTGAAGACAGATGGTGGCGATGGTTGCACAACAATATGCATGTACTTAATTCCACTAAATTTTACATATAAAAATGGTTAAAATGGTAAATTTTATGTTATTGTGTATTTTACCACATTTTTTTTTTTTTGAGACAGAGTCTTGCTCTTGTAGCCCAGACTGGAGGGCAATGGCACAATCTTGGCTCACTGCAACCTCCGTCTCCCGGGTTCAAGTGATTCTCCTGCCTCAGCCTCCTGAGTAGCTGGGATTACAGGCGCCCATCACCACACCTGGCTAATTTTTGTATTTTTAGTAGAGACGGGTTTCGCCATGTTGGCCAGGCTGGTCTCGAACTCCTGACCTCGTGATCTGTCCGCCTCGGCCTCCCAAAATGCTGGGATTACAGGCATGAGCCACCATGCCTGGCCAATTTTTTTTTTTTTTTTTTTGCGACAGAGTTTCGCTCTTGTTGCCCAAGCTGGAGTGCAATGGTGCGATCTCAGCTCACTGCAACCTCTGTCTCCTGGGTTCAAGCGATTCTCCTGCCTCAGCCTCCTGAGTAGCTGGGATTACAGGTGTGTGCCACCACACCCAGCTAATTTTTTGTATTTTTAGTAGAAACGGGGTTTTACCATGTTAGCCAGGCTGGTTTGGAACTCCTGACCTCAGGTGATCGCCCTCTTCAGCCTCCCAGAGTGCTGGGATTACAGGCGTGAGCCACCATGCCTGGCCATTTTACCACAATTTAAAAATATTTATTTATTTATTTATTTATTTATTTATTTATTTATTTATTCATTCATTCATTCATTCATTCGTTCATTCATTCATTCATTCAAGACGGAGTCTTGCTCTGTCACCCAGGCTGGAGTGCAGTTGCACGATCTCGACTCACTGCAAGCTCCACCTCCCAGGTTCATGCCATTCTTCTGCCTCAGCCTCCTGTAATGGCTGGAACTACAGGCGCCCATCACTACGCCCCGCTAATGTTTTTGTATTTTTAGTAGACGGGGTTTCACCGTGTTAGCCAGGAAGGTCTCGATCTCCTGACCTCGTGATCCGCCTGCCTTGGCCTCCCAAAGTGCTGGGATTACAGGCGTGAGCCACCGCGCCTGGCTAAAAAGTCTTTTAAAAAAGTGTCTGCCTTTCTCAGAAAATAGTCATTTTGCTATAGCCCATACATATTTTGAGAGAAAAGACAAATGTTGTATAAAACTGTGTGTGAGGAAAATCATCTCTGACTTCCACTGAGTATTCTGAATGGCAGCAACTTAAAGAATAGCAGCAAAACCTAATGGACATATCCATTTATAATAGGACATTGCAGCCATGGCTTTATAGGGCAAACACTGGGGAAAATGCAATGATGGGAAGAACAAAGTGGACGTCGGTAGTTTTTTCTTCTTTGTTCTGTGATATGGTCCAGACTCTTTCCTCACAGACAATGGAAACATGGTAGAAACTCTCTACCATGGTCGGTCAGTTGAAGAAGGGAATCGTAAAAATTATGTAAATATAGCCTAGTCATTTTTTTAAACCTAAAACATGTTCATTTATTCTCCAATATTTATTTGTATTTATTTTATTTTTATTTTTATTCTGGAGACGGAGTCTTGCTTTGTCGCCCAGGCTGGAGTACAGTGGTGTGATCTTGGCTCACTGCAACCTCCGCCTCCCGGGTTCAAGCAATTCTTCTGCCTCAGCCTCCCGAGTAGCTGGGACCACAGACGCATGCCGCCACACTCAGCTCATTGTTTGTATTTTAATAGAGACAGGGTTCACCGTGTTGCCCAGACTGGTTTCGAACTCCTGAGCTCAGGCAGTCTGCCACCTTGGCCTCCCAAAATGCTAGGATTACAGGCGTGAGCCACTGCGCCCGGCCTTATTCTCCAATATTTATATGTAGGGCCACAACCTTTTCTTTGCATGTGGGTCCTTTGGAATTCTTCCTTTCCTTCCCTGTATAAACCACACCCATAATGCTTCATTCCAGATTTCTATCTCCTAGTTTGGTTTTATTAAAATAGAGAACAAATTTAAGAGATGAGAGTTCTTTTAGGTTTTTATTATTACCCCCCAATCTCTTAAAGTCGCTTCACGTACAGCTATTTTAGCAGTAACTTTGCTACTCACCTTATTGAACATTCCTAATGCATTCAACTTTGTTTTCATAGAAAGAACAACTCTCCTTTTTGCTGTTATTTAATCAACGTACATAATATTTAATTAAATCACTTGGCCATGAGAAGTTCAGTGGACATAAACAGCTTGAGGGCAAACACAGCTGAATTTCTATATGCCAACAATTCTACTGGTGGGAACAAGGAGTGTGCATCTAAGTACTAAGCATGCTATGGGCATCTGAATATTTTAGTGATAGAAAAGAGACCATCAGTTAACCCATTGGAGGTTGGTTAAGATAAATTTTTGCAGGGTAAAATTTGCTTTTTCTTAATGTATCCTAACATTTTTCTTGTATGAAAATAGAGATCTACATCATTGTTTTTAAGGGACACATGGTATTTATTATACATGCATTAGGCTGGGTTCTTACTTGAAGACAACATAAAGCAGTTCTGACTCGCTTAACCAGAAACGGAATTTATTGGTTAGGCTATTTGGATTGTTTATAGAGACAACAGAAGTCAATCAGAGTCAACCAGGCTTGGAAAATAGGTAGGAACACAATGAGACTAAAACAGGCCAAGGACATGCCCCAGGAAGTCTAGTGAGGACCTCTTCACTGGCACTGGCTTTCTCAGGACTTTTGCCAGGGCCACTTCTGGCATCTTGACTGTATTGCTGCCTGTGCTGAGAATTATCTTCATCTGTCCTTGTGTATTCATGTCACTTTCTCATGATTCAAAATCCTGGGCAGAAGTGTCTGACTAGCCAAGTCTAGAATCATTTAGAAGCATCTCAGCTTCAAGGGGACAGGGAAAAGGAATATCTGTCTCCTCCCTTCTCCCTTCCTCCCACAACACACATGCTTTGGCTTTAATAATGGGAGCCAGGGTTGTACTGTTTATTTCTAAGACGCTTGCGGTGGGGGCATTTTCTTGGCATGGGATGTGTGTTTGAATGCTGGGTAGCCAAAAATATGACAAGTGTTACACTGTGATGCACTAGAGTTTATTTAATTAATATCCTATTATAAAAAATTTAGATCGTTTCCAGTTTTGTTCTGTTTTAAGCCACATAGTAATGGACACATGTGAGCAATCTACTGGGGGAATGAGGTATCTTAGCTGTTTTAATTAATTATTTTAATTTTTAATTTTAGCTGTTTTAATTTAGATTTTAAAAGTTATTAGTGAGGTGCAGTAACTTCATGTGTATTGGCATTTTGGTTTTCTTATTTTGTCAATTGTCTGGCATATATATTTTTTGAGATATAATTTAACATACCATAAATTCATTAATAAAAAAATGTCGTCCAGGCGCAGTGGCTCACGCCTGTAATCCCAGCATTTTGGGAGGCCGAGGCAGGCAGATCACAAGGTCAGGAGATCGAGACCATCCTGGCCAACATGGTGAAACCCTGTCTCTACTAAAAATACAAAAATTAGCCCGGTGTGGAGGCGCATACATATAGTCCCAGCTACTTGGGAGGCTGAGGCAGGAGAATCACTTGAACCCGAGAGGTGGAGGTTGCAGTGAGCCAAGATCACGCCACTGCACTCCAGCCTGGTAACAGAGTGAGACTCTGTCTCAAAAAAGAAAAAAATTAAAAAAAATTTAAAAAAGTCAAATTCAGCGATTTCTAGTATGTTCACAGACTTGTGCAACTATCATCACTATCTAATTACAGAATATTTTTATTAATACAAAAAGAAATTCCATGTATATGTTTTTGCAGTTTGTTTACATGGTGGTTTTTGCCACACAAAATTTTAAAATTTCATTTAATTACATTTTAATCTCTTTTCCTTTACAGTTTCTGTTTTGGCTTATGCTTAGAAATGCTTTCCCCACCCAATGTTTTGTTGTTGTTAGGTAATGCTTATTTTTATATTTTCCTAGTATTTTTTACTTTTTATTTTTACATCTTGTTCTTTAACTTGGAATTAATTTATAGATTGTAAGATGGTTTCTAAAAATGTTCACAATTATTAAATGGTTAGCGTATTATCCCAGCACTACTTACTGATTTTCTCAGTGATGTGAATTGCTGCCCTTGTTATATACTGAATTCTTATATACACACATATGTACGTTTCTGGAACTTTCTGTTCTGTTGCAAGGATCTTTCTATTCTGACATCAGCACAAGACCTTTTTTTTTTTTTTTGAGATGGAGTCTCGCTCTGTCACCCAGGCTGGAGTGCCATGGTGCAATCTTGGCTCACTGCACCCTCTGCCTCCCAGGTTCAAGTGATTCTCCTGCCTCAGCCTTCCAAGTAGCTTGGACTACAAGCATGCACCACCATGCCCAGCTAATTTTTGTATTTTTTTAGTAGAGACGGGTTTCGCCATGTTGGCCAGGCTGGTCTCAAACTCCTGACCTCAGGTGATCCGCCTGCCTTGGCCTCCCGAAGTGCTGGGATTATAGGCGTGAGTCACTGTGCCTGGCCAATACTTTTTTTAATAGACAATTTTTTAGAGTAATTTTAGGTCCACAGCAAAATTGAACAGAAGGTACAGTATGTAGCCTTTTCAGATTGGCTTCTTTCACTTAGTAATGCACATATAAGTTTCCTCCAAGTTTTTTTATGAATAGCTCATCTTTAATGTGTGTGCTGAATAATATTTGATTGCCTTGCTGCACCACAGTTTATTTATCCATTCACCTACTAAAGGGTATCTTGGTTGCTTCCAAGTGTCAGCAATTATGAATAAAGTTGCTGTAAACATCTGTGTGCAGTTTTGGTGTAGACATAAGTTTTCAACTGTTGTGGGCAAATACCAAGGAGTGCAATTGCTGGATTGTATGGTAAATTATATTTAGTTTTGTAAGTAACTGCCCAACTGTCTTCCAAAGTGGCTGTACTATTTTGCATTTCCACTAGCATTAAATGAGCATTCCTATTGCTCCACATCCTCTTTAGCATTTGGTGTTGTCAGTGTTCTGGATTTTGGCCATTCTACTAATAATAGATATGTAGTAGTGTCTCATCATTGTTTTAATTTGCATTTCCCTGATGACGTATGATGTGGGGCATCTTTTCATATGCTTATATATTATCTGTATATCTTCTTTGGTGAATTGTCTTTTAAGGTCCTTAGCCCATAACATCAGGTTGTTTTCTTAGCACAAGACTTTTTAATAATTAAAACTTTTAAAGACTCTTTAATGTCTGGTTGGGTAATTAGCATTTAGCATCATTATTTTTTAGTAATGACTTTTATAAAATTAATGGTATACTTGAAATGTTTGGCCAAACTGAGTTGTCCTTTTCAGCCTCACCAAACTTTTATTGTTTTCTTGTAGTTTATTCTTAACAAGTTATGATAAATATAAAATAAGTGTTTTTTCTTTTTCCTTTTTTTTTTTTTTGATAGTCTTGCTCTGTTGTCCAGGCTGGAGTGCAGTGGCATGAACTTGGCTCATTGCAACCTCTGCCTCCTGGGCTCAAGCCGTCCTCCCACCTAAGCCTCCTGAGTAGCTGGGACTACAGGAGTGTGCCACCGTGGTCAGCTAATTTTTGCATTTTTTGTGGAGACACAGTTTCACTATGTTTCCCAGGCTGGTCTCGAACTCCTGGGCTCAAGCAATCCGCCCATCTCGACCTCCCAAAGTGCTGGGATTACAGGCGTGAGCCACCATGTCTAGCCTGTTTTTTCAACTTATTCTACATAAGTGGTTAAATACTGACAGTTATTTTCGTTTTCATAGGCATTTAATGTTTTCGCATTTGTTGGTTTTGGCACTATTTTGTCTTAGAAGTAAATTTGTCTTAGAAGAAAGCAATAACATTACAGGCAGTTCTTGATTTAGACATAGATTGTGTCTGACAAGTTGAATCAGATGATTTAAAAATAAATTTTCTTAATATTTTTATATTCGGGGGTACATGTGCTTGTTTGTTACATGGGTATTACATGTGTAATCAGGTGATTGTTTTGATGAGGGAGAGGAGGCATTCCAATCACCAAATAGCCTTCATAGACTCAAAGATTCCTGCACCAAGACCATATTTAACACATAACATTGTTGAAAAGTAGCTGACTCATTTGTAATTTCAAGTAGTTGAATTCTACTTCCCCCTACCTTCCTGAGATAATGATAGCTGCCTTGCAAGAAAAGTTCCACACACACTAAAAACATGTTTCTACCTTTTGTCTATTATTGACATGGCAGCAATTGCTTAGCCCCTGTTGGAAAGGCACATATATACTTGAGGCATATTTCTCACTTTTGGGGAACCTGTCTCTACCTGTGTTTATTGCAGGGTATTGGTATTTTTCAAGCATTCTCTCCACACCACTCTCACCTTTGGCTGGTTTTACTTTATGACTTTTGCACACATTGCCCTGTTAAGTTAATCCTTTTGAGGTTATTGTTAGCTTTGGACTCCAGCCTGAATTGGCTGTATGAACATAGACAAGTCTCAGCTTTAGCTTCCTTAATTTTAAAAGGAGGTTATGATTCTATTTACGTAGCAGGATTGGTGTGAGACACATGCAGTGCTATAGGAATCTGAAGCATCTGTATTGTTATCATAGGACAACTTATTTGTAGAGATGCTATGACTACTCTAGGAGTCACAAAAATGACCAGTGAAGTACATTGCCTTTTAATTTGAATGTTCTGTTCTTTTTTGACCTTATTACTGTGTTTAAGTATTACTACCTAATCTTTTAGGAATGGTCAAATAAAAAAAACTGTTATTTATTTTATTTTTTTTCCTGAGATGGAGTCTCACTCTGTCACCCAGGCTGGGGTGCAGTGGCGTGATTTCAGCTCACTGCAACCTCTGCCTCCCGGGTTCAAGCGATTCTTCTGCCTCTGCCTCACTCTCCGAGTAGCTGGATTGCAGGCGTGTGCCACCATGCCCGGCTAATTTTTGTATTTTTAGTAGAGACGGGATTTCACCATATTGGCCAGGCTAGTCTCGAACTCCTGACCTCATTATCTGCCCACCTTGGCCTCCCAAAGTTCTAGGATTACAGGCGTGAGCAACTGTGCCTGGCAAACATACACCTGCCTACTTCAGTTGTTTCATCTGGAATCTTAGTCCTCTGTTTATATAATACTGGTTGTTTGATGAAAGAAATTAGACACTTAGTATTTTGGAAACAAGTTAAGTAATAAGATTAATTTTCATTTTAAAGGTTTATACAATTTAAAAGAAAAGGATGAATTATATAAAATAATAGAGAAGCTAATGCTTTCCCCTTTTGTTTTCATTTTAGAATGTGGTAGCAATTTTAAATAAAAGTGAATGGGTAGGAAAAAAATTAATTGATCTGGAAATACTATATAGATACCTTGAAGGCAACTAGTTGATTGTTATTTGCATAGCTAGAAATCATCTATTTATTTAATAAAATAAGCACGTTTTTATAGCCTTGGTATAATAAAATGGGTTATTTGGGCTTTTTATATATATGAATTTATCATTGGTCTTACTTATTGAATTATTTCAGTTTCAGTAACTTTTCTCTTAATTTCTACGTACTTTGTATTTTTTTTCTTTTTCATTTCCCATTAAAATGAGTTGGCTTTATGAGATGAAATAATTTAGGCCTACAATGAGTATAGGTAGTCCTATGACATACCTGTGTATTTACTACCCAGCCTAAGAAGTTAAACATTAAATATATAGTTGCATTTCCCCTTTGTGCTCCTCTCAAGTCACTCCTCTCCCCTCTCTCCCCTCAATCTGTTGAATTTGGAGTTTATCATGTCTGTGCACATTTTTATATTTTTACTATCACAACTATATATGTGTGCATACAAAAACAATGTATAACATTGTTTTATGTTTTTAAACCTTTGTATCCTTTTTTTGGACATAACATCAACATTTTATTTTATTTTTTATTCATAAGCATTGTTTTCTTTTGTCTTGCATATTTTAAAATGTATTAGATGGTATCAAACTATCACTTTGTCATTTGCATTTTTCTTAGAACATTGTTTTCTTAGAACAATGTTTCTTAGAACATTTTTCTTAGAACATTGTTTTCTTAGAACATGCATTTATTTATCAACATATATTGATACATAAAAATACTTCTAGTTCATTTGTTTTTAAAATTATTTTGTGGCACATTATAATTATTCATATTTATGGGGTACAATTTGATGTTTTGATACATCTACATGTTGTACAATGATCAAATCAGGGTATTTAGCATATCTATCACCTCATACATTTATCAGTGCTTTGTGATGAGAACATTCAAAAGCCTCTCATCCAGCTATTTTGTAATGTACAATACCTTACTGTTAACAATCCTCAACCTACTGTGCAATAAAAACACCAGAACTTATTCCTTCTATCTAAATGTGACCTTGTAGCCATTTACCAGACTCTTTCCATCCTTCCCTCCCCAGTCTCTGGTAACCACTGTTCTACTCTATGACATCAACCATTTTTTTTTTTTTTTTGAAATTCCACATGAGCAAGATCATGTGGTATTTGTCTTTCTGTGTCTGGCTTACTTCACTTAACATGATGTCTTCCAGGTCCATCCATGTTGTCACAGATGGCAGAATTTTATTCTTTTTTATGGCTGAATAGTATTCCATGTATATATATACACCACATTTTGTTTATGCATTTATCCATTGTCGGACATGGATTGATTCCATATTTTGGCTATTGCAAATACTGCTGCAATAAACATGGCAATGCAGATAATCTCTTCAACATACCAATTTCATTTCCTTTGAATAAATACCCAGTAGTGGGATTGCTGGATCATATGGTAGTTCAATTTTCAATTTTTTGAGGAATCACCATACTGTTTCCCATAGTGGCTATACTAATTTACAATCCCACCAACTGTGTATAAGGGTTCCCTTTTCTCCATATCATCACCACCCCTCTTTTCTTTTGTTATTTTGATAATAACTGGAGTGAGTTGGTATCTCCTTGTGGTTTTCATTTGCATTTTCCTGGTGATCAGTGGTATGGATTGCATCTGTGTCCTGGCCAAATCTCATGTTGAAATGTAATCCCCAGTGTTGGAGGTGGAGCCTAGTGGGAAGTGTTTGGAACATGGAGGCATATCCCTCATTAATGGCTTTGCACTATCCCCTTGGTGATGAGTGAGTTCACATGAGATCTGGTTGTTTAAAAGTGTGTGGCACCTCCCATTCTGTCTCTCTTGCTCCCACATCACCTTCCACCATGAACAAAAGCTCCTTGAGGCTTCACTGGAAGCTGAGCAGATACTGACACCATACTTGTACAGCCTGCAGAACTGTGAGTCAATTAAACCTTTTTTCTTTATCAATTACCCAGTCTCCTTTCTTTCTTTCTTTCTTTCTTTCTTTCTTTCTTTCTTTCTTTCTTTCTTTCTTTCTTTCTCTTTCTTTCTTTTTTTTTTTTTTAACTGACACAGGGTCTTGCTCTTTCACCTAGTCTGGAGTGCAGTGGCCCAGTCACAGCTCACTACAGCCTTGACCTCCTGGGCTTACGTGATCCTCCCACCTCAGCCCCCAGGTAGCTGGGAATACAGGTGTGTGCCACTACACCTGGCTAATTTTTGTATTTTTTGTAGAGACTGAGTTTTGCCATGTTGCCCAGGCTTGTCTCAAACTCCAGGGCTCAAGCATTCTGCCTGCTTTGGCATCCCAAAGTGGTGGGATTACAGGTGTGAGCCACTGTGCCTGGCCAGGTATTTCTTTATAGCAATATAAGAGCAGCCTAACACAATTAGTGATGTTGAGTGTTTTTTCATGTGCTTGTTGGGTATTTGTATGTCTTCTTTTGAGAAATGTCTATTAAAGTCTTTTGGTCATTTTTAAAAAAATTTATTATTATCATACTTTAAGTTTTAGGGTACATGTGCACAACGTGCAGGTTTGTTACATATGTATACATGTGCCATGTTGGTGTGCTGCACCCATTAACTCGTCATTGGAAACAATTAACAAAGTAAAGAGACAATCTACAGAATGGGAGAAAATATTTACAAACTATACATTTATCAAGGGGTTAATATCCAGAATATATAAAGAACTTAATGACCACAAAATAACCTGACTAAAAAATGACCAAATGACGAGTCTTATTTTGTGGTTGTTAAGTTCTTTATATATTCTGGATATTAACCCCTTGATAAATGTATAGTTTGTAAATATTTTCTCCCATTCTGTAGATTGTCTCTTTACTTTGTTAATTGTTTCCTTTGCTGTGTAAAAGCTTTTCAGTTTTATGTAATCTCATTTGTCTACTTTTGCTTTTGTTGTCTGTGCTTTTGAGGTCCACTCAAAACTTCCTTGCTAAGCCCAGTGCTGTAAAGCATTTCCTGCATGTTTTTTTTTAGTAGTTTCATAGTTTCAGATTTTATATTTAAGCATTTAATCCATTTTGAGTAGATTTTTGTATATGATGAGAGGTAGGGGTCTAGTCTCATTTTTCTGCATGTGGCTATTCAGTTTTCTCAGCACCACTTATTGAAGAGAGCAGTGTGTGTTTGTTATGGTTTGGATGTTTGTCCTTTCCAAATCTCATGTTGAAATGTGATTCCCAGTGTTGGAGGTGGGACTTGTGGGAGGCGATTGGATCATAGGGGAAGATCCTTCATGACGGGTTTGGCACCATCTCCTTGGTGATAAGCAAGATATGGTGGGGGGTTTTTTTTGTTTGTTTTTGTTTGTTTGTTAGTTTGTTTTTCACCATCTCTTACAGGAAGGAGAAATCTGGTTGTTTAAAAGATTCTGGTACCTCCCCCTGTCTCTCTTGCTCATTCTCTTGCCATGTGACATGCTGGCATACCTTCGCTTTCTGCCATAATTGTAAGCTTCCTGAGGCCCTCACAAGAAGCAAATGCCAGCATCATGCTTCTGTATAGCCTGTACAACCATGAGCCCAAATAAATTCTCTTTTCTTTATAAATTGCCCAGTCTCAGGTATTTCCTTATAGTGATGCAAAAATGGACTAACAGTGTTCTTAGCACCTTTTTTTGAAAATCAGATGGCTGTAGGTGCATGAATTTATTTTAGGGCTCTATTCTGTTCCATTGTGTATGTGCCTGTTTTTATACCAATACTATGCTGCTTTGATTACTATAGCCTTGTAGTATATTTTCAAGTCAGGTAGTGTGATGCCTCCAGCCTTGTTCTTTTTGCTTCAGATTGCTTTGGCTATCTGGGGACTTTTGTCATTCCATATGAATTTTAGGGTAGTTTTTTCCTATGTGAAGACTGTCATTGATATTTTTATAGGGATTGCATTAAGTCTATAGATTGCTTTGGGTAGTATGGCCATTTTAACAATATTAATTCTTCCAATCCATGAACATGGGATAGCTTTTCATTTGTTTATGTCTTCTTCAATTTCTTTCATCAATGTTTTATAGTTTTTTTTTTTTTTTTTTTTGGAGACAGAGTCTCACTCTGTCACCCAGGCTGGAATGCAATGGCATGATCTCAGCTCACTGCAACCTCTGCCTCCAGGGTTCAAGTGATTCTCCTGCCTCAGCCTCCCAAGTAGCTAGGATTACAGGTGTGCACCATCACACTCAGCTAATTTTGTATTTTTAGTAGCGATAGGGTTTCTCCATGTTGGCCAGGCTGGTCTCGAACTCCTGACCTCGGGTGATCTGCTCCCCTCAGCCTCCCAAGGTGCTGGGATTACAGGTGTGAGCCAACGCACCCAGCCAGTGCTTTATAGCTTTTAGTGTAGAGATCTTTCACCTCCTTGGTTAAGTTTATTCCTAAGTATCTTTTTTTTATGTAGCAATTGTAAATGGAATTTTTTTTTCAGGTGGTTTGCTATTAGCATATAGAAACACTACTGATTTTAATAAGTTGATTTTGTATCCTGTGACTTACTGAATTTATTTTTTAGTTCTGTTTTTTAGTAGATTCTTTAGGGTTTTCTGTATATAAGATCATGCCACCTGCAAACAGGGACAATCTGACTTTCTTCTGAAACTTTTTTTTCTAAACTATGTTAATGGGATTTATCCCTGTTGCTACTTGCAGCTCTACTTCAAGCTTTCTCATTCTCAGTGCTATAGACATTTGGGGCCAGATCATTCTTTGTTGTGAGGGGCTTTCTTGTCCATTACAGGATAATTGGCAGTATCCATGGCCTCTATGCACTAGATGCCAGTAGTACTCCCTTGCTGCACTCTGAGTTGTGACAACCAAAAGTGTCTCCAGACATTTTGAAATGTCCTATTGGTGGTGACATCACCCCTTCTCTCAGTGAGAATCACATTTCTAGTTCATTCATTTTAACTTCTATATTATGTTTCATTATAAATATACCACAACCAATTTTTTCATTTCCTTGTTGATGGACATCTAGATTATTTCCAAAGTTTTAACTATTAGCAACATTGTTGCAATGAGCATTTTTGTTCTTGTTTCCTTGTGCACATGTGTGAGACTCTGTCTAAGGTACTATGCTTAGGAGAGAAAATGTTGAGTTTTAATATATGCATATTTTCAACTCTACCGGCTATCATGAAGCAGTTTCCATAATTGTACTAATTTATACTCTAACCAACGGAACAAGAGAGATCCTGTTTCTCCATATCCTCACCGACACTTGGTATTGTCAGATTTTGAGATTTTTATCTACCTGATGGAGGTACATTATATTCCTTGATTACCACAAGGATCACAAATTGTGCAGATAGAGTTGTATCCAAAAAAGGATTAAGGCTGGGCGTGGTGGCTCATGCCTGTAATCCCAGCACTTTGGGAGGTTGAGGCGGGTGGACCACTTGAGGTCAGGAGTTCGAGATCAGCCTGGCCAACATGGTGAAACCCCATATCTACTAAAAATACAAAAATTACCTGGGGCCTGGTGGCATGTGCTTTTAGTCCCAGCTACTCAGGAGGCTGAGGCAGGAGAATCACTTGAACCTGGGAGGTGGAGGTTGCAGTGAGCTGAGACTGCTCCACTGCACTCCCGCCTGAGCGACAGAGCAAGATTCTGTCTCAAGAAACAAAAACAAAAGCAACAGCAAAACAAAACAAAACAAAACCCCAAAAAAGAATTAAATCTTACTGCATGATTATTGAGAATACAGGAGCCTTTCCCAAATTATAAGTGCTGATTATTTTAGGGGAATTTTAGAATGATGTTTGAGCTTCTGTGACCAGCTTTAAGAAGTGGTTTTGAACAATCAGACTTCATATGTGCCATGTTTTCTACTCAATTTCTGTAGTTTCTATTTCCAAACCAGAGATGATCATCTAGTCATAATATTGTTCTTCATCTTAGAAAATGATATTACTGATGGTGATTACCATCTCTACTTAGGGAATGGCTCAAAATATATTAATAACTTGAAGTTATTTCCCTCAGTGTTGTTGGATGCTTTTGTTCTCAGAGTCACTCATCACTAACAGCTGGATGCCAAATTTGTCTCTTTGATACTGTCGTTTCCCAGAAGCCTACATGTTTTTTCCATACTATATGAAACTGTTTATGATCTTACTCTGTTTTCTGAGTCATTTTGCTAAATGCAGTAGGATGTTACAAAAGATATTCCTGGTTTTGTACCTACCTTTAAGATTTAAAATGAAAACGATGGACATAACATATATAACAAAGTCAATTAGAGTTGTGTGTATATGTAATAAAGTAGTGAGAGTGAGATGGAATTCCTCCAAGGTTTCATGTGTAAAGTCCAATTTAAGTAGAGTTTTGAAAAAAAAACAATGCAGGTGAATTACGAAAGCGAAAGAAATATGTATTCAGAATTGATATGACTTAAATTAAGATGTAGTGGGAAAAGTGGCTTAATTAGTATAATTTTTGTTTGTGCTCACACATTGTGGACTCCTCAATACTTACTTCCTGGGTGAATTATCCAGTGCCTTTCTGCCTGACTGATCTCTCTCAGTTCCTCAGTAAGCCTGAGAGTTAGTCCAGTGCTTTGGTCTGGGACATACCCCATGATAAAACTGTATTTCAGTCTTACATTCCTAAACAGGTAAACTAGCCTTCACCTACCAAAGGTATTGTATTCTAAAAGTTTGTTGCCAATTCTGTTTGTTGAATTTGATGTTTTCCCATAAAACGATTTAGTCAACTTTGGTAATCTTGCAAGATCAGCCCTCAAAAGCCCCATTTGACCCATAAGATACAGGAGCAAGTCTGAGTTCTGTGTTCTGGAGGTAGACAGCCAAAGCTATAAGAAGAATAAGGAAGAGTTTCCTTTTTTAGGCTCAGGACTATCCTTAGATAAAATTTTGATAGGATCTGTTTGTTTTAGACATTCTTCTACTTCCATTTTTATACCCTTGTACTGCTTCCCACTGACTCCTCCTGGGCTCCTAATACCTTCATGCTTGCCTTAAGTACTCCATCCTGGACTCGCCACCTGAACTCATCCTATTTGTCCTTTGCTCCCAAACTTGCCTTTCCTGTCCTATCTGGGCTTTTGTTCTCTTGTAGTAACTGACCTTATGTAGGTATTAAGAGATATAATTCCAACTATCACCCCCCTGATTATCAAAAAAGAGTTTATATTTTAAAAAGAAGATACACTGGATGTTAAGACAACTGACCTTCAAAAAGTCACTTCATGGGGGAAAAGAGATATGGAAGGAGCTATTCTAGATTAAATGAGACAAAAGAGACATAAAACCAAATGCAATGTGTGAACCTTGTGAGGGTCCTGAATAGTAAAATTGGACTTCTTCAGACTTGAAAACTTGTACACAAAAGGACACTATCAAGAGAATGGAGGATTTGGGTACAAGCGGTTGAAAGATGGTTTGGCTGCTCTGGTCGGATTCTGCCGTCCCAGTGAGGCTGGAAAATAGGGTCTAGAGGCAGGAACATAAGGCTGATTCACACTTCAGCTATGACAGGAAATATCCTCTCATAGAGCATAGGCCAAGTAAATGATTTTGTAACTTTACTTCATCCTCTCCTTTTACATAGGGTGTACTCCAAGTAGAGGGTATTTAAACTCAAAAAAACTCTGTAAGAGGGCCTTTTGAGCCCCTGTGCTCAGGCCTGCTCCCATACTGTGGAGTGTACTTTCATTTTCAACAAATCCCTCCATTCCTTCCTTGCTTTGTTTGTGCGTTTTGTCCAATTCTTTGTTTAAGACGCCAAGAACCTGGACACCCTCCACTGTTAACACCAGCCCTTCCCTGTGGCTGACCCTGAGGTGTTATGAGTTTCTTCACAGCCCTACTTCCTCTCTCTTCTCCCTCATTTTCAGACCCTTCTTCAGCATCTTCCCTGGGCATTGCTGTGAGTTTAGGCCGGCCCGTTTTGAGCAGGAGCAGCAGCGGAACAGTAGACCTGCTGGAGGAAGTGGGGCTGCAGATCAGAGACACAGCATTTTCGTCAACCAAACTTCTTGAAGCCATATCTACAGTATCAGCTCAAGTGGAAGAGCTTGCCGTCAAATGTACGGAAAATGCACGTTTCCTTAAAACATGACGGGACCTCTTGAAAGAATGCTGTGATTCTTGGAAACCTGACAATTGATTTGGCATACTTAGCTCTTTGATAGTGACTGTGTAATAATTCATACTTCCTCATATATGATCATTTCACATGTGCCACATATATAGGATAATATCTAGCAGTTCTCTATATCTTCAGAATGAAGTTTTTCTTGGTTTTCTTGACCTTTGTAAAAGCAGAATACTGATTCTATTTTTGATGTTGATCAGTACTTGTTTATTCTTACACTTTCTGCCCTTCAAACTTTCATAAAATCCTTTACAAAATTTAATTTTATCAGTAGATAGTTAATATTAATTGTGCCACAGTGCTACCAGTAGCAAACTAAGTGGACCATTATTTGTTTTGCAGTAAGATGCCAAGCATGGCAGAATTAGAAGTTGAGCTTCATCTTATGGACCAAGGGAGATAACTTTAAGGTTCCAGCTCCATTAGGCTGAGTTCTCTAGGCAAATGATTGTCTTACTTACTTCGATATCCCCAGCACCTAAAACAGTGTCACATAGCATTCACTAAATGTTTATTGAAAAGAAGAGTTGATTAACATAATACAAAGCTATTTTTTCTTCCTGTATTTAGCAGGAAGACTATAATTGTTTCTCTAAAAATGTATGAATCAGGACTTTGTTGACTTGAAGGAAAATGTTATCTTTTTCACAGAGATTTTAACTTTGATGATAGCTTTTAAAAACATGATAAATACTTTTGTCCTCAAATGATTATTTTAAAAAGTCTTTTTTTTTTGAGACAGAGTCTCATTCTGTCTCCCAGGCTGGAGTGCAGTGGTGCGATCTTGGCTCACTGCAATCTCTGCCTCCTGGGTTCAAGTGATTCTCCTGCCTCAGCCTCCCTAGTAGCTGGGATTACAGGCGTGTGCCACCATACCCGGCTAATTTTTTGTATTTTTAGTAGAGACAAGGTTTCACCATATTGACCAGGCTGGTCTCGAACTCCTGACCTCAAGTGATCCACCCGCCTCGGCCTCCCAAAGTGCTGGGATTACAGGCGTGAGCCACTGCACCCAGCTAAGAAGTCTTTATTTCAGAAAATGAAAGACTGTCTAGAAAGAACGAATTTTTTTTCCTATTTATTTCTATGGTTACTGCTTTTACACTTAATATTTTTTGTTTTCGGTATTTTTATATGTTTGATTGCTGTCTTTAAAGTGCCTTATCAGATTTATGGCTCTGTACTATGAATTTTGGAGCTTTACAAGTTATTTACATAACTCTAAGTTACTTTGCTTCCAATACATCAAATTTAAATAACATGATTGTTTTTATATTATTTGACCTTAGTGACAATGTCCTATTTTATTTGTTCTGTATCTTATGTCGCTTTTTGGTAGTTTGTATTATGTGTGAATGATTAAGCCAACTAATTCTGTACCATATATAACTTCTGGATATCTTTGATATGACATCTTAATTCTTTGTAGATATGGTGATGTGTACAGAATGATATTCTGAAGCTCCACAATGGTGCATTGAAAGGCTGCAGATGGATGGCCAAAGAATAGTTTTGTTTAGCATATTAGGTCTAGTTCTGGACTTTTTTTTTTATACTTTAAGTTCTGGGGTACATGTGCAGAACATGCAGTTTTGTTACATAGGTATACACGTGCCATGGTGGTTTGCTGCACCCATCAACCCATCACCTACATTAGGTATTTCTCCTAATGTTATCCCTCGCCTAATCCCCACCCCCCGACAGGCCCCAGTGTGTGATGCTTCCCTCCTTATGTCTGTGTGTTCTCATTGTTCAAATCCCACTTACGAGTGAGAACATGCAGTGTTTGGTTTTCTGTTCATGTGATAGTTTGCTGAGAATTATTGTTTCCAGCTTCATCCATGTCCCTGCAAAGGACATGAACTCATCCTTTTTTATGGCTGCGGAGTATTCCATGGTGTATATGTGCCACATTTTCTTTATCCAGTCTGTTATTGATGGACATTTAGGTTGGTTCCAAGTCTTTGCTATTGTGAATAGTGCCTCAATAAACATACATGTGCATGTGTCTTTATAGTAGAATGATTTATAATCCTTCGGGTATATATCCTGTAATGGGATTACTGGGTCAAATGGTATTTCTAGTTCTAGATCCTTGAGGAATCATCACACTGTCTTCCACAATGGTTGAACTAATTTACACTCCCGCCAACAATGTAAAAGCACTGGACTTTTTTTTTTTTAAGTTAAAAGATCACACACAGGGTGTGATTTCTATACCAAAGATATGCTTATTTCAGTATGAGGAAAAATATTTTTCTTACATGTCCTGAAAATTGCAATTTTAAAAATGTACAAAATAAATTTTTATTAAAAGCAAATTTTATTTCAAAAAAAAAGAGTGAAAGACAACCAACTGGATAGGAGAAAGTATTTGAAAGTCATATATCTGATAAGGGATTAATATCCAAGAATATAAAGAACTCTTACAACTCAACAACAACAACAAAATAACCTTATTAAAAATTGGGTAGAGTGCTTGAATAGACATTTCTTCGAAGATATACAAATACCCAATAAGCACATGAAAAGATGCTTGACATCATCAGTAATCAGAGAAATGTGAATCAAAACCACAATGAGATACCACTTCACACCTGCTAGGATGGGTAGAATAAAAAAGATAATAGGTATCGGAGGTGGAACAATTGGGGCCCTTATATACTGCTCATGGGAGTATAAATGGTACAGTCACTTTGGAAAACAGTCTGGCAGATCCTCAAACAATTAAACATAGAGTTATTATATGACCCAGCAAGTCTACTCTTAGGTATTACCAAAGAGAAATGAAAACACAAAAGTTTGTACATGAATGTTTATAGCAGCATTATTCATAATAGCCAAAAGATGGAAACAACCCAAATGTTCATCAACTGACAAATAGATAAATTATGGTGTATCTATGCAGTGGAATATTATTCAGCCATAAAAGGGAATGATGTACTGATATGTGCTGTAACATGGATGAACACTGAAAACATGCTACATGAAAGAAGTCAGTCACAAAAGACCACATATTACATGATTTCATTCATCTGAAATGTCCAGAAGAGGAAAATCTATACAAGCAAAGTAGATTAGTGGTTGCCCAGGACAGAAGGCTTAGGAGGTGATGACTGATAGGTAAGGGGTATGTTTTGTTGTTGTTGTTGTTGTTTTTAGGTGATGAAAATGTTCTGAAATTGCCTGTGGTGATGGTTGCACATGTCTGTGAATATGCTAACAACTATTGAATTCTACACTTTAAATGTGCGAATTATATAATACGTGAACTACATCTCAAGAATGTTTTAAAACTGGTGTTGGGAAAACAGGACATCCACATGTAAAACAATGTATGTCAGATCCTTACCATACACCATGTACAACAATTAACTCAAAATGGATTAAAGACCTAAATATAAGAGCCAAAACTACAAAAACTCTTAGAAGAAAACATAGCAGTAAATATTCGTAAGTTTGAATGTGGCAATGGTTTCTTAGATATGACACAAAAAACACAAAAGAAAAAAGATAAATTGGACTTCACAAATTAAAAGCTTTTGTGATTCAATGGACACCATCAAGAAAGTGAAAAGAATGGAATACCGATACATTTTACACATCAATGTACCTTGAAAACATTATGCTAAGTGAAAGAATCCAGACACACAAGGACACATATTGAATGAATCAATTTATATGAAATGGCCGTATAGGCAAATCCGTAGAGATAGGAAATAAAATTAGTGTTTGCCAGGGGCTGTGAGTAGAGAGGAAATGGGGAGTGTTGCTAATGGACATGGGATTTCTTTTTGGAGTAATGAAAATGTTTTGCAACTACATAGTCATTATGGTTGCACATCCTTGTGAATGTACTAAAAAGTACTGAACTGGATACCTTAAAAGGCTGAATTTTTTTCATTTCTTCTAAAAAAAACCAGGATAGATGTGCAGAACGTGCAGGTTTGTTACGTAGGTACATGTGTGCTATGGTGGTTTGCTGCATCTATTGACCCATCCTTTAAGTTTCCTCCCCTCACCCCTCACCCCCCAGCAGGCTCCGGTGTGTGATGTTCCCCTCCCTGTGTCCATGTGTTCTCATTGTTCAACTCCCATTTATGAACAAGAACATGCAGCATTTGGTTCTCTGTTCCTGTGTTAGTCTGCTGAGGATGATGGTTTCCAGCTTCATTCATATCCCTGCAAAGGACATGATCTCATTCCTTTGTATGGCTGCATAGTATTCCATGGTGTATATGTACCACATTTTCTTTCTCCAGTCTATCATTGATGGGCATTTGGGTTGGTTCCAAGTCTTTGCTATTGTAAATAGTGCTGCAGTAAACATACGTGTGCATGTGTCTTTATAGTAGAATGATTTATATTCCTCTGGGTATGTACCCAGTAATGGGGTTGCTGGGTCAAATGGTATTTCTGGTTCTAGATCCTCGAGGAATCGCCATACTGTCTTCCACAATAGTTGAACTAATTCACATTCCCACCAACAGTGTAAAAGCGTTCCTATTTCCCCACAGCCTCACCAGCATCTATTGTTTCCTGAGTTTTTAATAATTGCTATTCTGACTGGTGTGAGATGGTATCTCATTGTGGTTTTGATTTGCATTTCTCTGATGATCTGTGATGTTGAGCTTTTTTTCATATGTTTGTTGGCCGCATAAATGTCTTCTTTTGAGAAATGTCTATTCATATCCTTTGCCCACTTTTTGATGGGGTTGTTTTTTTCTTGTAAATTGTTTAAGTTCCTTGTAGATTCTGGATATTAGACCTTTGTCAGATGGGTAGATTGCAAAATGTTTTCTCCCATTCTGTAGGTTAAAAGGCTGAATTTTATAGCATGTGAATTATATCCCAATTTAAAAAAGAATGCATATGTCTTAGTTCAGGCTTCCATAACATAATACCATAGACTGGGTGGTCTAATTGTTCAAAGCTCCACAGAAATTAGTTGGAGAAGTTACAAGAGTCCATTAATCATCTTGCTTTGTTAGTAGCAGCGGGCATGGTTCAGCATTTTCTGCTTAAGTTTCTCTGAGCTCACCAAAACTAAAATGATGTTGTAATACTTTTTTTTTTTAATTGCACATCACTCCTTTATTATACTGATCTGGTAAAAGGATTTAGTACAGTTATGCTCAGATGAACACTGGGCCCATGTGGCAGGGTCAAGCAACTAGAACATGATTCAGAAATCAGTGAAAGACACACTTGGACAGGACCAAGAGGCATTTCACTGCCATGAAACAAGGCAGGAAGGGATTCTAATACACACACCAGGAAGCACTCCTGCCCCTCAGAGGTCAAGGAGCTGATCCTATATTGGTATGAGGAATGGCTTATTTTCTGATGACCACATGTGGGACTATTTCAACCGCCACAAGAAACCCCAGAAGGGTTATTGTTTTGTATTATTAATATATACTATACTTTTTTAATAAAAGTAAATATAACACATAACGAAATTCAGGATTGATCCCAACCTAGAGCCAGATCCTCTGGGGTCAAGGAGGAAACAGTTGTCACATCACCATGCAGATTACATTCATCTTCCACTGGAATGACTAGAGCCCCCAGGCAGTGGCCTGACTGCAGAAGAGCAGAGGACAGACTCTGCTCATGGGGACAGACAGGCTCTGTTGCTTCTCCTCATTGGTCGTGGCTTAGCATGTTCCTCCCCAAAGTCCTTAGTAAACAAAGCACTCACAAAAACCCAAGTCACTACTTTTAAACTCTGTTGGATAAGGGGAGCTTTTCCACAGCTTAGACTGAGAACCTGTGCTCTAGAACTGCTATTCTGACTAGATTGTATGAAGGGAGTGGGTGCAGGCGACAAAATGGCTAAAATGAAAATGGGAGCCACTGGTCCCCATCTGCAGCTACAACTCAAGATGTCTACAGATGTGGTCAGTGTGACATGTGCAGGTGGGAGGGGCAGAGGGACAAGACCAGCAGGGAGGGTGCTCCTGGGGACAGTATCCTCCCCGCTGGCCTTCACTTCTTGGCCTTGCCCTGGGCAGCCACAGCTTCTATGGCTTTGCACACCGTCTCTTCATCCCCCAGAAACTGCATGGGCTTGATAGGCTTCAAGTTCTTGTCCAATTCATAGACGATGGGAATACCAGTCGGCAGGTTCAGCTCCATGATAGCCTCTTCAGAGAGACCCTCCACATGCTTGGCAATGCCCTGGAGGCTGTTGCCATGGGCTGCAATCAGTACACGTTTCCCCTCCTTGATCTGGGGAACTATTTCTTCATTCCAGAAGGGCAGAGCTCTGGCAATAGTATCCTTCGGACTCTCATAGGAGGGTAGCTGATCTTCTGTGAGGTCTGCATACCTGCGATCCTTACTGATGTTGCTGTAGAAAGGATGGTCGGGCTCCATCGGAGGTGGTGGGACATCATAGGAGCGCCTCCAGATCTTCACCTGGGCCTCACCATGCTTTGCAGCAGTTTCTGCTTTATTGAGACCGGTTAGACCCCCATAGTGCCGCTCATTGAGGCGCCAAGTCCTCACCACTGGCAGCCACATCTGATCAATGGCATCTAGCACTGTCCAGAGGGTCCGGATCACTCTCTTCTGCACTGAGGTGAGGCAGATGTCAAACTCATAGCCAGCATCTCGTAGCGCCTGCCCGCCGCGCTTCGCCTCCTCGTGGCCCGCCGGGCTCAGATCGGCGTCGTACCAGCAGCTGAAGCGGTTCTCCAGGTTCCATGTGCTCTCGCCGTGCCGGATCAGCACCAGTTTGTAGGCGGCCATGGCGGTGGGCTGCAATACTTTTTATACCATTTGAAGTAAAAGGTACAAAAGGTTATACGCTGAAAATTCTTTTTCCCACCCTTATTCCCTAACCACTCATTTCCCCTCACCAGAGGAACCACTGTTTCCATGGGATATATTAGATTGATTTATATGAAATTGCCGGTGTTTGACTATGATGATTTCATGTGGTTCAGCCTAATATCAGTGAAAAAACAGAGTCCTATCTTCATGGAGTTTTTATTCTAGTGGGAAGTGTATTACTTAATTATTGCAGTGTAACAAATAACCCCAAAATTTAGTGGCTTAAAGCAACAAACATTTATTATCTCACATTTCCTATGACTCAATAATTTGGGAGCAGCTTAGATGGGTAGTTCTGGCTCAGGGTGTCTCATGAAGTTGTAGTCAATATGGTGTCTGGGGATGTAGTAGTTTAAAGGCTTAACTTAGGTCTGAAGGAGCAGTTTCCAAGGTGGTTCACTTACCTGGCTATTGGCGGGAGGCCTTAGGTCTTTGCTGGTTTTTGACATGAGGCCTCAGTTCCTCACCATATGAACCTCTCCATAAGGCTGCTTGTATGTCTTCATACTTGGTAGGTGGCTTCCCCCAGATTGCGTGATTCAGGAGAGAGGACAACAAGGAAAACACAATGCTTTTTTCTCCTCTTGCAATGTTTTTTATGACCTAGTCTTGGAAGTCACACCTTGTCGCTTCTACCGTAGTCTATTCATTAGAAACAAGTCATTAGGCCAGGTGTGGTGGCTCATGCCTGTAATCCCAGCACTTTGGGAGGGCGAGGCGGGTGGATCACTTGAGGTCAGGTGTTCGAGACCAGCCTAGTCAACATGGTGAAACCTTGTCTCTACTTAAAATACAAAAAATTAGCCGGGTGTGGTGGCATGCGCCCGTAATCTCAGGTACTGGGGAGGCTGATGCAGGAGAATCACTTCAACCCGGGAGGCGGAAGTTGCAGTGAACTGAGATCGTGCCACAGCACTCCAGCCTGCGAGACAGAATTGAGTCTCAAAAACAAAAACAAAAACAAAAACCAAAACAACAACAACAACAAAAAACAAGAAACAAGTCATTAAGTTCAGGCCACACCGAAGGGGAAAGGATTAAATTCCACCTCTTGAAGGAAGGAGTAGCAAAGAATTTGTGGGCGTATTTTAAAACCACCACAGGAAGGCAGACAATAAGCAATAAACAGAATAAATCAGCAAGTTATGGAGTATGTTAGAAGGTGGTACGTTCTATGAAAACAAAAGAAAAAGCAGAGGTAAGGGGAATCAGAGTATGTTTGTGTGGAAGGGATGTAGGTTGCAGTTTTAAATAGGGTGGTCAGCATAGTCCTCATTAAGGTTAGATTTGAACAAAGACTTGGAGACAAAGAAGTTAGCCAAGCAGTTATCTGGAAGAAGAAAGTCCCAAAGCAAGAGAATAGCTAAAATAAGGCCTTGAAGTAGGAGTCATCCTTGCATGCGTAACAGCCAGGAGGCCAGTATGACTGGCACAGAGAAGGGTTTGGTGAGTGGTAGAAGAGGAGGCCAGGTAAACTTGAGGGGGACAGGCATGGGAAATCATGTGGGACCTTGTTGGCTGTTGTAAGGATTTGAGGCATTTTTGATTAGTTCTTAATTCGTACTTACAAATGTTAAATGAGATTATGTATGGGAAACATTAGTAATCAGGAAAGCACTCTATGAAAGCTAGTTACTTGTATTAAAGTATTGAAATTTTTATTTTTAGTTAGCATATCCATAGAAACAACTTTCCTTTACTTCATCTAAGGTGATAAGAATTTTTTTTCTAAGCAGGAAGAATGCTTACCATATTTTATTACTAGCACATTTTAATTTTTTAAACATGACACTTGAGCATATATAAAATGTAGCATATTTTTAATTGGGGAGGTGGGGGAAAAGTTGAGGAAAGATTATTTGCATGGCTGAAATTAATGAATTTATTGTTTCTAACAGGAATGTAATGAGGAAATCAAAATGGATCCAAGTATGGGTGTGAATTCTGTTACCATTTCTGTTGAGGGTATGACTTGCAATTCCTGTGTTTGGACCATTGAGCAGCAGATTGGAAAAGTGAATGGTGTGCATCACATTAAGGTAAGTTACTCTTTGGAAACTGAAGTCAAATGCCATTGAAGAGAATTCTACTAGAAATTACTTCTAACAATGAGATAGAAGCAGACACACTGACACATTTGGCAATAAAAACTATTGTACTTCTTATCTTGAAGCTAAATAAGTTTTCTTTGACCCATTAATTCCTCTCATAAAGAAAAAAGATATATTTTCAATTTAAAAACATCTGAACATGGAATCTTGATATTGTGGTTGTATATTTATAGATTTATATTTTATAAGTATATGAGTATTTATATACTGTTTATTACTCTGAATCTCATACTGAACTAAAATGTATGTTTTCAGGGGATGGGTTAGGGTTTTCTTTTTCTTTTATAACATGGTGATTATTTTGCAATTAAAACTTGAAGGGAAAATGTCTAGAGAATTACTAGTATACTTTGGTTTTTATTTTTAGTTTTTTTTTCAGACAGGGTCTTGCTCTGTCACCCAGGCTGCATTGCAGTGGCAAAATCACAGCTCACTGCAGCCTAGATTTCCCAGGCTCAAGCAATCCTCCCATCTCGGCCTCCCAAGTACCTAGGACCACAGGCGTGCACCACCATGCTAGCTAATTTTTTTTTTTTAAGATGGAGTTTTGCTCTTGCTGCCCAGGCTGGAGTGCAGTGGCACGATCTCAGCTCACCACAACCTCCACCTCCCGGTTCAAGCAATTCTCCTGCCTCAGCCTTCCGAGTAGCTGGGATTACAGGCATGCGCCATCACTCCCAGCTAATTTTGTATTTTTAGTAGAGACAGGGTTTCTCCATGTTGGTCAGGCTGGTCTTGAACTCCTGACCTCAGGTGATCTGCCCACCTCAGCCTTCCAAACTGTTGGGATTACAGGCATGAGCCACTGTGCCCGGCTGCATGCCAGCTAATTTTTTAATTTATTTTTTGTAGCGATGGGGGTCTCACTATGTTGTCCAGGCTGATCTCAAACTCCTGGACTCAAGTGATCCTCCCACCTGGGCCTCCCAGAGTGCGGGGATTACAGGTGTGAGCCACCATGCCCAGCCAAAATTACTAGTACACCTTGTATGATATGCCTAAGGAAGACTCTATTATTGGTTTTTTGTTTGTTTGTTTTTCAGACTCTAGGGCTTTAAGTTGAAGACTCTATTGTTGTTTAACATTACTTGAGCATCAACAGCATTCTAGATATACTGTGGTTAAAGATGTAGTTCAGGTTATAAAAAAGCCTTCTGAATACTGCATGAAGTACCTGTGGTTATCATAAGAAACTTCATGCATATATGGCAGGGATTGGAAAATGGTGATCTGCAGGCCAAACCCAGTTTGCCAACTGCTTTCATATGGCTCATAAGCTAAGAATGCCTTTTACATTTTTACACCATTGAAAAAAATTAAAAAAATATTTAGGAACTTATGAAAAGCACATGAAATTCAAATTTTTGTGTCTGTAAGTAAAGTTTTAGTAATATACAGTTTTATTAGAACACAGCCACACTCATTCATTTACGTATTGTGTACAGCCCTTTTTTCACTACAAGAGAGTTGAATAGTTGTGACAGAGCCCATACGTGGTGTCCTCATTGGTAAGTGATACACTGCCAAATGATTTACCACAGTGGAAATACCATTTTATCTTCCCACCAGCAGTGTTTGTGTTCCACTTTGAAAGTGTTCCATTTTCTCCACATTCCCTCCAACAATTTGTATTGTCAGTCTTTTAAATTATAGACATTCTAATGGGTGTGTAATATTACATCACTAATTCTCATTTCCTTAATGGCTAATGATATTGAGCATCTTTTCATGTGTTTATTAGGCATTTGTATACCTTCTTTGGTGAAATGTGTGTTAAACCCTTTGGCCAAATTTTTAGTTGGGTTTTTTGTTTTGTTGTTATTGAATTTCTTCTTTTTCAAAATTGTTTTGGTTAGTCTAGGCCCTTTTACTTTCCATATAAATTTTAGAATCAGTTTATAAGTTTCTACAAAAATATCTGCTGGGATTTTCGTTGAGATTGTGTTGATTCTACAGATCCATTTGGACAGAAGTAACATCTTACCAATATTGAGTTTTCCAATCCATGCACATAGTATATGTCTATTTATGTTGGTATTCTTTGATTTCTTTTATCAGGAATCAATAGTTTTCAGCATGCAGTTTCTGTACATATTTTGTTAGATTTATATTTAAGTACTTTATGTTTTTGAATGCTGTTATAAATGGTACTGTTTTTAAATTTTAAATTTAAGTTTAATTTCAGGTGTTCATTATGAGGTTTTTATATGTTGACTTTGTATCCTGGAACGTAGCCAAACTGACTTATCAAACCTATTAGCTTTTTTGTACATTTCTTGGGATTTTCTATGTAATTATGTCATCAAGGTATATAGTTTTTTTTTTTTTTTAAGATAGTCTCACTCTGTGACCCAGGCTGGAGTACAGTGGCACAATGTTGGCTCACTGCAACGTCCACCTCCTGGGTTCAAGCAATTCTCATGCCTCAGTCACCCAAGTAGCTGGGATTACAGGCACATGCCACCACACCTGGCTAATTTTTGTATTTTTAGTAGAGTTGGGGTTTCGCCGTGTTGGCCAGGGTGGTCTTGAACTCCAGACCTTGAGTGATCCGTCCACCTCGGCCTCTTAAAGTGCTGGGATTGCAGGTGTGAGCCACTGCACCTGGCCACATAGTTTTATTTATTCCTTTGTAGTCTGTATATCTTTTTTTTTTCCCTTGTATTATCAAACCTTCATTACAATTTTGATTGGGAGTGGTGAGAGTGAACGATGGTTGGGGGAAACATTCAGTCATTTACAGTTAGCATTGTGTTAGTTGTAGAGTTTTGTAAATACTATTTATCAGATTAATTAAGTTATTTCTATTACTAGTTTGCTGAGGGTTTTTTTAAACATCATGAATGGATGTTGAATTTTGTCAAGTGCTTTTTCTGCATATAGAGATGATCATATGGTTTTTCTCCTTTAGTCTGTTAAGATGGTGAATTACACTGATTGATTTTCAAATGTTGAGCCAGCCATGCATTCCCAGGGTAAGCCTCACTTGGTCCAAGAAGACTTACTTTCCATTAAAAATTTCAAACATACACAAAGGTGGAGAAACTATTTTTTTTTATTATACTTTAAGTTTTAGGGTACATGTGCACATTGTGCAGGTTAGTTACATATGTATACATGTGCCGTGCTGGTGCGCTGCACCCACTAACTCGTCATCTAGCAACTATTAATAGTACAAGAATCTACCCTATACCCATCACCTAGAAAAATCCTTGCTATTTATTTGCATGCCATTCTCATCAGTTGAATTTTATAATGTGTTTTGCTGATGATTCTAAGAGTTGGTCCAGGCCTTCCTGCCTATTGTATTCTGTTAAGGTAGATGTCTCTGACTAGTGGATTGGAACTTCCTAGTATATCTCCATACCAGTTGCCATTTCTAAGCCTTTTGGCCACCCCCTGCCACCACCCCTGCCCGCCCCTTTCCCTTGTCACTCTTCGCAATTCTCAGCACTAATTGTAGTGTATATAATTTCAGTACTCTTTCCCATGCTTTATTTAGTTTGTTTTTGAACATATTTTTTTCTCATTTCTCTCCAACTTGTATCTCAGGATCCAAAGAATTAACAATATCTCATGCCAAAAGCTTGAGGATTCCTACTGTATTGACAATAACATACAGAAGCTTTGCTTAAATATTATGCTTACTTTTTTTTTTTTTTTTTTTTTTTTTTTAGATGGAATCTCACTCTGTCGCCCAGGCTGGAGTGCAGTGGTGCCATCTCAGCTCACTGCAACCTCTGGCTCCTGGGTTCAAGCAATTATCATGACTCAGCCTCCCAAGTAGCTGGGACTACAGGTGCACGTCACCATTCCTGGGTAATTTTTTGTACTTTTAGTAGAAACGGGGTTTCACCATGTTGGCCAGGCTGGCCTGGAACTCCTGACCTCAGGTGATCCGCCCGCCTCGGCCTCCCACAGTATTGGGATTACAGGCATGAGCCACCACGCCCAGCCTGAATTGCTTACCCTTAAACATGTTTATTTTTACTGCCAGGCCTTAATGAGTCAGTAATGGATATGTCATTTTAGCTGAGTTGTATTCTCATTTGTGTAATATACTTATCATTTTAATGTTATCTTATCATTAAAACAACCTTATATTGGTGGTAATTCTATTTGCTGGAGGTTCTCTGTAATTTTGCTTTTATGCAATGTTCATTACAGTAATGGCGGGAAGTTAATGCCACTTTGGAATTTGATCAGCTTGCATCACTACCAGAATGGTTTTCCTATGACTAGTTGAGATCCACATGCAATACATTTTTTGACATACTACCAGGAGCAGATGTTAATATCATAATGAAAGCTTTGTCCAACTGGACATCAGATTTAGCACAAAATTCAAAATTAGGGACAAGATGGATTCTTTCTAATTATCAGAAGCTCATCATATTTTTAAGGGCGTGAATGATTACATTGGAACTAGAATATTTTGTGTCTCCAGATCAGATACTTGTGAGAGCTCTACTTTTTAACTATTCTTGATCTAAACATTAACTTTTACCATTTATTTTTCAGAGGTTTCAAAATGGTTTTGGCTCTTTAGTGAAATACAGAATTTATACTTTATCTCTGCAGTATTCTTACCTAAAATTCTGATTTATTATAAGATCTTGAGTAGATTGGTTTCAGTTTGCCTTGTTTTTATTACCCAAAATTGGCTAATTAGCCCATCATTACTCTCTATGAAGTCTGATACATTTCCTTAATTCAAGAGTCCTATGAAGTGTGGTGCTAATATGTGGACAATTCTTCTCTTCCTAATCTGAAACTGTAGGTGATTTTTTCCATGTCTAAGTTTTATAGTCATCTTGGCCAGAGAGTAAACTTTGGATCCATATTACTATTTGTATGAGGGAAAAAGCAGTATTTCTTGTTTGTTGACTCTACACTCTGATTAGCTAAGACTATGTTGATAGCTGTGGCTAGAAAAGTTTTATTTACATAGCATATATTCCTTCTCCTAAGTTTTCTGTACTGTTGACATCCATGTGACTACTTAGATATGAACTTTCCATTTTCACATGCTCCAAAGGTAGATTTTTTTTTTCTTGTATTCACCATCTACCTTGGCGTAATTCCAGTCTTAGAGGCTCCCACATTGCTTCTTCCCGGCAACATCCCCGAACAGGGATACGGTTGCCTTTAATGATCTTTGGGGAAAGAGCCAAGTTGGAAAAGCTGAGAGATGACAGGTAATTATTTTACGTATTTATCTTCAAAATATTCAAATTTATATAAAAATATTTTCCCCTAATCATATCTATGCAAAAGTTAGGCATATTTTGCAGTTTGTTGATTAGTAAAGAGAATAGTAAAAGTAGCTCTGCAAACTCAATGCTAATGCTTTAAAAATGAGTTGCTTAATTTCACTGAGTAATAAGTATGACACATGAATTTGATTTATCCTCAGATGAAACTAATTAAACCTCCTCCACTTGATCTGAGGTGGGGCTGGTGTTGAGGGCCAGAACAGAAGCTGAACCTTACTAATTATATAGTAGTGTCTGTGCTAATTGCAGTAAAGCTGTTTTAACCATTTGGAAACTAGTTCATGTAATTTTTTGCCAAATGACTTAGGTACTTATTGTCCACTGACAGCTAAAGTATTTTCCAAAACCCTCAACTCTCTGTCTAGCAAACTATTGTAGGTGAATATTTGTCTCTGCCAACATATCCATGTATAACTATAAAACTAGATTCTGCTTTGATGTTTGCAAATACATTCTTGCTTCCCAAAACAGCCTGTTTGCATCACACTCATATGTAAGATGGCTATTTCCGCTGCATCTTCCCAAAGTTCACCACTGCTTAATAAGGTCTGTTTAAGGTCAAACAAATGCAATTGAATTTTGATTACACTGAAAATGAAGAATAGCAGCAATATAATGTGAAAGCACTTTGTGTTGTCAACAGTGATTTATACAAATTCCAGTGACAGATACTCAAGACTACTTTCCAGGGCACATTCATAATTTGATTGCTAAAAATAAAAGAAAACACACTTGTTCTGCCTTTTTCAGCTCTGCTTCTCCTCTTTCAGTCAAAAGCCCTTATGTTAGTAACCTTTATTCTTTTTTAAAAAAATATTTTACTAAGTGTGAAGTGTTCTGGGGCCAGAGAGAGATTTTCTGTGAAGTTAATGAAGCTTAAGTTTCAGAGCTCCTCATTTGCAGTGACCTTCTTCTAAGACTCTGGAAGGAGTATCAGCAATGTGTTTATATGGTCATGTGTTTTTGTACAATTTGAAAAATTAAAAAAAAATTTAACCACAACCCTTCAAGGCCATTGTCCATTTCTACTTCAATGACTCTTCTGTTAGACCTCCCCTTTGTGTTAGTGTGATATTGGAATGGCCATGAGCTTTTTGGGGATGTGACTAAGGGGAGGTTGAGTTGGGGATATGTTTAGTTTGGGGTTAGTAGGCTATTTGGCTATAGGTGGTTCTTTGTCACTTCTGTGTATAGTGGAGTTTTTGCTAGGAATTCTGATATAGGGATGGCTTCTTGGAACACCCCTACTACTCATGGGGCCAACTCACTAAGCATCATGACATGAAGATGCAGGGCTCAGTGTAAAACTGGTAAATGAATGTTACCAGTTCAAAGAATATGTAAGATTAGTCACTTCACAAGTAAATTTGAAATGCCCTGAAATCTTACAGCTCATATATGAAAGAAACTCAACAGTTTTCTCAAATTTGACAGTAGCTTTAAAAATGTATCAATGCCTAGTTGTTATGTTGAAAGGAACTTTTCTAAACTATCATTAATTTTAAAAATTTTTATCTAGAGAAAAGACTGAACTATTTTTATTTTCTTTATATACAAGTGATTTTATAAAGTCGTCAAATGAAGCACTAAAGAATATACAGCCAAAAACATAGGAAAAGAAACTATCAGAGAGGTATATCAGGCATTATTAATAAAAATGTTATTGTTATGGATTTTTATGATATTTGTTAGCTTTAAAAATTTATAACTTGTGATTTAAATTTTTTTAAATTTTATTTTGAGACGGAATCTTGCTCTGTCATCTGTACTGGAATGCGATGGTGCGATCTCGGCTCACTGCAACCTTCGCCTCCTGGGTTCAAGTGATTCTCCTGTCTCAGCCTCCCGAGTAGCTGGCATTACAGGCACGTGGCATCATGCCCGGCTAATTTTTGTATTTTTAGTAGAGACAGGGTTTCACCATGTTGGCCAGGCTAGTTTCAAACTCCTGACCTCAGATGATCCGCCCCCCTTCACCTTCCAAAGTGCTGGGATTACAGGTGTGAGCCACTGCACCCGGCCATATAACTTATGATTTTTGTTATGCGCTCAGAATATTTTCTTTTGTACAAAATTTTGTGTTTATGGTTTTTTATTCCTTTTTTTAAAGAAGGCCCTTCAAATTGTTTAAGTTTCAGACACCACAAAGTGTGAATTCACCTCTTTCTAGACATCATATAGAAAGCTGTCTTTGCCCAAACATAATTTATAGTCAGAATGTAGTTCAACATGATCATACATAAATATTGATTACTTTTTAAAGAATGTTAAAGCTTAAAATTTCTGCAAATAATTAATGGGAACTAGGCTTAATACCTGGGTGACAGAATAATCTGTACAACAAACCCCTATGACACAAGTTTACCTATATCACAAACCTGCACATATACCCCTGAACTTAAAAGAAAAGTTAAAAAAGAAATGTACACAAAAAAGAATATTTCTGAATCATAACTTCTAGGATTATAATTAAGCCTCAGGTGCAGTTAATTTAGAAATCAGATTTGGGGAGAAGAGTGTTTCAACTAAGTCAAGGAGCTCTTGGTAGTGTTTGGAATGAAGTAATATAATTGTGATATTAAATTGAGTAAAGTTGTTTTATTGGAAAATGCAACAGCAGAACAGATTAATTAACAGAATTCAAAAAGAGTGAATAGTCAGGAAATCTCTAATTTTGGAATAAATAGAATATGACTATTTGCCTTTGCAACTTTAGAATTTAAATGCATTTTGGGAATTGTGTCCTAAGTTATACAGTAAATAAATGTAATTTTCTTGTTTGTACTGCCAGTGTTAAGACTGTAGACTTTAAAGGGATTAACCTGAAGTTTAATTTAATCACCCTGGTGGTCTGTTCAAAGGAAAAGTAAAATAGGCAGATAATGTGAAGATCTTTCTCCGGGGTTGTTTGGCCTTTTTGAAAGTGGAAGTATAAAAACAAATTTAATTAGATATAAGTACTGAATGATTCCAAAGGTTAATGCCTTATTAACAAATTAGTTTGTCCCTGAAACTTACAACACTAACTTTTTGAGTGCTTTTCCTTTTTAATTAGATAAAGGCTATAGTCCATTCTCTTAATAGAGACTATCCTTTAGAAAAATGACCACCTCACGGATCACGAGGTCAGGAGTTCGAGACCAGCCTGACCAACATGGTGAAACCCTGTCTGTACTTGAAATACAAAAATTAGTTGGGCGTGGTGTCGCGCACCTGTAATCCCAGCTACTCAAGAGGCCAAGGCAGAATTGCTTGAACCCTGGAGGTGGAGGTTGCAGTGAGCCGAGTTCATGCCACTGCACTCCAGCCTGGGCAACAGAGCGAGACTCCAACTCAAAAAGTAAATAAATAAAATAAAATAAAAATGACCACATCAATGCTAGCAGTTACTAAATTCCTCCTTTGGATCAATAAATACATTCCTTACTCCCCTTACAATTAATTGGTGTTTTTATTATTGAAAAAGTAACACATACACAGAGTAAAATTCCTCTCCCAAGGAAAACCAGTTGTCCTATGTATATGTATCCTTCCAGAAAGACTATTAATATAAAACTTTTTTTTAAATTATTTTTTGAGATGGAGTCTCGCTCTTGTCACCCAGGCTGGAGTGCAGTGGTGCGATCTCGGCTCACTGCAACCTCCGCCACCCGGGTTCAACTGATTCTCCTGCCTCAGCCTCCTGAGTAGCTGGGATTACAGGTGCCTGTCACCATGCCTGGCTAATTTTTGTACTTTTAGTAGAGACGAGTTTTGCCATGTTGGCCAGGCTGGTCTCGAACTCCTGAACTCAGGTGATCCGCCTGCCTCGGCCTTCCAAAGTGCTGGGCTTACAGGCATGAGCCACCGTGCCCAGCCAAAGCTATTTACATGTACATAAGTATATATACTTGATGTGTGTGTGTCCACTTTTTCTAAAAATGGAAGCATACTATGCACATCATTCTGCACCTTGCTTTTTTTTAAATTAGCAAATATATCTTAGATATTGTTCCACATCAATATACAGAGCCCCATCTAATATTTTTCTTTCTATATGGGACTCTTTTTTTGGCTTCTTAGCTTTTTCTGGCAAATGACAGTGCATTGAATATTCTGTTTTTCAAACTGGTGCTCTGTCACCAATACTATATTAGAGTAACATAGGCATTTTTATTATTATAAATTAGTAGGTAATAATCATTTATCCATGAAGATGTCGAGTCAGCTTCAAAGAGGATTAGGTTTCTGATTTAGCTGAACTCTATTCTGAGGACCAAAGGAAGGTCAAATCCAAGATAAAAAATTTAGCAGTGAAGGAATGGTGTAAAGAGGGACTTTCACTATTTCTTTTGTATATTTTTGTGTTTAAATTTTTATAGCGAACAATCATACATTTGTCATATAATGTTTGAAGCAAAGTGAAAATACATTAGAAATGGCCAGGCATAGTGGTTCATGCTGTAATCCCAGTACTTTGGGAGGCCAAGGTGGGAGGATTGCTTGAGACCAGGAGTTTGAGAACAGCTTGGGCAACATAGCAAGACCTTGTCTTTTAAAAAGAAAGAGAGAAAGAGAGAGAGAGAATGAGAATATATTAGAAATGAGAATTCTGACAAAGTACTCAGTTTAAAGATGGTTTAGTTCATGAAAAACAATGCTACAATGTAATAAAAACTAACAGAATGTCTGCATCTTTTTCATCTTAAAACATTTGATTTTTGAATTTTTAGATTGATTTTGGACTATTATTTAGTGTCTAAGGATTGTCTTTTTCTAGTTTATAATCTGATATAATAGTTTTAAAGTGATAACCTTTATTTAGGTTACTCAAATAGGATAAATGTTCATGGAGCTTGATGGCTTCCTCTTACAATATTTTAATTTTCAATATTCTATATTGAAGCATCAAATAGAGTGTTACCCTATTAATGTAAATACATTATATTTTTCAGCAAACCATAATGGAATTTGTATTGAGACTGTATGTATTATAAGTGATGATCTTTTTGTATATTATAAATAATTTTTAGTTGATTCAAAAATATATTATGGGTGGTGAATCAAACATATTAGAAATTCAGGATAATTGATTAATCATGTCACTTTTCTGACTTCAGTCTCCACATCTGTAAAATAACAGAATCCTTTCAAGCTGTGAAAAATCTCTTATAACCTTTATGTTGAGTTGTTATATGAAAATGTAAGAAAGTAAGCTTTAAACTGTCTGAAGATTCCCACACTGAGCAGCATGCTAACCTGAATTTATTATGATCATATATAAATTGATTCCTGGGGGATAAAAAGGAATTTCAATGTGCTAAAACTTGAGCTAAGTTATTTTCCCATAGTGACTTTTAAAAATGTGGAAATATTAGAATGTTCTGATTGTCAGTTCTGTTAAAAACTCAAATGTGTTTTAAAATCATTTCAAATTTAAACTAGCATGGGAGAATATGTGAAATGTGAGAGGAAAAAACAAACAATTAAAATTTGGTTCAAACACTAGAAATATTGTATACTTTTCAGATTATTTATAAGCCATAAATTGCTCAAATCATAGGCATAGAATTTTAGTTTTCCAAGGAAATTGTAGATTATTTAGCATAATCATTTATAGATGTAAAGAGTGTAGACTTTGGAGTTACATACACCTGCATTTGAATCCTAGCTCTTTCATTTTCTTGTTGGGTTCCTTGGGCAATTTATTCAATTTCCTGGCCTTCATATAGGAACCTGGATCACCTTTGTCTTAGTCTGTTCAGGCAGCTATAAGAAAATACCATAAAGTGGGTGGCTTATAAACAACAGAAATGTATTTCTCACAATTCTGGAAGCTGGGAAGTCCAAAATCAAGGTGCTGGCAAATTTGATGTCTGGTGAGGATTGACTTCCTGGTTCATGTATTGCGCCTTCTCCCTGTGTCCTCACATGGTGGAAGGGACAGGGTAGCTCTCTGGGACCTCTTTTATAAGGGCACAAATCCCAATCTTGAGGACTCTGTCTTCATTACCTAATCACCTCTCAAAGGCCCCCTGCCAATATTATTACCTTGGGAATTAGCATTTCAGCACATGAATTTTTGAGGGACCTTTCCCTATCAAATAAGAAAGAATACAGAAGAGAAAACATGTACTGATGACAACCTAAGAAGTGGTAGTAACATAGTTTTTTAGCTTATATAGAAAGTTAGAACTGAAAAGATTATTTTATCTAGTCTCTCAGGAAACTGAAGCCCTCAGAGGTAGGGTAATTTGTTTAAGGTTCTAGCTTTCATATTGCCTAAGAATAGAAGATGCAGTCTTTGTGGGTTTATGCAAATTATACAGAAATCATATGCAAATAAAGTATACTGTGCCTGAATTTCATGTTTGACATTTCAAGAGACACAGAACACCACAAAAATTAAAAGAATCGATCTTTACAATCTCTGTGACAGTCAGCACTCTACACCACCATTAATACTATGAAGGCCACAGAGTACGTTTGGTATATTTTCCTTTTTTCTCTCCCACTACTGCCTTCATCAAAATACAGTGAATAGTCCTCCATCTTCAGTCTTTCCTATGAGCTATATTTATAATTTGTAGGCTGTTACATTTATTTTCAGAGGAACTTTTTTTTTTTTCCGAGACGGAGTTTCACTCTCTTGTCCAGGCTGGAGTGCAGTGGCACGACCTCCGCCTCCCGGGTTCAAGCGATTCTTGTGCCTCAGCCTCTTGAGTAGCTGGGATTACAGGCGCCCGCCACCATGCCCAGATAATTTTTACATTTTTAGTAGAGACGGGGTTTCACCATGTTGGCCAGGCTGGTCTCGAACTCCTGGCCTTAAGTGATACACCCACCTCGGCCTCCCAAAGTGCTGGGATTACAGGCATGAGCCACCACTCCGGCCCAGAGGAACGATTGATATAATGGAAAAATAGTTCCTCTGAAAATAAAAATAACAACATTGGTTCCTAATAAAAGATTAAGAGAAAAAGACAAGCTGTCGAAATATTGGAGCAATGTGGGGAATGAGGAAGGTGGGGTAGGGCAGAGAAGGGAAGTTATTTTTGGAGCAGGGGTTGGGGTTAGAGGACATATGAAAGGAGAGCAGCACAGACCCGGAATCAGACTGCCGCCAGCACTTTCCAGCTCTATGGAGTCTGCCTGGTTTTGCTCATCACTGTATCTCTAGCAGCTAGCATAGTGCCGGGCACATAATGGACATTCAATAAATATTTGTTGAATACATAAGTACCTTTTTTTTTTTTTGAGGCGAAGTCTTGTTTTGCCGCCCAGCCTGGAGTGCAGTGGTGCAATGTCGGCTCACTGCAACCTCCACCTCCCGAGGTTCTTCAAGTGATTCTTCAAGTGGTTCTTCAAGTGGTTCTTCAAGTGATTCTCCTGCCTCAGCCTCCCGAGTAGCTGGGATTACAGGCACCCACCACCACGGCCAGCTAATTTTTGTATTTTTGGTAGAGACGGGTTTTCCTGCATTGGCTAGGCTGGCCTCAAACTGTGACCTCAAGTGATCCGCACACCTCAGCCTCCCAAAGTGCTGGGATTACAGGTGTGAGCCACCACGCCCAGCCAATAAGTACCATTTTGACTTCCTGCCCAAAGATTTAGCACCCAGAGCTGTACTGTGAATTTGTTTCCTTTGAGACCTTAGGTTTGAAAAGTCTCTTTGCTATCTAACATTCAGAGGCAAAGTTGAGTGCTGTTACCCCAAAGAGGGATACTTTTGTTTGTGCTGAGTGTGGTTGGTCAGCTTTTAAAACAGAAATAGAATTTACTAAAGGAAGTGTTTTCTCATCTGCAGCATGCAAATAGCGTAGGGTACTTTGACTTCTCTTTTGTGTAGTATTTTATGCATAGTTTTCTTATGCCTTTTATAAATAAAAGATAGGCTAAAGCAGTTAGAAAGTATAGCAAACCATCCAGTGACAAAGTGATTTTTTTTTTTGAGACAGTGTCACTCTGTCACCCAGGCTGGAGTGCAGTGGCACGACTTTGGCTCACTGCAGCCTTGACCTTCAGGCTCAGGCAATCCTCCCACCTCAGCCCCTTGAGCAGCTGGGACTACAGGAGTGTGTCACCATGCCTGGGTAATTTTTGTATTTTTTGTGGAGACAGGGTTCCACCATGTTGCCCAGACTGGTCTGGAATTCCTGAGCTCAAGCTATCTGCCCAACCACCTCAGCATCCCAAAGTGCTAGGATTACAGGCGTGTGCCACCTGGCCTGAGGAAGTGATTTTTGCTTTTAAAATGAGAACAATTTCTGATTGGCTATGTTGGTAAATTGACATTTTTGGGGGGGGTGGGTGCGGGGGAACCAGGTCTTGTTTAAGATGTACCGGATACAACGTATTTAAAGGGCAAGAATCCTTTACGTTGGTACTTTATCAGAAAAAGTATAGTAGTACCTAGAGCAATACCACCCAAGAATGGTCTGTGATGATGGAAATACTGTGTATCCGCCCTGTCTGGTAGGACTAACCACATTGGCCAATGAACACTTGAAATGTGGCTAGTGCAACCGAGGAACTGAATTTTTAATCTTATTTAATAGTTTTTTTTGTTTTAAAAAATAATCATCTAGTAAAATAGACTTTTTTTGGGTATATAGTTCTATGAAATTTTTTTTTAGTTTTGTGAATGTTAACACATGTATAGATTTGTTTAACACCAACACAACCAGGACATAGCGCAGCCCTGTTACCCCTAAAAAACTCCCTCTTGCTACCATTTTCCCTACCTCTAACCCCTGGAAACCACTGTTCTGTTCTCCATCTTCCCCTTTAGTTGGAAAGTTTAAATTATTTACAGTCATTTTCTTAACCCTAAAATCACCTCAGGGGAGGGAAATTAAAGTTTAAAAGAGGCCTTCTTTAAAAACACAAGGACACAAAAGCCTTCATTTGATGGTGGCTACTCTTATATTGCATGTCTTTCAATACTATATGTCTCAACTATACGTGGTTTGACTATTCTGCATTTTTTTTTCATGGAAAATGTTATATAGTATTATCCAAAACCAAATATAATTTATTTCCCCACTTCTGTTTTGGATCATTTATGCTAGTGATTTCCTCCATCCCTAAGAACCAGCTAGCCAACTAGAATTATCAGAGTCTTAGAAACTTTCCATGCCATGGGTACATTTCACATTTTCACCCAAATACACAGTCATCAATTATCAAGCTAAAGGAAGAAATAAAAATATGTTCATTAAAATAAGTGAAAGATTTAACTATTGTAGACAATTTAAAGAGAGATTTTCTATGCTGAATTACTTTTAATTATAATTTTGAGTTTTTATTTTATAGAGCAAAGCTTTTCACTAGAAATTAATAACACCTATATTTAACTGCTTTTTTGAATATTAATATCCTATGGCCATCTCAAAAATCAATAGGTCCAGCACTGAATTTATCATCTCTCCTTTCCCTCCACTTTAACCTCTTAATTTCCTCCTGATTTCCTCCTCTCTTTCTGATATCAGTTAATGACGCCACCATCTATCTATCCACTGGCCCAAGCCAGATACCTTTAAGTCATCCTAGTCGTCTCCTTTATCCTATACATCTTGTTAGGAGGCCCTACCCTCCTGAATGTATCTTGGAGCTGCCTCTTTTATCTTTGCCCCCAGTATTCATGTCTTAATTCAGACCCTCTATTGCACTACTTTTGCAATTGCAGTAGCCTCCTAGCTGATAGTCCTCCCTCCTGTATCACTCCACCCTACTACACTATCATCTTCCACACTGCCTCCAGAATGATCCTTCTCTAAAATGAAAATCTAATCACATAATTCTCTGCTTAACTTTTCCATGGCTTCCTATTACCTATAGGATAAATCACAACCATTATTGGCATATAGAACCCCATAATAGAGCAGTTGCCTAATTTTCAAGCCTCTTATCTTTCTCTACTTTTTTGTTTCCATTCATCTGGAATTCTCTGCCTCATATATCCTTGCTGATTCCTGTTTGTCCTTTAACATTCAGGTATTATCTCTCCTAAGAATACTTTTCTGACCCATATTCCCAGGGATGAATGGGTATCCCTTTTCTGTATTCTCTGTCCTATTGTTCCTGTGACATGTTCAGCTTTGTATCCTGAGAATCCCAGTTCCTGACGCACATAATAAGTGCTCAATAAATATTAGTTGCTCAATGTTTAATTTTATATAATTCACTGCTGTTACGAAGAACTTTCCTATTTACTCGTATGATCCTTGTAATAGCCCTGGAAGATAATAGGGCATATTTTCTCATTTTTCAGATGGTAGAACTAATGGGTGTGGTTAGCTAATAAGTGGAGAATTGATGCTGGAACTTAAATCTTCTGACTCCCAACCCAGTATTTGTGTGTGTGTGTGTGTGTGTGTGTGTGTGTGTGTGTGTGTGTCTTCATCATGAATCTTTGTAAGATGTCAGCCAAAGAGATGCAATCATGACAGTAGTTAAATTATATGCAGTAACTAAGCTACAAGAATATAATCATTGTTTTATAATCTAATTGGGCAAAACAATAAAGATGTTCTTATTTTGAACAAAATTAATAGTATGCTCTAGTGACTTAGGGGGATATAGGAGTATATGCTATAAAATCCTATGAATACTGCCTTCACTCATAAACCGGCAGGCTTATACTTTTCTTGCCAACAAAGTTATCCTAATTGAACATTATTTTTATTTTTTTAAATTGACATATAATAGTTATACATATTTTTAGGAAATTGGACATTTTAAAATATTAAACTTCATATTACCTTTTATTTTTCTGTAGCTGATCCTGTTTCATGTATAACCTTTTCAGTTGGTAGAGTGTGAAGTGTTGGAGTAATTTATGAAAGGAATGGAAGGAAAGAGTAGTTTGTACTCTGTTGTGAAATTCTTGGGTGTGTTTGTCAATATACATGTTTCAAATGCCTGATAGGTACCACAGTCACATATGTCTGCATATATAACTTTACCATTCTTGTAGGTACACAAGACATTTTATGTTTCTTTCTAACAAGAAGAGTAAAAATGAAAACTAATAGGGAAACTCCATTAGATTGAGTTGTCTCACTCTTCTTGAATGTGGTGTGATGATTATTATTTTAAATCCTGTGTGATAGAATTTAATTAAACTGACTTTTGGAATTTCCTTCCAAAAGGTATCACTGGAAGAAAAAAATGCAACTATTATTTATGACCCTAAACTACAGACTCCAAAGACCCTACAGGAAGCTATTGATGACATGGGCTTTGATGCTGTTATCCATAATCCTGACCCTCTCCCTGTTTTAACTGACACCTTGTTTCTGACTGTTACGGCGTCACTGACTTTGCCATGGGACCATATCCAAAGCACATTGCTGAAGACCAAGGGTGTGACAGACATTAAAATTTACCCTCAGAAAAGAACTGTAGCAGTGACAATAATCCCTTCTATAGTGAATGCCAATCAGATAAAAGAGCTGGTTCCAGAACTCAGTTTAGATACTGGGACACTGGAGAAAAAGTCAGGAGCTTGTGAAGATCATAGTATGGCTCAAGCTGGTGAAGTCGTGCTGAAGATGAAAGTGGAAGGGATGACCTGCCATTCATGTACTAGCACTATTGAAGGAAAAATTGGGAAACTGCAAGGTGTTCAGCGAATTAAAGGTAATGTGTCTGGTGTTGATTGTTTTGTAAGGCTTAGGTGTCTGTTTTGATCTTTTAACTTTTTGCTTTCTTCTTAAGCATGAGTTTTGAATCCATGAGACTAGAGTGCTTGCTGTATCATTGAGGTACAGCATATTCCCAGGATTAAAAGTTAATGATTATAATTAAAGGTTACATAAACCTTGAACTGAAGAAAAGGCAGCTGGGTTGGCAATTCATGGAATTCAAGGTTCTTAACACAACATGACTAGGGTACTCTTTACCTCTAATATATTTTACTTAGGCATGGAGAAACTTGGAGACCATAGCTACAGTGGTCATATCTCTTACTTGTTTCTAGTCTATGCCAATAACATTTTCTGAAAAGAAAAAAAATTAAGAAAATATGATGACAAGAATGAGAGAGAAACAATTATTTGTGGTTATTGATTTAGAAAACAGAATGTTTTCTGAAGTAGCCCAGGAATAACTGAATTAATTATATTTCTTTTTATTAACTAGTCTCCCTGGACAATCAAGAAGCTACTATTGTTTATCAACCTCATCTTATCTCAGTAGAGGAAATGAAAAAGCAGATTGAAGCTATGGGCTTTCCAGCATTTGTCAAAAAGCAGCCCAAGTACCTCAAATTGGGAGCTATTGATGTAGAACGTCTAAAGAACACACCAGTTAAATCCTCAGAAGGGTCACAGCAAAGGAGTCCATCATATACCAATGATTCAACAGCCACTTTCATCATTGATGGCATGCATTGTAAATCATGTGTGTCAAATATTGAAAGTACTTTATCTGCACTCCAATATGTAAGCAGCATAGTAGTTTCTTTAGAGAATAGGTCTGCCATTGTGAAGTATAATGCAAGCTCAGTCACTCCAGAATCCCTGAGAAAAGCAATAGAGGCTGTATCACCGGGGCTATATAGAGTTAGTATCACAAGTGAAGTTGAGAGTACCTCAAACTCTCCCTCCAGCTCATCTCTTCAGAAGATTCCTTTGAATGTAGTTAGCCAGCCTCTGACACAAGAAACTGTGATAAACATTGATGGCATGACTTGTAATTCCTGTGTGCAGTCTATTGAGGGTGTCATATCAAAAAAGCCAGGTGTAAAATCCATACGAGTCTCCCTTGCAAATAGCAATGGGACTGTTGAGTATGATCCTCTACTAACCTCTCCAGAAACGTTGAGAGGAGCAATAGAAGACATGGGATTTGATGCTACCTTGTCAGGTAATTATCATTTTTTCTTTGATTACCCTAATGTTCTTTTACTTCCATTTTGCTGCTTCTTTTGGCATTTATCAATGAGAAATGATTCATAGGCACTGTAATTCCACTTTTGCAAATATGTCCTATGGAGGTAGCCAGCAGTATATACAAAGATGCATAAGGATGTTTGTATAATTGCTTATGATATTTAAAAACTGGAAACAATAACTCGTGGTGCAACAATAAATAACTCATGATGAAATGCTATGAAGTCATAAAACATTATGGTATTAAAGATAATTAATGCCACAGGAAGGTGTCTGAGGTATTTTGTTAAATGAAAAAAAGCTGAAAAGCTATATATACAATGTGATCAAAATTTTATAAAGAAATGTATCTGAATTTACGCCATGTATATATTGTTTATGTATATGAATAAGATTCCTGGTAGGATATGAACCAAAATTTTAACAGTGATTATCTTTGGGTGGTAGGATAAATGTGATTTTTGTTTCCATTGTGTTTCCTGGTTTTATAAGTTGTTTTTACAATAAGAATGTATGTATGTAGCTATGTATTTATATAATGGGGGAAGCCAGTGCTCTTTTAAAAACAAAAGTAGTTGAAATAAATAATAGGATTTTAACTATAATTTTATATTTAGGCATTCAAATTAAACTGACTCCAGAGCTGTCCCAAAGTTTTCGTATTTCCTGACAGCTCTTACCTTTGAACTGAAACAAAAAATGTATATTCAATGGAATTTAATTATGTGAAATTGTTCTTTTGAACCAGAATTGAACCTGGCCTTGAATTAAACTGGAAAATGCCCAAATGAAATTTTTTGCTTGAAATAACAATTGAAACGTTTTACAACCAATTTCTGGACAATATAATTAATCTTTGCTATCCTGATTAGAATGAAAGATATCAAATAGTAGTATTCCCTTTTTAGGCTCACTAAATCTGAGTAAAAAATTTTACTAAACACATGTCTAAATTGTTATGGTAGATTAATGTCAGTGAGAGAGGACTTAGAGACATACCATTATTAATTTTTAGTTCTTAATTTTTCTGTTGGTGACAAATGGTAGAAATTATAGAATTCTCACTTTTTAAAATTGACACATAGTTCACATACCATAAAATTTGCCCATTTAAGGTACACAACCCAGTGGTTGTTAGTATACTTACAGAGTTTTCCAGCCATCATCACTATATAATTTTAGAACTTTTTATCACTCCCAAAAGAAATCACATATCCATTAGCAGTCATTGCCCATTTCTCCTTCCCCTCCCCAAGCTCCTGATAACAACTGTTCTACTTTCTGTCTCTGAATTTGACTATTCTAGGGACATCATTTAAGTGGAATCATACAACATTTGTCCTTTTGTGCCTGAATTATTTTATTTAGCATAATGTTTTCAAGGTCCATCCATGTTGTAGTATGTATTAGAACATCATTCCTTTTTATTGCTGAATATTATTCCATTGTATGGATATATCACATTTTTGTTTTTTCATTCAACAGTTGATGGGAATTTGGATTGTCTCCACTCTCTTGCCTATTATGTATAACACTGCTATGAACAATTTGAGTTCAAATTTTTGTATGAACATATGTTTTTATTTCTCCTGGGTATATATCTAGGAGTGGAATTGCTGGGTCACATGGCAGCTAAACTTTTTGAGGGACTGCCAGACTGTTTTTCAAAGTAGCTGTTCCATTTTACATTACCATCTCAAATTCTCACTCTAATGTAGAAAATCTCAATTTTTTGAGATTTTTAAATTAGAATCTGGCCTGGTACGGTAGCTCACAACTGTAATCCTAGCACTTTTGGAGGCTGAGGCAGGCAGACCACTTGACCCCAGAAGTTCGAGACCAGCCTTGGTAACATGATGAAACCCCGTCCCTACAAAAAATACAAAACATCAGCTGGGCATGGTGACACACACCTGTAGTCCCAGCTACTCAGCGGGCTAAGGTGGGAGGATTGCTTAAGCCCGGAAGTCAAGGCTGCAGTGAGCCGTGATCGTGTCACTGTACTCCAGCCTGGGTAACAGAACAAGACCCTGTCTTTAAAAAAATAGATTTTAGATTAGAATCTAATCTAAAAAATTAGATTCTTTTTTTTTTTTTTGAGACGGAATCTTGTTCTGTCACCCAGGCTAGAGTGCAGTGGCATGATCTCAGCTCACTGCAACCTTGGCCTCCCAGGTTCAGACAATTCTCCTGCCTCAGCCTCCTGAGTAGCTGGGATTACAGGCGCCTGACACCATGCCTGGCTAATTTTTGTATTTTTAGTAGAGATGGGGTTTCACCATTTTGGTCAGGCTGGTCTTGAACTCCTGACCTCGTGATCCACCGGCCTTTGCTTCCCAAAGTGTTGGGATTACAGGCGTGAGCCACCATGCCTGGCCTTTAGATTCTTTTGCTCTAAAAAAGAGATACATAGTTCTCTATTAGAAAATTCATACAGAACACTAAAATGTTAAAGGGACTCTAGTACCAAAAGTCTGAACGAAGTGTAGGAAATCCATAATTGCTGAAGGAAATAATTATGAAACCAGAAGAAAAATTTAAGTTGGAAATAAGTGCAGTTATATCAGGGAGCCATAAAAATGACTAAAATTGGTTTCAGCAAAATTTCATTTTACCTATCACCACTTAATTTTTTTTTTCTTTTTGAGATGGAGTCTTGCTCTTTCACCCAGGCTGAAGTGCAATGGCATGATCTCGGCTCACTGCAACCTCTGTGCCCCGGGTTCAAGCAATTCTCCTGCCTCAGCCTCCTGAGTAGCTGGGATTACAGGTGCACGCCACCATGCCCAGCTAATTTTTTTGTATTTTTAGTAGAGACAGGGTTTCACCATGTTGGTCACGCTGGTCTTGAACTCCTGACCTCAGGTGATCTGCCCGCCTCGGCCTCCCAGAATGCTGGGATTACAGGCGTGAGCCACTGTACCTGGCCCACTTACATTTTTTTAAATTTTTGAAAATGACAGTGTTTGAAATTATATTGATTCACATTTCACTACTTCATAATGTTGGATTATTTCTCAGAGCTTCTATTAAATTAAAATACTTTGATATGCATAATGGATTATGTTGTCAATAATGAGCACCACATAAATTAGTTATATCAGTATCACCAAAACAAGTTACTTACATTATAATATTCCTATGCCTCTTACATATAGGAACACAATTATAATCATCTTACATCACATATGGTATAAAACTGAAATATTTTTCATGTTCAAATGTGGTATCTGTCATTACAGTAAGCAAGGGCATCATAAACTTTCAGATTGGATTCAAAAACAGAATTTTTTTCTATTCACTTGGGTTTATATTTTTGCAACTCACATTTTTGCAAGTGTGGTTCACAGACCAGCAGCACCTAGGACCTTGTTAGAAATCAGACTCTGGCCCACTGCAGACCCAGTAAATCAAATTCTACATTTTAATTTTAATGAGCTCTCCAGGTAATCCATTTGCACATTAAAGTTTGAGAACACTGATCTACATAATGTGATTCATTGACCTTTAAATTCTAAATTAAATCTACATTAACTTTGTTTACATAAACAAGTCCAGAAATTTGATTGAAGGCAATAATATCAGTCATAACAACATTTCGATCAACAATGGACCACATAGACGATGGTGGTCCCGTAAGATTATAATGGAGCATATATAGAAACCTCATATAAGGCATTTGATATTGGCATAGCAGATCAAGTAGGAGAAATGATTGATATTCATTAATGGTGCTAGGACATTTGGTGTTCCATCTGAAAAAATATATATAAATACAAATATAAAGAGCATCTAGTTTTGTGTAAGTACACTCTATGATGTTCACACAATGATGAAATTGCCTAAAGCATTTTTCAGAACATATTTCCATCGTTTAAGTGACTCATGACTGTATAATATTAAATATTATAATTTAAAATAGCTAGCATTTTTTTAGGAGAAAAGCCATATAAATTTATTTGATCATAGTTTTACATGACATGGGAGCCTTCAGAATGAAGACCCAAAGATACAGGAGAAACTGCCCATTTTTGTGCTTAGATTTAGCACAATATGGATAGCTAAAATAGCTAGCATTTTATTATTATTATTATTATTGGAGACAGAGTTGCACTCTGTTGCCCAGGCTGGAGTGCAATGGCGCAATCTCGGCTCACTGTAACCTCTGCCTCCCGGGTTCAAGCAATTCTCCTGCATCAGCCTCCTGAGTTGCTAGGATTACAGGCGCATGCCACCATGCCCGGCTAATTTTTGTATTTTTAGTAGAGACAGGGTTTCGCCTTGTTGGCCAGGCTGGTCTTGAACTCCTGACCTCAGGTGATCTGCCTGCCTCAGCCTTCCAAAATGCTAGGATTACAGGTGTGAGCCACAGTGCCCAGCCAAAAAAGCTAGCATTTTATGAAGGTTTATATAACAAATGTGAGCAGAGTAAAAGCAACTTTTCAATTACCTTAGCTGATCAAACTAGTAAATGGAATTCAAGAGTACTTGATCAGTCTCTGGCACCATGTATAGCATCTACCTAGTCCTTAGGAACTATGACTGCAGCAAGTTCAGTAACTTTTTTTTTTTTGAGACACAATCTCGCTCTGTTGCCCAGGCCGGAGTGCAGTGGCACGATCACAGCTCACTGCAGCCTTAATTTCCGGGGCTTAAGCGATCTTCCCACCTCAGCCTCCTGAGTGGCTGGGACTATAGGCGTGTACCACCACACCCGGCTAATTTTTTTCTATTTTTTGTAGAGATGGAGTCTCAGTTTGTTGCCTAGGCTGGTCTCAAACTCCTGGGCTCAAGCAGTCCACCCACCTTGGCCTCCCAAAGTGCTGGGATTACATGTTTGAGCCACCATGCCTGGCCTCAGTAACTTTTAACAATGTCTTTTACCTCAACCTACTATTGTTAAGGGCCCCGGGAATCAATTATTCAACAAATGATTATCAGGAGCCAGTTATATGCCCTGCATCTGTTAGGGCTTATAACATACATACTAATGGCCATGATGGGTAGGTAAAAAACCTTGGCATAGTGAATGTCACCATAAAAGAATTGATAGAGCTTAACTACAGTGACCCATATTATCGGGACATGAAGTGACTGCATTCTGTGATTCTGCTAGAGATTAGAGTTTAAGATTTCACCAGAATTGTAACTACCCATTTTTTAAGTGTAAGTGTCAGTGCTGATCCAGGTCTCACAGCCTACTTCTGCCACCCATTCTCAGACAGAAGGATTGACACATTTTGCCTTTGTATCATACTAGTCCTAGGTGAGCTATAAATCTTAAAAGAGGTAGTGAGAAGCCAGACGCAGTGGCTTACGCCTGTAATCCCACGACTTTGGGAGGCCGAGGCAGGTGGATCACCTGAGGTCAGGAGTTCGAGACCAGCCTGGCCAACATGGTGAAACCCTGTCTCTATTAAATATACAAAAAAAATTAGCCGGGCGTGGTGGTGGGCGCCTGTAATCCCAGCTACTCGGAAGGCTGAGGCAGGAGAAACGCTTGAACGTGGGAGGCGAAGGTTGCAGTGAGCCGAGATTGCGCCACTGCACTGCAGCTGGGTGACAAGAGCGAGACTCCATCTCAAAAAAAAAAAAAAAAAAAAAGAGGTAGTGAGAAAAATGGGAGATGCCTTTTATCCTGACTATCTGTATTATCGTTTCCTTAAAGTAAAAAGGCATGATATATGAAGTAATCACTAACCAATTAAAGCAATCTAAATACTTGATTAAATTCCTTCCATTTTGTGACTTTTTATTTTTGTTTGTTTGTTTGTTTTGCGAAGGAGTCTTGCTCTGTCGCCCAGGCTGGAGTGCAGTGGCACAATCTTGGCTCACTGCAACCTCCGCCTCCCGGGTTCAAGCGATTCTCCTGTCTCAGCCTCCCAAGTAGCTGGGATAACAGGCTCACGCCACCATGCCCGGCTAATTTTTGTATTTTTTTTAGTAGAGACGGGGTTTCACCATGTTGGCCAGGCTGGTCTCCATCTCCTGATCTTGTGATCCACCCGCCTCGGCCTCCCCAAGTGCTGGGATTACAGGCGTGAGCCACCGTGCCCAGCCGTGACTTTTTATTTTTAACTAATTTCAAGCTTACAAAAAAACTGCAAGAAATAGTAGAGAATTCCTGTTTACCAATTTCATGCAGGTTCCACAGTTAATATTTTACATCGTTTATCATTCTCTCTTAATAGATAGATATACATTTATATATATATATACACACACACATACATACATTTTTTTCTGAACTATTTGAGAGTAAGCTGCAGACATGATGTTTATGATTATTTTAAAGCCATTTTTAGATTATTTATGTATTCTTCACACTACACCAGAGGCTGAACTTCACATCGGTTTTGAGTATCAGACTGGAAATTCTTTCTTGAAATATTTGGAATCATTTGTAGTTGTTGCCTCAAGTGCAGGAAAATCAATTTTCCTTTGAATTTATTTAAAAGTTTAAGTAGTGTTGTTACAGCCTGTAGAAAAATTAAAATTAAAATTAAAAAATTAAAATTCATTGTGACCTTTTCACACCCTTACTGTCTCTGTGGAGGATGAAGAAGGCTTTGCTCTTTTGCTTGCCACACTCACAGAGCTAAAGGATACAATTTTATGGATCTTTATTTAGAGGTCATGCTAAGGTAGCTAAAAGGGACTACCTCTTATGACTTATTTTAATATAATACTGTATTTCCAGAGTGTGAAAATTACAGATGGTATTCCAGGTTACCTCTGGTACCTAAAATAACGAAATTGCTCTGGAACAACAGGTAAAGTGATGAACAGAAAAAACTTTTTTTTTCATTGTCCAAGTTCATAATTAAGTCTCAATAGTAATTATGAGAGAATGAAGGAACCTTCTGGTTGGATTAAAATGGTGGTTTTATTCAAAACCAAAGTGATTTTTTTTTTGGCTACTCAGCCTCCTTTTTGTTTTTCTTTGGTTTTTAAAAAAGCATAACAGCAGTACTATTTGGTAAATTTCACAGTCTGTGTTCTAAATAAAGTTCTCACAATCTGAATCAGTATCTTTCTGAAGTGATTCAATTAAGACCAGAGACAGGCTAATTAAGGAACACTTTACTATTCAAAGTGTCCTTTGCTGGAATCATCCAAAATCCAAACCTCAGTGTCATGTGGTGTTCCCATGTGACAGACTTGTACACGTACCTCCTGAATCTAAAATAAAAGTTGAAATTATTTTTTTAAAGTGTCCTTTGCTATACTCAGACCTAGGCTGGCAGCACTGCCATCAACTCAGAGCTTGGTGGAAATGCAGAATCTCAGACCCTACCTTAGATGTATTGAGTCAGAACCTGCATTTTAACAAGCTCCCCCAGGTGATTGTGTATGCATTCAGATTTAAGAGGCATTAATATACTTATTTGAGAAGTCTACATTATTCTGTAGGGAAGTGGTCAGGCTTTTGTTAAAGTTTCTTCCAAACTTGCTCATCTTCAACATCCTGAAAACCAGCTCTTCTGTGCAGGGGTTCCTTTGTCTGCTAGCTAAATAGACATGAGCTGGTATTTTGTCCAAGGACAAGAATGAACAAATTAGATAGACTAGTGGAAATTTGCTCTTTTCTTCCTTTTCTCTACAGGGGAGGAGAAAATCTTTGGCTTTTTTTTTTTTCAGGTGCAGGGATGTGTTAGAATAATTTCTCCTTTCTTGGGAGGTAACTAATACTGCAGTGGATAAACTAAAACAAAATAGCAGAATTTCAGAGACTTCAGGGGAGCTTCTGGGATGATATGAGCTTCCACAGTCCATAAAGATTCTCTGAATACTCCATTGTGCAAAATAGACTTTTTGCTGACTTATTCCTTGCCTCTTCTTCCACTGTCCACAGACATATTAAAATTTAAAAATATTATATATGTATGTTAAAAATTCAAACAATATAGAAGTATAGATAGAGGAAATTTATTCATCTGTCTGTCATTCTATTCCTGCCTTAACCCTATTCCCCAGAAGTAGCCACTGTTAATAGTTTGGTATGTAACCCCCCCGCCCAGCTTTCTTATGCATGTTCTCATCTATGCATACACTAAAATTAAAAAAAAAAATCAGCACACTGCAATGCTGTTTTGCAAATTGCTTTTTGTTCCACTTAATATACTGTGAATTGCTTTGATGCCAGTATGCCAATCATCAACATGATGGTAAAATTTCATTATAAAAATAAGAACTATCCATTAACAAACTACTCTGTCTCTCAGATTGGGAGTAGAGATAATGGCTAGAAGAAAAAAAGTTTTGTTTATTCAGGTAGCTCAGATTTTCCTGGGAATTGGGATGGGAAGTATTGAAATTGGAAGTCACTGCGGAGGAAAGTGTAGAGATAACTTAATGCTAACGGATAGTAGGAACTTGCTCGTTTTAAAGGAATAGATTGTCAGTGCCTGGAGGTATGGATTGTGATGCAAGGCAAGGATGCAATTGAATGATCAATACTGCAAATGAAAAGAATCTTTCCCTTTCTACCAGACACGAATGAGCCGTTGGTAGTAATAGCTCAGCCTTCATCGGAAATGCCGCTTTTGACTTCAACTAATGAATTTTATACTAAAGGGATGACACCAGTTCAAGACAAGGAGGAAGGAAAGAATTCATCTAAGTGTTACATACAGGTCACTGGCATGACTTGCGCTTCCTGTGTAGCAAACATTGAACGGAATTTAAGGCGGGAAGAAGGTGAGACACTCTTGAAGCTTGTTATTTTATGTGCTAGTTTGGGAGCTCCATCTTTTTTGTTCTCTTACATGTTTTGTAACTATGTTATGATTCTTGGTAAGGCCTCATAAAGATTTTCAGTAATGTGTGGGACAACCCCGATGTCCTGGAAGCCTTAGTGTTTTGCTGCCTTAGATAAAGTTCCTCTCTTGTTTACCTCATGATCACATTTGTATATCTATGAAATTCGTTAAAAAAAAATAGCAGAAAGAAATACACGAGATTACTATTTTTTATAGATCAATCATGGTTGTGTTGGATTTTAAGGAACATAATTTTTTTTTTTTTTTTGAGACCGAGTCTTGCTCTGTCGCCCAGGCTGGAGTGGAGTGGCGCGATCTCGGCTCACTGCAACCTCTGCCTCCTGGGTTCAAGCGATCCTTCTGCCTCAGCCTCCCAAGTAGATGGGACTACAGGCATGCACCACCACGCCCAGCTAATTTTTGTATTTTTAGTAGAGATGGGGTTTCACCATGTTGGCCAGGCTGATCTCAAACTCCTGGCATCAGGTGATCCACCCACCTTGGCCTCCCAAAGTGCCAGGATTACAGGCGTGAGCCACCACACACGGCCCATAAATTTTCTTCTAAAGCTATGCCTAAAACTGACAAATAGAATATTTAAGAATTTCATTATTACTATACCCAGACCAAGCACCAGACCAAAAACAAGTTTGTTTAGAATTATATTTTTCTCTTTGCTTGTGGTAAAAATGTTCACAAGTTACTTAATATTGTATACAAGTGTTAATTTTAGGTTACACAATCTTAGAAAATGTATACCACAGTTTTTTAAATTCAGTCACACTCAGATGTTTTAGCTTATTAATTTGCACTCATATTTATAGACTTCCCAGTATAGCACAGTAGATTTGTTAACCATAAAGATATGTGATGATGGCCAGGCACGGTGACTCACACCTGTAATCCCAGCACTTTGGGAGGCCGAGGTGGGCGGATCGCCTGAGGTCAGGAGTTCAAGACCAGCCGGGCCAACATGGTGAAACCCCATCTCTACTAAAAATACAAAAATTAGCTGGGTGTAGTGGCGCATGCCTGGAGTCCCAGCTACTTGGGAGGCTGAGGCAGGAGAATCTCTTGAACCTGAGAGGCGGAGGTTGCAGTGAGCTGAGATCGTGCCAGCCACTGCACTCCAGCCTGTGCAACAGGGCAAGACTCCATCTCAAAAAAAAAAAAAAAAAAGATATGTGATGAGGTTTCATGAGATCAAAGTCATAGATTTGGTACTTTGGCTGCCCTAGCCCTAGGTGTCTTAATGATACATATGGTTAGTCACAGAGCTAAATAAAGAAGTATGGACTAGTATAAGCTTATCCCCACCATTGAGAAAATTACTCAAAATGTATGTAGTAATCACCTCACCTCATATATTAAGGGCAGAACATTATTATAATAAAATGTATGGTATACGGAGTCATCTTCAGTTCAATATTACCTTGTCTGCATTCTATGATTTCTGCTTCAGTTTAGCCTCCATTATTTCTAACTGGAATGCACTCAAGGCTAAAGCTTCTATTATTCTTTTTTTAGATTAATTAAAAAAGAAAAGGAGGGAGGTTGCCAAGCAAATGAAAATGAAAAGAAGCATTCAAGGTTTCTATTTAATTTAAGAACCAACTATTTTGGGGCAATTCAGAAATAGCTTTCTTCATGAGACAAGCAATGCCTATGCCAGTTACAATTTTTTTTAAGTCTGTTAAGCTGATTTTTCCAATTACTTCCATATTATCCCCTTTACAACCTCTTAGCCCAGTTAGAAATAACTTTAGCCTAGCTGGAGTCACTACATTCATTTTGTTTTTAACTAAGTAGCATTGGTCTTCTCTCAATTTAGTCTGCAACATACATATATATTTATATATATTTTATAATATATGTTATATATAAATATATAAATGTATATTAATATAATATATAAATATATATGTAATTTATATTTTGAGACAAATCGCACTCTGTTGCCCAGGCTGGAGTGCAGTAGGACCATCTCAGCTCACTGCAGCGTCTACCTCCTGGGTTCAAGCGATTTTCCTGCCTTAGCCTCCCTAGTAGCTGGGACTACAGGTGTATGCCACCATGCCTGGCTAATTTTTGTATTTTTAGTAGAGACAGAGTTTCACCATGTTGGCCAGGCTGGTCTTGAACTCCTGACCTCAAGTGATCCACCCATCTGAGCCTCCCAAAGTGCTAGGATTACAGGCATGGGCCACCACACCTGGCCCTGCGTTATATTTTTAAAAAATGAACAGAAAGAGTTCTTATTATAGTTTGAAGAGTTTTTTTAAATTATCTGCAATTTACATAAGTATTGAACTTATGTTTTTGACATTTGAAAAATCAAATTTTCCCTTCTATTTCTGTTTGCCCATAGATTACATTCAGCTGAAGCAAAAAGATTTTTTCCTACTTTCTCTATACCTTTCCTATATTACTGACACTTTCCCATTAACTGATCACCTGAATTGTTTGATACCAACAAAGCCCAAAATGTAAGCACTTTATATAGAAAAATTAGATTATATTAGGTATTTTTTCTTTTTTTCACTGTGTATACGTTTATCTACTTTTTTAATTTTTAATTTTTGTGAGTATATAATAGGTATATATATTTATAGGTTACATGAGATGTTTTGATACAAACATGCAATGCATAATAATCACATCATGGAAAATGGGGTATCCATCTCTTCAAGCATTTATCCTTGTGTTATAAACAATTCAATTATATTCTGTTACTTTTAAATGTACAATTAAATTATGATTGACTATAGTCACACTGTTGTGCCATCAAATACTAGGTCCTATTCATTCTTTTTATTTGTACCCATTAACCATCCCCACTTCCCCTTACAACCCCCACTATCCTGTTTACTTATTTAAAGCTATTAAATTAATATTTAATCATTTTTTCTTTTTTTATCAAACCTCAGACTTGACCTATGGACTGTTGATCCCCATTCCCTGTCAGGTAGCCATCAAATGCCACAGAATCCTAGAAAGAACTTCTATTTTTGCTATGTAGAATTAATTTTCTTCCTGGCAATGACAGCAATAGCTGGCCTAGAAAAGTGGAATGGTTGTTAAAAAAAAAAAGGTTTGCACTAGTGAACAGCATGACTGCCATAAAATGAACTCCTTTTTTTGGTTAACAAGTTGCGTGGGACTTTTTTTCTAGGAATAAGAGCTTTTTAGATTACTGTGTGCCAGACACTAAAACCTGATAATTTAAATAAATGACTATTATTTGATAATATTATAATGTGTATGTTGGTATATTATTGGATTCTTTGCTACAATTATGATTTCATAAGTGCATGAGTTCCTTTCTCTATTTTTTTTTTTTTGAGACAGGATCCTACTCTGTCACACATGGTGCATTGCAGTGGCATGAACACTGCTTACTGCAGCCTCCACCTCCCAGGGTCAAGTGATCTTCCCACCTCAGCTTCCTGAGTAACTGAGACCACAGGCATGCACCACCATGCCCAGCTAATTTTTGTATTTTTTTTTTTTTTTTTTGTAGAGACAGGGTTTTGCCATATTGCCCAGGCTGGTGTCGAACTCCTGGACTCAAGCGATCTGCCCTCCTCGGCCTCCCGAAGTTCTGGGATTGCAGGCATGAGCCGTCATGCCCAGCCGAGTCCCTTTCTCTAGTACTCTGTCTTATTAATTTCTAAAAATGCTTTATATTTACAAGATACAGTCTCAAGCAATTTCAATTCATAGGCCTAATTTGCATCCAAGTCAAACAAAAAACTGTTGAACTAGTAAACAGTTATAAGACAATTTTAAAAATGTGAATACTGCCTGGATATTTGATGATATTGAAGAATTATTTTAGGTGTGAAAATGGTATTATGGTTTTTTAAAAAGAGTCTATTTTTTAGAGATACATATTTAAATATTTACACATGAAATGATGTGATGTCTGGGACTTGCTTCAGCATAATCCAGGTAGAGAGCAGCGAGTGGAGGGTGTAGGAATGTATATGAAATAAGATTAGCCAAGTATTATGAAGCAAGGTGATAGGTACGTCAAGTTTATTATGTTCTTATACACACACACACACACACACACACACACACACACACACACACACATAATTGAAAATTTCCATAATAAAAAGTTTAAGAAAAATCAGGCTATGTTTTGGAATAGTTCTAATTGTTTGGGGTCAAGACTGGTATAAAAGTTAAATTTCTCCAGATTCAAATCCTTTAATACTTAAGAGAAATCCTTTCATACTTGATAATACTAAGAAGTAATTATAACATTACTCTTTTTAAAAAGAATGTTATCTGTATTGTTTTTCTTATCAATGCTCTTAGGAATATATTCTATACTTGTGGCCCTGATGGCTGGCAAGGCAGAAGTAAGGTATAATCCTGCTGTTATACAACCCCCAATGATAGCAGAGTTCATCCGAGAACTTGGATTTGGAGCCACTGTGATAGAAAATGCTGATGAAGGAGATGGTGTTTTGGAACTTGTTGTAAGTAAGATTTTTTGTGTGATTAATAAAACTTCCAGAAAAAAAACTTGGTAAGGTTCAGAGAAGAGTTGTGAAGATAATTAAAGGTGGGGAAAATATTATGAAAATTAAGGAAACTGGAAAATGGAAGGATAAGGTATGATCTAATGGTACTCTTCAAGCATGGAATTTAAAAAGATAATTGTCGTATCTCTGTTAACCAAAAAAGAATTGGGTATGAATGAATAAATGAAAATTAACATTTAAAATATAATATGATTCCTATCTAGTAGCATGTAATTGAATAAATTCCAGTGCATTAAAGACTCAAATTTTATAAAGTCATAAAACCTGTGTAAGGCATATTGATTTAAAGTGATCACTTTCTCCAACCCAGCAAATCAGCTGCTAGGATTCTTTCCTGTGGAAATATGATCATATAGGGCTGGGCATGGTGGCTCACACCTGTAAATCCCAGCACTTTGGGAGGCTGAGGTGGGTGGATTAGTTGAGGTCAGGAGTTCGAGACCAGCCCAGCCAACATGGTGAAACCCCATCTCTATGAAAAATACAAAAATTAGCCAGGTGTGATGGTGTGCTCCTGTAGTCCCAGCTACTTGGGAGGCTGAGGCATGAGAATCACTTAAACCCAGGCGGCGGAGGTTGCAGTGAGCTGAGATCACACCACTGCACTCCAGCCTGGGTGACAGAATGAGACTTTGTTTTTTTAAAAAAAGGAATGTGAACATTCATAAGATTATATTTATTATATAATTTTAAGAGCAAAAATTTAGAACCAATCTATATTAAATGTCCTTTAATAGGGAATGTTTAAATAAATTCTGTATAGACATATTATAGAATACAATACAGATGTTAAAAGAGTAAAATAGATCAATATTAACTGACAAGTAAAGATTTCCAGGATGTATTATTTACTTAAGCAAAACAAGTTGCAGTGTAATACTTATGGCATAATCTCATTTAGTAAAAAATGCAAAACTACATGTATGTGTACTTACATATGTATATAAACACCTAGAGAAAGGACTAGTATATACACATGATTAACACTGTTTATCTCAGGAAGAGAGCGGGATTGAGGGAGAAGATCAAAGAGAAACTTGCATCTTTTCAACATTGAAATTTTTACAGCTAGAATGTATTTAAATTTATTTGTATAACTTAAAAAATTAAAACAAAAAATCTTGTACCAAAATAAGTTCCAGTTTAAGCAAAAATTCAAATGTAGGCTGGGTGTGGTGGCTCACGCCTGTAATCTCAGCATTTTGGGAGGCCGAGGTGGGAGGATCACTTGAGCCCAGGAGTTCACGACCAGCCCAGGCAACAGGTGAAACCCCGCCTCTACAAAAAGTAAAAATTTAGGCCAGTCATGGTGGCTCACGCCTGTAATCCCAGCACTTTGGGAGGCCGAGGTGGGTAGATCACTTGAGGTCAGGAGTTCAAGACCAGCCTGACCAACATGGTGAAACCCCGTGTCTACTAAAAATACAAAAATTAGCTGGGTGTGGTGGCATGCGCCTGTAATCCCAGCTACTCGGGAGGCTGAGGCATGAGAATTGTTTGAACCTGGGAGGCAGAGGTTGCACTGAGCCAAGACTGCGCCACTGCACTCCAGCCTGGGCGACACAGTGAGATTCCATCTCAAAAAATAAAAAAATAAAAATAAAAATAAAAAATTTAAAAAGTAAATATTTAGCCAGGTGTGGTGGTGTGCATCTGTAGTCCCAGCTACTTGGGAGGCTGAGGTGGGAGGATTGCTTGAGCCTGGGAGGTTGAGGCTGCAGTGAGCTGTGTTCATGCCACTGCATTCCAGCCTAGGTGACAGAGTGAGACATTGCCTGCCTCCCAAAATTGAATGTAAACAATGAAACCATGAAATTACTAGAAGAAATATTTGGAGCATTTTTTTTCAATATTATGAAACTTTCGGACATACAGAAAAGTCAGAAGAATTGTACAGTAGATATCCTATATACACCAGCTAGATTCTACAATTAATACTTTACTATATTTGCTTTATCATACATCAATCCATCAATACATCACTGAAATAATTTTAGACTCACAAGTAAGTAAAAAAAAGTACAGAAAATTTCCATGTAGCCTTCATCTAGCTTTTCCCAATGATAACATCTAATTCATTTATAAAACAATATTGGAGGCTGGGTGCGGTGGCTCATGCCTGTAATCCCAGCACTTTGGGAGGCTGAGGTGGGTGGATCACCTGAAGTCAGGAGTTCAAGACCACCCTCGCCAACATGGTGAAACCCCGTCTCTACTAAAAATACAAAAAATTAGCCGGGCGTGGTGGCACGCGCCTGTAATCCCAGATACTCGGGAAGCTGAGGCAGGAGAATCACTTGAACCCGGGAGGTGGAGGTTGTAGTGAGCCAAGATCACGCCATTGCACTCCAACCTGGGCAACAACAGTGAAACTCCATCTCAAAAAAAAAAAAAAAAAAAAAAAGAAAAAAAAAGAAGAAAAAAACAATATTGGATTTGGAAGCGTTTTTCTAAAATATGATACAAAACCAATAAAAGAAAAGATTAATAGATTGATGAATTCAGATACCTAAACATTTCTTCTTGGGATGAAGACACCAAATGGAAAGTCAAAAGGCAATTAAAATAATTATAATTCATATCATAGATGAAGGTTAATTTTTTCATATACGAAGAACTTTTATACATCAATAAGACAAGCGTCAGCACCCCAAAATTTCTTTTCTATGATAAAGGATATGAACTGACAGTTCACAGAAAAGCAAAAACAATACCTCTTAAACATGAAAAGATGTTCAACTTCATTCGTAATGAGTAAAGCAAATTAAAATGGCACTGAAATACCATTTTCACTTATTGGATTGGTAAAGTTAACAATTTTGTTAACACTATGTTTCTGATCTCTCATGTATTGCTGGTGGTGTGTACATTGATACAAGATGCCAACAGAGGAATTTGGCAATATCTGTCAAAGGTGAAATTGCACATAGCCTTTGCCTCAGAAGTTCCACTTGTAGGAATTTATCCAACAGACATTTTTGCATATGTATGAAATGACATGTATGCAAAGATGTTCATTATAGTATTGTTTACAATAGCAAAATATGAGGAAAAACTAAATTTCAGTCATTAGGGACTAAAATTATGATACAATCATATCATGGGATACTGAGTAGCTATTAAAAACAATGAAAAAGAATGAGTAGGTTTTTATATGTTTTTAAGGATTAAAAAATAATAGCTTTTTTGAAATACCATAAAACTCACCTTTTTAAAGTGTACAACCCAGTGGTTTTTAGTATATTCACAGACTTGTGCAACTATCACTACTATCTGATTTCAAAACATTTTCATCCCCATTAAAATAAAACTCATTAGTAGTCATTCTTTAGTCCTAATCTCTTACCTGTACTGGTTCTACTCTCTCTACCCTAGGCAACCACTAATCTACTTTGTATTTGTATAGATTTGCCTATTCTGGACATTTCATATAAATGGAATAATATAATATGTGGTCCTTTGTAACCGGCTTCTTTTATTTACCATAGTGTATTCATGGTTGATCCATGTTGTAGCATGTATCATTACTGCATTCCTTTTTATTGCCAAATAATATTCCAATGTATGAATATACTACATTTTGTTGATTTAGTCATCAGTTGATGGACAATTGGGTTGTTTCCACTTTATGAATATTGCTGCTATTATAAATAATGCTGCTATGAACATTCATATACAAGTTTTTGTGTGAACTTATGTTTTTAATTCCCTTGGGGATATACCTAGAAGTGGAATTACTAAGTCATCTAGTAACTCTATATTTAACCTTTTAAGGGACTGCCAGACTGTTTTCTAAAGCAGCTGTACCATTTCATATCCCCACCAACATTGTATTGACGTTCCAATTGTTCCATATGCATGTCAACACTTGCTATTACCTTTTTATTATAGCTATCCCAGTGGAAGTGAACTGGTATCTCATTTTGGTTTGATTTGCATTTCCCTGATGACTAATAATGTTGAGTATCTTTTCTTGTGCTTATTGGCCTTTCATAAATGTTCTTTGGAGAAACAATTCGAATTTTTACCTTTTTTTTTTTTGAGACGGAGTCTCGCTCTGTCGCCCAGGCTGGAGTGCAGTGGCGCGATCTTGGCTCACTGCAAGCCCCGCCTCCCAGGTTCACACCATTCTCCTGCCTCAGCCTACCGAGTAGCTGGGACTACAGGCGTCTGCCACCATGCCCGGCTAATTTTTTGTATTTGTAGTAGAGATGGGGTTTTACTGTGTTAGCCAGGATGGTCTCGATCTCCTGACCTCGTGATCCGCCCACCTCGGCCTCCCAAAGTGCTGGGATTACAGGCGTGAGCCACCGCGCCCGACCATTTTTGCCCATTTTTAATTGGATTGTTTGTCTTTTTATTACTGAGTTGTAAGAATTCTTTATATATTCTAGATACAAGTCCCTTATCTGATATATGATTTTAAAATATTTTCTCCCATTCTGGTATTGCCTCTTCGTTGGCGGTGTTGTTTAGAGCACAGAAGTTTTCTGGGTACAGCATAGGTGCATGTGCCTGTATTTATGAGGTATATGAGACGTTTTGATACAGGCATGCAATGAGTAACAAACACATCATATAACATGGGGTATCCATCCCCTCAAGCATTTATACTTTGTGTTACAGATAATCCATTTATACTCTTTTAGTTATTTTTAAATGTATGATTAAGTTATTATTGACTATAGTCATCCTGTTCTGCTATGAAATACTATGTCTTATTCATTCTATTTTTTGTACTCCATGTTGTTTTCTTGAATAAATGCTTCCTAGATTGCTGCAAGCTTTTGTTTGATTTCCAGATTTCTGGAAAAAGATGGTTCTTACAATTTCTGCCAGTTTTCTCATTGCTTTTACAGAGGAGAGAATTTTAGAGGTCTTACTGCACCATTTGCACTGATATACCTTCAGCAGATATTCTTGAATAAATCCTTCTTAATTTGTGGTATGCCCTTTGGTCAATTTCCAGAGTATTTCAATGGCTGTTTTTTGATACTTTTGTCAGTTTTATCATTGCTTTTTGAGGAAAGGATTTGCTGAGCTCCTCACGCAGTCATTCTAGAAGTCATGCCCATCCATTTTATAATTTAACGCCCAGCTAAACTATAACCCCACTCAAGATATAGGGAAAGATACATTTTTAGACATACAAAGTCAAAACACTTTTGCCATCCATTAATTTCACTGAAAGCTATACTAGTGATTATATACTTCAGCAGGATGAAAAAAAAATCCAGCGGGAAGCAAGACTGGATACAAGAAACAATAATAAATGTCAAATCCTCTATCACTGAGTAGTAGTGACAGGAATTTGGAGACTTTTAATGAGATCCTCTTCTATCTGGGACCATATATTTGTTCAATGTGGTATAAAAATGGTATCCTAATGATCATATCTAAAGCATACTAGTAGTGCAATTAAGATCTTGTGTGGCAAACCCATGAGTCCTTTTAGTAAAAAGTGGTAACTCGGGCTGGGCATGGTGGATCACTTGAGGTCAGGAGTTCGAGACCAGCCTGGCCAACATGGTGAAACCCCCTGTCTCTACAAAAAAGATAAAAAATTAGCCAGGCATGGTAGAACATGCCTGTAACCCCAGCTACTTGAGAGGCTGAGGCAGAAGAATCACTTGAACCTGGAAGGCGGAGGTTGCAGTGAGCCGAGATCGCACCACTGCATTCCAGCCTGGGCGACAGAGCGAGAGACTCTGTCTCAAAAAAAAAAAAAAAAAAGTGGTAACTCATGTTTAATGGTGGAAAAAGTATATTCCTGAAGAACAAATGCTTTGTCTTTAACAGGTGAGGGGAATGACGTGTGCCTCCTGCGTACATAAAATAGAGTCTAGTCTCACAAAACACAGAGGGATCCTATACTGCTCCGTGGCCCTGGCAACCAACAAAGCACATATTAAATATGACCCAGAAATTATTGGTCCTAGAGATATTATCCATACAATTGAAGTAAGTGCCAAGAATTTATGTTTCTGTGTTCTTACCTATTTAATCAGCACTCCCGTGAATCATTTCTGGTTTGCATCAGATAGAGGCAATGAAAAAAAATCTAACTCCTTTGAACACTTCAAACAAGATCTGTCTCAAAATTTAATGTAAACGTGTCTGCATTTTTTTTTTTGGTCTTTTTCAGGAAAAGTTAGGCAAAGGTACATTTACACTATTAATCAGGAGCAAACAAGTTAGAACCACAAAACACTTAAAATATTTAGAAAATGGAAATAAAGTATAATTTGTTATAAATAAGATTCATATTAGTTACTAAGAAAGTGAAGGATCCTGCTTGATGGCTTTTTGTTTGTTAGGTCAAAACAAAAGACCTATTTTTAAGTTAAAGTAAGAAATTTAAAAGACTAAACCCAGCTGGACATAGTGGCTCATGCCTATAATCTCAGCATTTTGAGAGGCCTAGAGGGCACAATCACTTGAGGCCAGGAGTTCAAGACCATCCTGGGCAATGTAGCGAGACCCTGTCTCTGCAACAAAAATTAAAATAACTAGCCAGGTGTGGTGCCACGCACCCATAGTATTAATCACACGAGAAGCAGAGGTAGGAGGATTGCTTAAGTCCAGGAGTTGAAGGTTACTGTGAGAGAGACCTTGTCTCTAAAACAAACAAACAAACAAACACAATCCTTTCTTTGTGACAGATTCATCCTGTGTTCTTCAATAAGTCTTAAGTGGTAATACATGTGAATGTATTTTAAAAGTTTCAGTATGCTATAGAATTGGTGTTCAAGTGATTTAAAGCATTTTATTAGTTCAGTTAAGATCCTATTTGTATAGATGACATTATCATTACCATTTTTGTGAAACTAGTTTTACTGAGTACCTGCTATGTGCCAGTTACCAAGATTGCAAAGCTTCAACCCTTAATTCCCACAGCAATGTGGTCATATTCATTTTGGAGGTGAGGAAACCCAGGTTAAGAGAAGTTAAGTTACTTATCCAAAGTCACATAGCTAATAACTGTCATAACTGGGATTTGAGCCTAATTACTCTGACTCCAAAAGCTCATGCTTGTTCTATTCACTGTGCACTGCCAACAAATGTAAGATGGCAGCATTTCCCCTAGCAGTTGGAAATGTAATGTGTATTACTATCTATGGTCAGATAAGTCTTGCTTAGGGGTAGTTTCCTTTTTATACTTTGTTTTATTGGGGAAAATGATTTTTGTTCATGTTCTTTTTCTGATAAAACAAGACTAAATACTGCATATGCAAGGCCTTGAATAATATGTTTAGTATGGTGCTAGCTTTTTTTTTTTTTTTTTTTTTTTTTTGGAGACAGAGTCTCACTCTGTCGCCTGGGCTGGAGTGCAGTGGTGCGATCTCAGCTCACTGCAACCTCCGCCTCCTGGGTTCAAGCGATTCTCCTGTCTCAGCTTCCCGAGCAGCTGGGATTACAGGCACCTGCCACTATTTCCAGCTAATTTTTTGTATTTTTAGTAGAGACGGGGTTTCACCGTGTTGGCCATACTGCTCTCGAACTCCTGACTTTGTGATTTGCCCACCTTGGCCTCCCAAAGTGCTGGGATTACAGGCATGAGCCACCGTGCCCGGCCTGGTGCTAGCTTTTATGGCCTATTAATGAGAACCTCTACTGAGGACAGTTGTACTTGAGTTAAACTCTTATATATAGGATACATATTAACTAGCATTAAGGAAATATTTATTTGTTTGATGAAAGATTGGAAACAAATGCAATCAAGAGCAGGAAGCACATCTTCATCTTTGTATTCCCCAGAGTGACTTGCCCTCAGTAATTGAACTGTTCTTAATGACAATACCATGGCTTAGAATTTCTCTATACAATATTTATATGTTCAGTGAAATAATTTTTTTCTCATGAATTTCCTTAGAGCTTAGGTTTTGAAGCTTCTTTGGTCAAGAAGGATCGGTCAGCAAGTCACTTAGATCATAAACGAGAAATAAGACAGTAAGTACTTTGGAGTGTCAGTAAAAAACAGATTTTGACTCCTTATTACAAATTTTTTTTTGCATGTCAGTTTTTATAATATCATCCTTATACTGGATGAAATGGTCACAATGTATATCTCTCTGTAGTATGTAGAATCTTTACCCATTAGCTATTTATGACCATGATTTTTCTTTTTTTATTTTTTCCATATAAGATGGAGACGGTCTTTTCTTGTGAGTCTGTTTTTCTGTATTCCTGTAATGGGGCTGATGATATATATGATGGTTATGGACCACCACTTTGCAACTCTTCACCATAATCAAAACATGAGTAAAGAAGAAATGATCAACCTTCATTCTTCTATGTTCCTGGAGCGCCAGATTCTTCCAGGATTGTCTGTTATGAATTTGCTGTCCTTTTTATTGTGTGTACCTGTACAGGCAAGTGAATTGTTAGCAAATATATTTGTTAATAATAAAAAATAAGCAAAATTTGGCAGGCAAGGTTTATTTTCAGCTACAAAACTGATGTTAGCTAGAAGTCTGATCATTTTATGCCATATGCTTTACAAAAATAATCTTCAACTGGGTAGTTATTTAAGTTGATAATAGATGCCATTTAACCCCTAAGAAAGAGTTCAAGTTTTTTGGGTTTGGTATTTATATCTGCTACTGTATATAACTTTATTTTATTTTTAAATTTTTATTTATCTATTTTTTTTTTTTTAGAGATGGGGTTTTGCTCTGTCACCCAGGCTGGAATGCAGTGGTGTAAGCACAGCTCACTGTGGTCTTGAACTCCTGGGCTCAAGCATTCCTTCTGCCTCAGCATTCTGAGTAGCTGGGACTTCCAGGCACTAGCCACTGCACCCAGCTCAATGACTTTATTTTTGTTATTTCTTCCTGGCACTTCAGTTCATTACTTTCTGTATGTTTTAAACTCTTTTTTCGAGATAAACTTTTACTTTGGAATAGAATACTTCTATCAAATAAATCTTTTCCTTTATCTGATCCTTATAAAAGGCAATAATGATTTTAAAAAACATCTTAGTTTCTCTGTTTTAATGAAATAAGCTTTCCAGTTATATTTACCAACAAAAACGGCCAACAGATTTCGTAGCTTGTGATATACCAGTTAGTTTGAGTTTTGGAAAGATGGGTGAGTTTTATACAAAAAAATCCTTGAGAAAATGTAATTCCTTTCTTAGTTCTTGTTTTTGCTAGCCTCAGAAAGAAAAATCTGCTTGGTGTGATGGCTCATGCCTATAATCCCAGCTACTTGGGAGGCTGAGGCAGGAGGATTGCTTGAGGCCAGGAGTTTGAGACCAGCCTGGGCAACATATCAAGACTGTCTCTTAAAAAAAAAAAAAAAAAAAAGGAAGAAATATCTGATTTTCCTTGTATTATGGAATATCCATTGGATCATAGATGATAGCCCCACAGGCTTGTGCAGCAATTTGAATACCTCCCTCTGCATGTACATCTATTGAAATACAAACACGATTGTTTTGGCTTAATCTCCCTTTAGTGTTTATGGATTAGCTAAAAGCCAAAGAAAGTGACTATTGATACTTTAAGTTATTGAGATATATATGTGAATTTCAGCATTTTTTAAAATTCAATGATTATCATTCCTATATTGCAGTTTTTCGGAGGCTGGTACTTCTACATTCAGGCTTATAAAGCACTGAAGCATAAGACAGCAAATATGGACGTACTGATTGTGCTGGCAACCACCATTGCATTTGCCTACTCTTTGATTATTCTTCTAGTTGCAATGTATGAGAGAGCCAAAGTGAACCCTATTACTTTCTTTGACACACCCCCTATGCTGTTTGTGTTTATTGCACTAGGCCGATGGCTGGAACATATAGCAAAGGTAAAGTAAGAAAGGGTGACATTTGTTAAAATGTTGGGTGGATAAATGACCTTAGTATTTTTTAGGCCAATCATTGGAAATACATGCTTTTATGTAGTTAACCATTTACTGAAAGACGTATTTTCATTTTGGCAATATTTTAAGTTAAATATCAGTTTAGAAGATTTACCAAATATGGAATTAATACTGTAGATAGTACAGTATGTCTGTTTATTTTAAGAGAGACAAATGAGAAATACTTATCACTTATTTACTTACATTATTAATTGAAAAATTGACATGACCACATGGTTTAAAATAATGATAGAAAAAATTCACCCATATTCCCTTGCTATAATGTAAATCATTTTCTAATTCCATTCTACATACCTTTCTACTTAACAGAGTTGCAAATGTAGTATTCATACTACTTTGTACCCTTAACACTATAAAGTTTTTCACCATTTTTGCAGTCTAGATTATTATCTAATATTTCTGACTAAGTCTGTCACATCAGTTTGCTTTAATTTAATAAACCATTCAGGTGTTTTTCACCATTAGATTGTTTCTAATTTTTTATTTTTAGATAATCCTGCATTGAACATACTCATGTCTAATAGTCATTTCCATTGAGCTAATATCTTAGAAGACATTACAAAGGATGTGTTTACTGGGTTAAAGGGCATAAATATTTCTCTGGTTCATGGTACAAGTTGTAACAGTTTTTGCCAGCAGGGGTATGTCAGTGAAGTATTTTTACTACAACTTCACCAGCATTGCATCCCCCCCACAAATTCTTTCTAAGTTAATAGACATTAAATGGTATTACAGGGTAACTTTAGTTTGTGTTTCTTCCATTAATGGTGGGGATAAACATTTTTTCATCATCGGATGTTTATATTTCCTTTTGAATGATTTGCTTATATATGTCCTTTGCCTGTGTGTTTATTGGGTTCATGTTTTTCTTATTAATTTATATAATTTCTTCATAAATTATACCTAATAATACTTTTAAAATATTTTGTGTACTTTTAGGCTGGGCGCGGTGGCTCATGCCTGTAATCCCAGCGCTTTGGGAGGCCGAGGTGGGTGGATCACGAGGTCAGGAGTTTGAGACCGGCCTGGCCAACATGGTGAACCCCATCTCTACTAAAAATACAAAAATTAGCCAGGCATGGTGGCGCGCGTCTGTAATCCCAGCTACTCGGGAGGCTGAGGCAGGAGAATTGCTTGAACCCAGGAGGCAGGGGTTGCAGTGAGCCGAGATCATGCTACTGCACTCCAGCCTGGGTAACAGAGTGAGACTCTGTCTCAAAATAAATAAATAAATAAATAAATAATAAAATATTTTGTGTACTTCGTCTTTCTGAAGTGAAACATTTTCTAGTGAAACATTTTGAAGTGAAACATTCAAACATTTTGAAGTGAAACATTTTCATATTAATTTTTAAACAAATTAATATTCCTAAAGCTGTCTTTTGGGTAAATGCTAAAGATTGTATTTTTATTTTAGTTAAGACCTGAACTTTTTCTTCCTTAGCATTTTCAATGTGTTTGTTTTAATTTATAGGGCAAAACATCAGAGGCTCTTGCAAAGTTAATTTCACTACAAGCTACAGAAGCAACTATTGTAACTCTTGATTCTGATAATATCCTCCTCAGGTATTTATCTTCACTCTTCCCTCTTCTCTTTTTTTAACTTCTTAAGAAAAATTTCAAATATATACAGAAGTAGAAAAAGGACTATCATGAATTCACATAATCTGTCTCCCAGATATAAAAATTATCCACATTTTGCCATACTTCATCTATCCATTTTGTCTGTCTTTCTTGTTGCAGTAGTATTAAACCAAATTTCAGTCATATTGTTTTACGGCTAAATATTCTGTGTTATCTCTAAAAAAGGATATATTCTGATATAACTATACTACCGTACTGTACCTAACAAAATGAACATTAATTCCTTAATGTCACCTAAGACCCAATTCATATTCACATTTCTCCTGTTGTCTCCAAAATGTTTTAAGTCTCTTTGCCTGAAATAGAATTCAAACAAGATCCATGCATCATAGCATTTGACTATCATATGGCTTATGTTCTTTTAATCTAAAACAGCGCCTCTCTTCTTTCTCCTCATTGTCCTTCCTTCCCTCCTCCCCACAAAACAATTGACTTGAAGAAATAGCCATCAGTTGTTCTGTAGAATATCCCACAATGTGAATTTATCCTTTGTTTCCTTTTGGTTTCATTTAACTTGTTCTATAACTCCTATGTTACTTGTAAATTGGAAGATAAAGCTAAAGACTTGATTATATTTCATTCTTTTGTATTTCTCATTTTTATACTAATAAAATTGTTTAGGCAAAGTTACATAATAAAGAAATTTTTAGTTAAATGAAACCCATTACATTATTTTTTAAAACTTTCATTTTTAATTTAATGACTGTTCAAAAAAATAGAGTGCCTACTTTGTGCTAGCTACTGTGCTGTTCACTAACAGTAAGCAAGACTGACATACTAGTTCCTAGTTTAAATGTTGGTTCTAGCTTCCATTGGCAGTAATTATGGAGCCACAAGCTTGACGTGAACTAAAGAGCTTACATGGAGAGGTCAGGGTAGGAAGCATATTATCATGGTGCTTTTTATGTTAACTTATATCCAGTGAAGAACAAGTGGATGTGGAACTTGTACAACGTGGAGATATCATTAAAGTAGTTCCAGGAGGCAAATTTCCAGTGGATGGTCGTGTTATTGAAGGACATTCTATGGTAGATGAGTCCCTCATCACAGGTATGTTCTTTCAAAGGATCATGACCAAAATGTTAAGAAAAATAGACATGAAAGATGAAGCACTTTTTGTAGAAGCTATGAATAACTAAATTATGAACAGAGAGAATAAGTTCTTTTAAGACTGTATTAAATCAATTTCCTCAGATTTACTTTGTGGCTTTAGTTATGCTATTAGTCCATTTTCACATTGCTATAAAGAAATACCTGAAACTGGGTAATTTATAAAGCCAAGAGATTTAATTGACTCACAGTTCTGCATGTCTGGGGAGGCCTCAGGAAACTTGTAATCATGGTGGAGGAGAAGGGGAAGCAAGGACCTTCTTCACAAGGCAGCAGGAGAGAGAAGTGCTAGCAGGGGAAATACCAGATGCTTATAAAACCATAAGGTCTCATGAGAACTCACTCACTATCATGACAACAGCATAGGGGAAACCGCCCCCATGATTCAATCACCTCCCCTCCTCGACATGTGGGGATTACAATTTGAGATGAGATTTGGGTGGGGACACAGAGCCAAACCATATCATCCCACCCTTGACCCCTCCCAAATGTCATGTCTTTTCACATTTCAACACCAATCATGCCTTCCCAACAGTCCCCCAAAGTCTTATTTCAGCATTAACTCAAAAGTCCACAATCTAAAGTCTCATCTGAGACAAGACAAGTCCCTTCCACCTATGAGGCTGTAAAATCAAAAACGAGTTCCTTCCAAGATACAGTGGGGGTGCAGGCATTGGATAAATGCTCCCATTCCAAATGGGAGAAATTGGCCAAAACAAAGGGACTACAGGCCCCATGCAAGTCCAAAATCCGTTGGGGCAGTCATTAAATCTTAAAGCTCCAAAATGATTTCCTTTGACTTCATGTCTCACATCCAGGTCATGCTGATGCAAGAAGTGGGCTCCCAAGGTCTTGGGCAGATCCACCCCTGTGGCTTTGCAGGGTACAGCCCCTGCCACTGGCTGCTTTCACTGGCTGGTGTTGAGTGTCTGTGGCTTTTCTAGGTATACAGTACAAGCTGTTGGTGGATCTCTACCATTCTGTGGTCTGGAGGATAGTGGCCCTCTTCTCACAGCTCCACTAGGCAGTGCCCCATTGGGGACTCTGTGTGGGGGCTCTAAACTTATATTTCCCTTCTGCACTGCCCTAGCAGAGGTTTTCCATGATGGCTTCTCCCCTGCAGCAGACTTCTGCCTGGGCATCCAGGCATTTCCATACATCCTCTGAAATCTAGGCAGAGGTTCCCAAACCTCCGTTCTTGACTTCTGTGCACCTGCAGGCCCAACACCACGTGGAAGCTGCCAAGGCTTGGGGCTTGCACCCTCTGAAGCAATGGCCTGAGTTGTACCTTGACCCCTTTTAGCCATGACTGGAGCTGAAGCTGCTGGGATGCAGGATACGATGCCACTGAGGCTGCAAAGAGCATCAGAGGCCCTGGTTCCCAGCCCACAAAATCATTTTTTCTCCTAGGCCTCAGGGCCTTTGATGGGAGGGGCTGCTGCCAAGATCTCTGACATGTCCTGGAGATGTTTTCCCCATTGTCTTGGCGATTAACATTTGGCTCCTCGTTACTTATGCAAATTTCTGCAGCCCGCTTGAATTTCTCCCCAGAAAATGGGTTTTTCTTTTCTATTGCATTGTCAGGCTGTGAATTTTCCAAGCCTTTATGCTCTGCTTCCTTTTTAAACATAAGTTCCAATTTCAAACCATCTCTTTGTGAACACATAAAACTGAATGCTTTCAGAATAATGTAGGTCATGTCTTGAATGCTTTGCTGCTTAAAAAATTTCTTCTGCCAGGTATCATAAATCATCTCTCTCAAGCTCACTATTCCACAGATCTCTAGGGTGGGGGAAAAATGCCATCCGTCTCTTTTCTTGTTTCTTTTTTTTTTTTTTTTTTTTTTTTTTTTTGAGACGGAGTCTCGCTCTGTCGCCCAGGCTGGAGTGCAGTGGCACAATCTCGGCTCACTGCAAGCTCTGCCTCCCGGTTCACCCCATTCTCCTGCCTCAGCCGCTGGAGTAGCTGGGACTACAGGCACCCGCCACCACGCCTGGCTAATTTTTTGTATTTTTTATTAGAGACGGGGTTTCACCATGTTAGCCAGGATGGTCTCAATCTCCTGACCTCGTGATCAGCCGGCCTCGGCCTCCCAAAGTGCTGGGATTACAGGCGTGAGCCACCGCGCCCGGCCACCACCCATCTCTTTTCTAAAGCATAGCATGAGGGACCTTTACTCCAGTTCCCCATAAGTTCCTCATCTCCATCTGAGACCACCTCAGCTTGGACTTCATTGTTCACATCACTGTCAGCATTTTGATCAAAACCATTCAACAAGTTTGGCTGGGCGCAGTGGCTCATGCCTGTAATCCCAGCACTTTGGGAGGCTGAGGCTGGTGGATCGCTTAAGGTCTGGAGTTTGAGACCAGCCTGACCAACATGGTGAAACCCCGTCTCTACTAAAAATATAAAATTAGCCAGGTGTGGTGGAGCATGCCTGTAATCCTAGCTACTTGGGAGGCTGAGGCAGAAGAATCACTTGAACTCAAGAAGCAGAGGTTGCAGTGAGCCGAGATTGCACCATTGCACTCCAGCCTGGGCAAGAAGTGCGAAACTCTGTTACAAAAACAAAAAACAAAAAAACCTAACACCATTCAACAGATTTCTATGAAGTTCCAAACTTTCCCACATTTTCCTGTCTTTTTCTGAGCCCTCCAAACTGTTCCAGCCTCTGCCCATTACCCAGTTCCAAAGTCGCTTCCGCATTTTCAAGTATCTTTATAGCAGTGTCCTACTCCCTGTGGTAACAACTTACTCAATTTACTACATTAGTCAGTTTTCACACTGCTCTAAAGACATACCCAACGCTGGGTAATTTATGAAGGAAGGAGATTTAATTGATTCACAGTTCTGCATGACTGGGAAGGCCTCAGGAAACTTAAAATCTTGGCAGAAGGTGAAGGGGGCAAGGACCTTCTTCATAAGGCAACAGTAGAGAGAAGTGCCAGCAGGGGAAATGCCAGACACTTATAAAACCATCAGATCTCGTGAAAACTCACTCATCACAAGAACAGCATAGGGGAAATGCCCCCACATGACTCAATCACCTCCCTCCCTTGGCATGTGGGGATTATAGGTCCCTCCCTCAACATGTGGGGATTACAATTAGAGATGAAACTTGGGTGGGGACACAGAGCCAAACCGTATCAACTATTGAAGACTTTTATCACTGGAGATTATTAGCTGCTAGAATGCATAACCAAAGGAAGTTGTCTCAGTTTCCTGTAGACTTGATGGACTTTGGCAAATTTTCCTGGGCAAATACCTATTCTGCCCTTCCTGCTGTAAAGACTGGTCTAATCTGAGCTATGACACGAGTCCAGGTTTTCCACATCAGGGTCTACTCTAAGGGAATAGGCCTGGCATAGTTTTAGAAATTTTAGGTAACTAAGGCCAATCTGAGGCAGAATCAAAATGATACCTTTCCAATCTCAACTCTCTGATAGTCCTAGAAGAAGCTCAGTTTATGAACCATGTGGAAATAATTTAGGACTGTGTGTTTCTTTCTTTCTTTCTTTTTTGTTTTTTTGTTGTTGTTGTTGTTGAGACAAGGTCTTACCCTGTCACCCAAGCTGGAGTGCAATGGCACAATCTTGACTCATGGCAACCTCTGCCTCCCAGGCTCAAACAATCCTCCCACCTCAGCCTCCCACGTACCTGGGACTACAGGCGCATGCCACCATGCCTGGCTAACTTTTGTATTTTTTTGTAGAGATCGAGTTTTGCCATGTTGCCCAGTCTCGAACTCCTGAGCTCAAGCCATCTGTCTGCCTCAGCCTCCCAAAGTGCTAGGATTACAGGCATGAGCCGCTGTGCCCAACAAGACTGTGTGTTTCTCAATAGGGGTGCTATTGCCAGTTTGGATGGGGCAATTCTTAGTTCTCGGGGACTCTCTTACATACTGTAGTACAATTCAGTGCCCCTGACCCTGGCACTGGCACACTAAATCGAAGTAGTAGCACCCCCTTCCCCATCCCGTGCAGTCATTATTACAAACGAAAACTCCCTCCCACATTTCTAAATGTTCCTTGAGAACAGGTTAAGAACCAATGTTCTAGGACTAGGGTGAAACTCTAAAAGTATCTGCCAACAAGAGCTACCATACAGGTTTTTCCAGTTCAAGGTTTATATTCCTGGCATTGGCCTAGAACTGATATAAGGAAAAAGGGAAAGCAACTTTCACCTAGGCATTTGTTCAGATTCTATTTTATATCTAGATATTTTTGACAAGTAACAAATAATGATATGTTTCATGATAGTGATCATTTATGCTCCTTAAATCTATCTTTACTCTCCATACAGGGGAGGCAATGCCTGTGGCTAAGAAACCTGGCAGCACAGTGATTGCTGGTTCCATTAACCAGAACGGGTCACTGCTTATCTGCGCAACACATGTTGGAGCAGACACAACCCTTTCTCAAATTGTCAAACTTGTGGAAGAGGCACAAACATCAAAGGTAACTTAACTCCCTAGGAGAAACACAAACTATTTTCTTTAAAGCCTTCTCAGTATAAATCTTCACCTAGTTTTTACGTTTTCCAATAAAAATTTTAGTTGCATTAATATGGAGTTCGTTTGTTTTTGTTTTGAGATAGGGTCTCACTCTGTTGCACAGGCTGGAGTGCAGTGGCACCATCATGGCTCACTGCACCCTTGACCTCCTAAGTTCAAGCGATCCTTCTGCCTCAGCCTCCCGAGTAGCTGGGACTGTGTGTGGGCACATGCCACCACACCCAGCTAATTAAAAAAATTTTTTTTTATAGAAACAGGGTCTCCCTAAGTTGCCCAGGATGGTCTCGAACTCCTGGACTCAAGCTATCATCCTGCCTTAGTCTCTCAAAGTGTTGGGATTACAGGTGTGAGCCACCACACCTGGCCATTAACATGAAGTTTGTTAAAATATTTCTATTTGTGCTAACTACTAAATATACTCTGCATTCAGTATCAGAAAAGACTTTGATATGCTTCTTCTTCTTATTATTGTTGTTATTTTTAATTCTAGGCTCCTATCCAGCAGTTTGCAGACAAACTCAGTGGCTATTTTGTTCCTTTTATTGTTTTTGTTTCCATTGCCACCCTCTTGGTATGGATTGTAATTGGATTTCTGAATTTTGAAATTGTGGAAACCTACTTTCCTGTAAGTGACTTGTAATAACTCGTTACTATATGCAGAACAATTTGTGAGTCTTTTGCATTAGTAATTCATTGGAAATAACTTTAATAATTACCAGGATCTTTAAAGGTTTGGAGTGGGAGAGTGATAAGAATAATATTTGCATTTTTATAAATATAAAAAATTTCCTTTTGGAAAAAAAATTTTATTATGACTGGTGATTTTCCAAAAGCAAATACCAAACTTTTACATGTTATGCTTAGTCTCATTTCTGACATGGTTTTGCTTTCACAGAGGACTATAGATATATTGAGGAAAACCTCAGGATTTCAGCTCTGTCATTTACTGTCAATATGATCTTAGACTACTTAATTGCTCTCTGAGCTTCAGTTTCCTCAACTATAAAGTGAGGTTTTAATAATACCCATTTTGTGTAACTTAAGGTTGTTGTGAAGGTTAAATAATATATTAGAAATAATTTGTAACTTATTAAATGCTTTACAAATATAAGATATTATTAGTGTCTACTCATCTAGTTCTCTGATGCTGTCTATGGTGTTGTAAAGTGGTAAAGCAGAACTGGACTGTGCCTCAAATTAGATATATAAACTTTAAGTCATGTAAGTTTTACTATCCTCAGTTCTCTTATCTGTAAAATAGGGAAAATAGTACCTAAGATACAGGATTGGAATTAGTATAGGTGAAAGCATCTAACATATTGACAGATGCAGGTGACAGCCAAGGGTCCCCCTGCGAAACCCCTGAAGGTTGAAAACTTTCAAGCCTAAAACATCCTGAAGGTTGAAAAACCGGACTGCTGGTCCCAGATGAAGCCTGCCCTACTCCCCTACCCCCGACTGATTCTTTCTAAATAATGTCCACCTACGCACTGGGAGGATGGGGTGGGGCCCCTGGAAGTTCACCCCGTTTGTATAGGGAAGGAGTCTGGACTGACCTGTTCCTGGGTGGTACCTGGGGTTCAGTCGGTGAGGTGGAGAGCCTGTTAACAGGACTCAATCTCATTTTGTTGAGTTGTTTTTCCTTTTTCCTTTTTGGCCAATAAATTCCTTTCCCCTCGCCCTTCAAAGTGTCTGCAGACCTAATCTTTTCCTGGTCGTGTGACAAGAATCTGTTCTTTTTCTATAACAACATGTATACATATGTGAAGTTTATGGAAGCATAAGCCTAGAAATCTATGAAAGCCCCTTCCAGCTGTGTTTCTATATAGATCTATAATTCTTGGATGAATATTTAAGTATTTGAGAACTTAACCTAACACTGTAAAACTGTTACTGATAAGAGCTGCAGTGAGCCATGATGGCACTAATGTACTCCAGCCTGGGCAACAGAGCGAGACTCCTACTCAAAGTAAATAAAGTCTTACTTTGTTGTATTTATTTATTTTATTTTTTATTCAGGAGGTACATGTGCATGTTTGTTTGTTTGTTTGTTTATTTATTTATTTATTTATTTATTTATTGCGACAGAGTCTTGCTCTGTTGCCCAGGCTGGAGTGCAGTGGCACGATCTCGGCTCACTGCAACTTCCACCTCCCAGGTTCAAGTGATTCTCATGCCTCAGCCTCCTGAGTAGCGGGGATTACAGGCTTATGTCACCATGCCCGGCTAATTTTTGTATTTTTAGTAGAGATGGGGTTTCGCCATGTTGGTCAGGCTGGTCTCAAATTCCTGACCTCAGGTGATCCACCTGCCTCGGCCTCCCAAAGTGCTGGGATAACAGGCATGAGCCACTGTGCCCGGCCCGTGGATATATTGTTTATTACATGGGTATATTGGGTGATGCTGGGGTTTAGGCTTATAGTGACCCCATCTCCCAAACAGTGAACATAGTACTCAATAAGTAGTTTTTCATCCCTTGCCCCCCTCCCTTCTTCTCACCTTTTGGAGGCCCCACTGCTCATTGATTTCATCTTTATGTCCATGTGTAGCCATTGTTTAGCTCCTGCTTATAAGTGAGAACATGTAGTATTTGATTTTCTGTCCCTACGTTAACTCACTTAGGATAATGGCCTCCAGCTTCACCTATGCTACTCAAAGGACATGATTTCTTTTTTTATGGCTGCATAGTATTCCATGGTGTATATGTACTACATTTCCTTTATCCAGTCCACCATTGATGGGCACCTGGGTGACTCCATGTCTTTGCTATTGTGAAGAGTGCTGTGATAAACACACACATGCAGTTGTCTTTTGATAAAACAATTTAAAATAAATATAAGAAAATCCTTTGGGTAGATATCCAGTAGTGGGATTGCTGGGTTAAATGGTAGTTATATTTTAAGTTCTTGGAGAAATCTCCAGACTGTTTTCCGTAGAGGTTGAACTGATTTACATTCCCACCAACAGTATATAAGTGTTCCCTTTTCTCTGCATCGTTGCCAACATCTGTTATTTTTTGATTTTTTTAATTATAGCCATTCTGACTGGTGTGAAGGGGTATTTCATTGTGGTTTTAAGTTGCATTTCCCTGATGATTAGTGATGTTGAGTATTTTTTCATGTGTTTTTTTTTATCACTTGTATGTCTTCTTTTGAGAGGTGTCTATTTATGCCCTTTGCCCACTTTTAAATAGGGTTGTTTTATCCTTGTTGATTTAAGTTTCATATAGAGTCTAGATATTAGTCCTTTGTTGGATGCATACTTTGCAAATATTTTCTCCCATTCTGTAGGTTCTGTGTTTATTCTGTTGATTGTTTCTTTTGTTGTGCAGAAGCTCTTTCGTTTAATTAAATCTCCTTTATTAATTTTTGGTTTTGTTGCAATTGTTTTTGAGGTCTTAGTCATAAATTCTTTCCCTAGGATAATGTCTAGAAGAGTTTTTCCCAGGTTTTCTTGGGGTTTTTATAGTTTGAGGTTTTACATCTAAGTCTTCAATCTATCCTGAGTTAATTTTTTTATATGGTGAGAGATATGAGTCCAGTTTCATTCTTCTGCATATGGCTAGCTAGTTTTCCCAGCACCATATATTGAATAGGGTGTCCTTTCCCCATTGTTTGTTTTTGTCAACTTTGTTGAAGACCAGTTGGTTGTAGGTGTGGGCTTTATTTCTGGGTTCTCTATTTTGTTCAGTTGATCTACGTGTCTATTTTTGTATCAATACCACGCTGTTTTGATTACTATAGTCTTTTAGTATAATTTGAAGTCGGGTAATGTGATGCCTCTAGTTTTATTCTTTTTGCTTAGGATTGCTTCGGCTATTTAGGTTCTTTTTCCATATGAAATTTAGGATTGCTTTTTAAATTCTGTGACAGAGAACATTAGTAGTTTTATAGGAATTGTGTTGAATCTATAGATTGCTTTGGACAGTATGGTAGATAGGATTAGGGTTAGACATGGAGAGAAGATCATCTCCTGCCACACCCTTCCCCCACACCTACAGTGCTGCGGATGCAGCAGTGCTATTTCCCACCAGGGGCCAGCTAGCGCACACTTGGACAAAGCATATTTCATGCTTTTCATGGTGGCTCCACCCCTACTGCAAGTGAGTCACGTGCCGCTTGGGTTTTTTCCAAGGGCGAGGCTCAACTCCCTCTCCCGACAGAGTGGCACTGTCCCAGCAAGGAGGGACAGACAAATCACTGAGTTGCCTGCTTTGGTCTGGGGGAAAAGACTAACCCAAACCCATTTTAGTGGTAGCTATCAGAGGGGCATACTCATGGGAACCAAAGGACAAAGTCCTTATGAAATGAAGGTCAGGAGCCCTATAACAAGGGCACAAAAGAGAAGCTGATCATGTTCTTGCTGGCACAGGATCAGGAGTGCGAGTGCACCCTAATATAATCTCTTCCCACCACCCCTGCATCAGGGCAGGTGCTTCTACCTGGCACCAACCTACCTGCTGTCTCTTACTCTTGAGTGCCATCTACTGGTGTGTATCCTGAACTGCATCATAAAATTTAAAATCTGCTAACAGAAGGGCTTAGTTCTAGCCCTTAAGATAAGTCCACAGGGACCTCTGCACCCTAAACCCTATAGGAGATTGTTAGCTCTAATGGCTAATACCTCACTACAAAAAGCAGCATCTGAGAAAGCTATGGCATAGAAGCTATCCACAACCAAGTAATCTGTACAGCACCTTGGACCCCTGAAAGCACCAAAAACAAAGCTAAATGATCACACACAACATGCACCACAGTAAAGCACCCAAGGGAAAAAAAAGAAGGAAAGAAAACGTCCCTTGGAAATGATAGCAAATTCAAAAACAGGAAGCAAAAGTTCCCTTGGATGGGAAAGAATCAGTGCAAGAACTCTAGCAGTACAAAAAGTGTTTTCACACCGCCAAACGATTGTAATAGCTCTCTAGCAACGGATCCTAAGCAGACAGATAAGTAATTTAAAATATGGATTGCAAGGAAACCTCAATGAGATCCAAATGAAAGTTGGAATCCAATGTAAAGAAACCAGAAAAACGATTCAGGATATGCAAGACGAGGTAGCCATATTAAGAAAAAAAACAAATGGAACTGCTGGAACTGAAAAATTCAGTAAAGAAATTTCAAATCCAGAGAACTCCTGCAAGACACTATACAAGATGACCATCCTCAGGGCACACAGGCATTAGAATATCCAAAGTCAATGCAAAAGAAAAATATCTTAAAGGCAGCTACAGAAAAGGGCCAAATTACCTACAGAGCAAAACCCATCAGGCTAACAGCAGACTTCTCAGTGGAAATGTTACAAGCTGGAAGTGATTGAGAGCCTATTTTTAGTTTCCCTAAAGAAAAAAAAAACTGGCAACCAGGAATTTCATATCCTGCCAAATTAAGCTTCATACATGAAGTAGAAACAAAGTCTTCCTCAGACAAGCAAACAGTAAGGAAATTCATCACCACCAGACCAGAGCTATAAGAAATGTTCAGAGAAGTTCTGAACATGGAAACAAAAGAATGATACTTGCTACCACAAAAACATATATAAATACAAAGCTCACAGACCCTATAAAGCAATTACACAATTGAGACTACAAAGAAACTAGCAAACACTACCATAAGGAACAAAAACTCATATATCAATATTAAACTTGAATGTAAATGGCCTAAATACTCCACTTAAAAGACATAGAGTGGCAAATTGGAATAAAAAAACAAGATCCATCCTTTTGCTGTCATCAAGAGACCCATCTCAAAGGTAATAACTCATAGGTTGAAGGTGAAGGGATGGAGAAAGATCTATCATGCAAATGGAAAACAAAGAGCAGGGGTTGCTATTCTTGTATTACATAAAACAGAGTTTAAATCAACAATAGTTTTAAAAAAAGGCAAAGAAGGGCACTACAAAATGATAAAGATCTCAATTCAACAAGAAGATTTAACTATCTTAAATACATATGCACCCAACATTGGAGCATCCAGATTTATAAAACAAATACTGCTAGACCTACAAAAAGAGGTAGACTGCCATACAATAATAGTGGAGGACTTCAGTACCCCACTGACAGCACTAGAGAGATCATCAAGGACAAAAATTAGCAAAGAAACTCTGCACTTAAATTGGATTCTCAACCAAATGGCCCTAATAGATATCTACGGAATACTCCACTCAATAACCACAGAGTATATATTCTTCTCATATGAACATGGTACATTCCCTAACATTGATCATCGGCTTGATCATAAAGCAAGTCTCAATAAATTAAAAAACAACTAGATCAGATCAAGCGTCTTCCTAGACTCCAGTGGAATAAAATTAGAAATCAATACCAAGAGGAACTCTAAAAGCCACACAAGTACAGGGAGACTAAACAACCAACTCCTGAATAACTTTTGGGTAAACAATGAAGTTAATGCATTTCGGCCGGGCGCGGTGGCTCATGCCTGTAATCCCAGCACTTTGGGAGGCCGAGGCGGGTGGATCCCCTGAGGTTGGGAGTTCAAGACCAGCCTGGCCAACATGGTGAAACCCTATCTCTACTAAAAAATACAAAAATTAGCCAGGCATGGTGGCACGCACCTGTAATCCCAGCTACTTGCGAGACTGAGGGAAGAGAATTGCTCGAACCCAGGAGGTGTAGGTTTCACTGAGCCTAGATCACGCCATTGAACTGCCGCCTGGGCAACAAGAACAAAACTCCGTCTCAAAAAAAAAAAAAAAATCTCTGTTCCTGATGACATGATTCTATACCTAGAAAACCATAAAGATTTCTCCAAAAGACTCCCAGACCAGATAAACTACTTCAGTAAAGTTTCAGGGTATAAAATCAACATGCAAAAATTATTAGCATTTCTATACACCAGCAACGTCCAACTCGAGAACTAAATCAAGAACTCAATCCCATTTACAATAATCACACACAAAACATACCTAGGAATACATTTAACCAAGGAGGTGAAAGATCTCTACAGAGAGAAGCATAAAACACTGATGAAAGAAACTGAAGAAGACACAAACAAATGGAAAAACATTCCATGCCCATGGATTGGAAGCATTAATATTAAAACTACCATACTGTCCAAAGCAATCTATAGATTCAACACAATTCCTATAAAACTAATGTCCTCTGTCACAGAATTAAAAAAGCAATCCTAAAATTCATATGGAAAAAGAACCTAAATAGCCAAAGCCATCCTAAGCAAAAAGAATAAAACTAGAGGCATCACATTACCTGACTTCAAATTATACTGCAAGGCTATAGTAATCAAAAGCATGGTATTGATACAAAAATAGACATGTAGATCAATTGAACAAAATAGAGAACCCAGAAATAAAACCACACACCTACAACCAACTGATCTTCAACAAAGTTGACCAAAACAAGCAATGGGGAAAGGACACCCTATTCAATATATGATATTATTATATGGGATTACAGACATGAGCCACTGTGTCCAGCCCACTACTGTAATATTAAAAAGTTTCTTTAAGTGATTCATGTCTGTTTAGTACACACTGAACAAAAGGATTGTTGGGAAGTTTTTTTGGTATTTATTTATTTATTTATTTATTTATTTATTTATTTATTTATTTTTGAGACAGGGTCTCGCTCTGTTGCCCAGGCAGGAATGCAGTGGTGCAATCATGGCTCACTGCAGCCTCAAACTTCTGGGCTTAAGCGATTCTCTTACCTTAGCCTCCCGAGTAGCTGCAACTGCAGGCATGCACCACCATCCCTGGCTAATTTTTTTTTTTTTTTTGAGACCGAGTTTCGCTCTTGTCACCCAGGCTGGAGTGCAATGGCATGATCTCGGCTCACTGCAACCTCTGCCTTCCAGGTTCAAGCAATTCTTGTGCCTCAGCCTCCCAAGTAGCTGGGATTACAGGCATGTGCCACCATGCCCAGCTAATTTTTGCATTTTTAATAGAGACGGGGTTTCACCATGTTGGCCAGGCAGGTCTCGGACTCCTGACCTCAGGTGATCCACCTGCCTTGGCCTCCCAAAGTGCTGGGATTACAGGCGTGAGCCACTGTGCCCGGCCATACCTGGCTAATTTTTCACAAATTTTTTTTGTAGAGATGAGGTCTTACCATGTTGCCCAGGGTGGTCTCAAACTCCTGGCCTCAAATGATCCTCCTGCCTTAGCCTCCAAAAGTACTGGGATTACAGATGTGAGCCCGTGCACAGACCAGCAAGTAGCTTGGAATGTGTTTCCTTCAGGAATTTTTCTCATGAGTTCAGGATGTCTTAGATTTCTTCTAAAACTACCAATTATATTTTTCCCACATGAGCAAACACTGAACGTCACTAAGAGCTTAATTAGCAGATATACTTGGTTCACATTGTTATGTCCAAAAGGATTTTGTTGAAATATGACTAAGGTCCCTTTGCATGCCATGTGATTCTTTTTCATTGTCTTTCAAGAATAGTGTGAAAGGCAGAATTATGGTTTTACTCTACAGAGATTGAGAATTCTGTTTATTCAGTATCAAATTTTTTGAAAATTATGTCTCACATTTGCAGCTATTTCTGAAAATTTCTAATAAAAACATTCATTCTCAATATGGAGCACTTATATTCAGTCCATAGTTTGTAATTCTGGAATCTCAGTATGTCCCAATTTCTTATATTCATAAAAGAAAGAAAGTGTTTTCTTACCTGTAACTAAAAAATATATGTAGGTAGCTAGGTAGGATATGTCACTTTTTAAATTGTGGTTTTATTTAAATAGTGTTAAGTTTTGTGTCTTTTGTTTTGTACAGCTCTAAATCAATAACCAAAATTTATGCCTTTCTTCTAAAGGGCTACAATAGAAGTATCTCCCGAACAGAAACGATAATACGATTTGCTTTCCAAGCCTCTATCACAGTTCTGTGTATTGCATGTCCCTGTTCACTGGGACTGGCCACTCCAACTGCTGTGATGGTGGGTACAGGAGTAGGTGCTCAAAATGGCATACTAATAAAAGGTGGAGAGCCATTGGAGATGGCTCATAAGGTAAGACAGTCCCCAGAACTAAAACCTGTACCACCAAACTATCAATAGCACCCCTCACATGTGAGAAACACATACTCCTAAATTATTTCTCTGTGGTCCATGAGCTGAGCTGCTTCTAGGACTATCCAGAGATTTGAGGTAGGAAAGGTGTTATTTTGGTTCTGCTTCAGATTGGCCTTTGTTACCTAAGATTCCTAAAACTACTCCAGGCCTATTTATTAGAGCAGACCCTAATGTGGAAAACCTGGACTCCTATCCTAGCTCAGACTAGACTAGTCTTTGTGGCAGAAAGACAGAATAGGTGTTTGCCCAGGAAAATTTGCCAAACTCCAGCAGCCTTCTAACCTATTTGTGTGTGACTTGTTTTCTTCACTGGGACCTTCAATTGCAGTGCCGTTTCTTTGCCTTTGCTGCCACCAGCCGACAGTTTGCAGCTATGACTTTAGGAATATAATCCTATCTCTGATCTCATATTAGGATTTCCATAATCATCTCAAAGCTACTTGACTTCAACTAAAACCATGTTTCTACTAGTATGTTCTTATTATGAGGATGTAAGCTATGTACAGAGGTATATAGTAAACATAGAACATATCTTAGAACAAATCTGGAAACTCACCTCGCCAGAGAATACAGGCTAGTAATTTTTATAGACATTTTAAACTTTGATATAATTTCAAACTTAAAAGTCGCAAGACTAGCCTGGCACAGTGGCTCACGCCTGTAATCCCAGCACTTTGGGAGGCTGAGGCAGGCGGACCACGAGGTCAGGAGTTTGAGACCAGCCTGACCAACATGGTGAAACCCCGTCTCTACTAAAAATACAAAAATTAGCTGGGCGAGTTGGCACACCTGTAATCCCAACTACTCAGGAGACTGAGGCAGGAGAATCGCTTGAGCCCGGAGGGCAGGGGTTGCAGTGAGCTGGGATCGCGCCACTGCACTCCAGCTTGGGCGACTGAGCAAGACTCCATCTCAAAAAAAAAAAAAAATGTTGCAAGACTAGTACAAAGAACTCCTATATGCCCTTTACTGCAGTCGTTGGGCTCTTTTCCTAAGAATAAGGACATTCTCTTATGTAAACTGTAGTACAACTATCAAAATCAATAAATTAATATTGATATGTTGTTATCTGATCTGTAGTCCATGTTCCAGTTTCCTCAGTTGTCTCAATAATGTGCTTTATAGCTATTTTTCCCCTGTCCAGAATCATACTTTGTTGGTTTATTTTTCTTTTCTTTCTTTCTTTCTTTTTTTTTTTTTTTGAGATGAAGTCTCGCTCTATGGCCCAGGCTGGAGTGCAGTGGTGCGATCTCGGCTCACTGCAACCTCCACCCACCAAGTTCCAGCGATTCTCCTGCCTCAGCCTCCCGAGTAGCTGGGATTACAGGCATGCACCACCATGCCCAGCTAACTTTTTATTATTAGTAGAGACGGGGTTTCACCATGTTGGCCAGGCTGGTCTCGATCTCCTGACCTCAGGTGATCCATACACCTCAGTCTCTGAAAGTGCTGGGATTATAGGCTTGAGCCACCGCACCTGGCCATTTACCTTTATTCTTATAATCATTTCCCTACTGCTTAGATTTCCTCATCAGATCTATAATTCATTATATTGAAAGCCTTTCTTTTTTACCTTGAGGCACTAGAGGCGTCTCTTAATTACCTATTAACAGTCAACCCTTAAAAATTAGCTCTAGTTGTTTAACATATATTCACAGTTATTTAGCATGAACAAACAGTTCAGCATTGGCAGAGGAGAGCTGTTGTGTATAACTAAGAGTATTTCTTCTTTTATTTTCCCGAAGACCATCAGTTTTTTAAGTCAAATTAAGTCAAAGGTCAGTTTACTAAGAAACTAAATAGTCATCTCTTTGTCAAAACAGACCTTTTTCTTATTTCTGGAAAGGTGATGTGGAGGATCATCAAGTCATTGTATCTTAATTTTTTTACAGGTAAAGGTAGTGGTATTTGATAAGACTGGAACCATTACTCACGGAACCCCAGTGGTGAATCAAGTAAAGGTTCTAACTGAAAGTAACAGAATATCACACCATAAAATCTTGGCCATTGTGGGAACTGCTGAAAGTAACAGTGAACACCCTCTAGGAACAGCCATAACCAAATATTGCAAACAGGTACATTTTTTTCCTCTTGTTTATTAGTGTAGTCATCTCCTGTAGGAATTCCCCGGATCAAATCTAGTCTGGTGTTTGACTGTGATTTGCATATATAGTTGGTATGAGGCTAAAAAGACTTGTATTTTCTCATTTAATTGTATGTAACTTATTTCTTCATACAGACAAGTATACAGATGAAAACAAATGAACTATAATCCTATCACACAGATAACTCCTGTTGACATAAAAAATTAAAATAGAAGTTATACATATTTGTGGTAGGACAATTCAGATAGTTCAGAGAATTACATAATGAAAATTGTAAACCTCATTCCCTGCCCCCTTCCATAATTCCTCTCTCCAAAGTTTAACAACTGTTAACCTATTAACAGTCTTTTAAAATGACAGCTTTATTGAGATATAATTCATATACTATAAAGTTCACCTTTTTAAAGTGTACAATTCAATAATTTTAGTATAGTCATAAAGGTGTGCATCTGTTAACCGTTTTTAATGCATATAGCCACATATACGTATTTATCATCTTTTAAACTTTATACAGAAAGGTCATACAATGATCAATCTTTGTTACCTTGCTTTTTTATTTTATTAAGTGAATTTTCCTGTCAGGAAATGCAGATCTGCCTCATTGTTTTTAATGGCTGTATTATACTCTATAGTGTGAGTGTTTGTTTTTTTTTGACTTTTGCAGTATATACTCAACATCCTTATCAGTTTTTGCAAGTCTGTCTCTACATTAAATGCCTATCAATGCAATTGCTAAGTCAAAGGATGCATGCAGTTAAATTTTGATGAATGCTACCAATACCCATATGATGAATATTACCAATATACATGAGGGGTTATACCAATTTATACCTGCACCAAAAGTTATGAGTGCTCATTTCCCCACATTCTTACCAACGCTTTATTTTTATTTTCTCAATTTAATAGGTGAAAAAATATTTACTTGATGGTTTGCTTTGCATTTCCTTAATTATGAATAAGGTTGAGCATCTTTTTATATATGTATTGACCATTTGAATTTCTTTTCCTCTAACCTGTTTGTATCTATGACCTATTTTTCCACAGAGTTGTTTGTCTTTTTCTTATTCATTTGCATGAGTTCTTTATGAATTGTCTCACATTAATTTTACACTTAAAACGTGGCAGTTTCTACCATTGGTGTTGCCATTTATTTATTTGTTCTTTCTCTTTTACCTATTACCTATTACTGACCTGGCTTCCTTACACCCAAATCAAACAGCAGAGAGGATGAAGCTATAAAAAGCTAGGAAACAATGAGGGCCCCCAGAACTTTTCGGCTTGCTAAAGATGTAGACTATAGAGCAGATGGAGAGCCTCCGGTAACTAAAGGCCCTATACTTTGTTACTCTTTGCCCTGTACTGAGTAGAAAACCTGACTTGACTATGGAGTTAAAAATTTAATTTGTAATTATCTACTGGAAAGAGCAGAGAATACTGATAAGCTTTCCATGTTTTCTATAAATTTTAGAGAGTGGGATTAAAACAAAGATTTTTTTTTATTATTGTTTTTGAGACAGAGTCTCACTCTGTCACCCAGGCTGGAGTGCAATAGCGCAATCTCAACTCACTGCAACTTCCGTCTCCTGAGTTCAAGTGATTCTCCTACCTCAGCCTCCCTAGTAGCTGAGATTACAGGTGTGCACCACCACACCTGGCTAAATTTTTTTGCACTTTTAGTAGAGACAGGGTTTCACCATTTTGGCCAGCCTGGTCCCTCTGCCCACCTCGGCTTCCCAGCCGGCTTCTTCAGCTGGGATTACAGGCATGAGCCACTGTGCCTGGTCAAAACAAAGACTTTGAGGCTCTTCTGTAACTTTGAATGTTATGTTTGATGCTCTATTCCTTTGTCCTTATCAAAATCCACTGTCAAGTAGGCAATATGTGACAATTTTATTATAAACATTTAGAATTAACTAGGGGTTTTTATCTTGCTAATGAATGACCTTGCATTATCAGAACAGTAGAGGAAATCCTTTTGTTTCTGTTTGTTAGGAGCTGGACACTGAAACCTTGGGTACCTGCATAGATTTCCAGGTTGTGCCAGGCTGTGGTATTAGCTGTAAAGTCACCAATATTGAAGGCTTGCTACATAAGAATAACTGGAATATAGAGGACAATAATATTAAAAATGCATCCCTGGTTCAAATTGATGCCAGTAATGAACAGTCATCAACTTCGTCTTCCATGATTATTGATGCCCAGATCTCAAGTAAGCTAATTTTCTTTGTAGTACCAATTATGGGGCAGTTATGAACAGATGGCTAACTTTATAACCCTGAACTGTTATAGAAGAAACAAAAATTGGCATCATAATTTCATTTCCTCAAGTCAATACCCTATGCCTTCTGATCATTTAAATTAGTCAAGAATATTTCCCAACTGTGGTCATTGACACCACCATAGGGTGATGAGGTCTAGCCTTAGCTGATCATCCATGATCATTCTTTTGTCACTACAACTACTCCAAACCTTTTCTATCTTTCACAAGATCCTGTGACTCTCTCCTTTGTCCCTCTGCAAATTATCTTATTTTTTATATAGAAAATTATGGTTCTTGGGCATGTGTTCTTACATATTTTTGCCCAGAATCATTCCTTTTTTCAGGGAAAGCAGTATCCTTCATCTTGCCTAATGAATCCCTTCATCTAGATCCCACCCTCTCTTGATTCATCAGGGACCTCCCTCTTTCTGTTAGGTCCCCTTGCTGCTTTATTTTTCATCTCTTTCTGTTTTAGCTTCTTTTCTTAAACATATAAACATTTCTTCCATCAAAATCACTATATTCCCATCTAGATTTTGTCCTTTCCCATCTATATTCCCATATAGATTCTGTCTTTTTCTTTTATATCCAAGTTCTAGAAATGGTAATCTAGGTTTGTTGAATTCACTTACTCCACAGTCATGCCTCAGTTCATTGCAGTCTGGCTTCTCCCCCATCCATACTACTGAATCCGTTCTTTCTAAGTTAACTGATGACCATTGACCTCACTGCTCTCTCCAGTGGTCACTTTTCAGTCCTCATCCTGCAAGACCTCATTAAGATATTTGACAATGTTGACCATCCCTTCCTTCCTAAAGGATGATTCCATGACCCTGCTTTGTCTAGATTCTCCTCTCACCTCCCTGGCTGTTCCTTTTTTTTTTTTTTTGAGAAGGAGTCTTGCTCTGTCACCCAGGCTGGAGTGCAGTGGTGCAATCTCAGCTCACTGCAACCTCTGCCTCCTGGGTTCAAGCAATTCTCCTGCCTCAGCCCCCAGGAAGCTGGGATTACAGGTGTGCGCAGCCATGCCTGGCTAATTTTTTGTATTTTTAGTAGAGATGGGGTTTCACCATGTTAGCCAGGATGGTCTCAAACTCCTGACCTCAAGTGATCCACCCACCTCAGCCTCTCAAAGTGCTGGGATTACAGGTGTGAGCCACTGCACCCCTGGCTGTTCCTTTTAATTGTCCTTTGGTTCCTCATTTCTCTTGCTTTCAAATGTCGTATGTCGTCAGGGTTTTGTTCTTTGTCTTTTTCTCATTTTATAATACATACTCTCTCTGTACAATCTTATTCATGCTCATCACTTAGTCTACCACCCACAGACTTCCACTACCGCTCTAAAATCCATATCTTTAGCTAAGTCCTGTTTCCTTGGCTCCATGCCGATCTATCTATCTGCCCCCAAAACATGATCTACCCACCTAAGTGTTCCAACACCTCCCTCCCGATTTGTGCCTGAGTGATTTTGCTAACATGGAAATCTAGTCGTGTCACTCTCTAACCAGTACCTTTTATTACAGTGTTTTATAAGCTGTTTTTGAGCCATAGACCTTTGGAGGAATATGATGAAAGCTATGGGCCCACCCCTCAGAAAATTTTTGTTTCAAGAGATGCACATGTATCCTGAAACCCATCCACGGGTCTCTGTTAAGGATCCCAGCTTTAATGGGTCTCTCTCTCCTATGGGACAAAGTCCAGTCTCTCTGGACTTTGTTTTAGATCTGTTCCCCATGATATGTCTCCTGCCTCCCTGCATCACTCATCTTCTTTTTCCACTACCGCATATGTACTCCATGTTCCATCCCTACCTAACTACTTACAGTTCTTCCTTACGGTGTGTCATTTCCTTATTAGATCATTTCATTTACCATTTTCTCTATGTAATGTTCTTGTTCACAAATGGCATCTATCTCGTGAACTTACGCTTATCTTTCAAGACCCAGCTTATATCTCTCTCTTCAGTGACACCCTCATTGACTGACATATATTGACAGAGGTATTTGCTCTTCTTCCTGAATCATAACTGTACTTAATCTCTGTTACTGTACTAGGACAGTGTATGATAATTATATATTTACCTGCCTGTTTCTACTAGTCTGTGACTTCTTTATTATTTGTCTATGAACTTCTAGTATCAAGCACAGTGACAAATAGGAAATTCATTTGACAGCTTTTATTGAGCACCTACTGTGTGTCATGCACTGTTCAAGGCACTAAAGAATCGGCAGTAAACAAGATAAACTAAGTTCTTATTTCATGGAGCTTACATTCTTGGTGGAAGAACACAAGAGAGTGAGCAAATAAGAAAATACAATAATTCCAATGGAGATAGTGCTGTGGAGGAAAATTAAGTGGGGCAAGGGGCATAGGGGTGCTGGGAGTAGTGGGTTCTGTTTCATATAGGGTGATCAGGGTAGGCCTCACTGAGAAGGTAGTGTTTGAACGAAGATCTGAGGGGATGAGAGAAAAAGCTATGTGGATTTCTGTGGCAAACACGTTCTAGGCAGGAGAAATAGTAAGTACCAAAGCCTTTAGTCAGGAGTGTGCTTGACTTGTTTGAGGAATGGCAAGGAGAACAGTGTGGCAAGCGCAGAGTAAATGGATGGGCAAGGGGTATAAGACAAGGTCAGAGAGGTGGTTTGGGACTAGATATGTAAGGACAAAACCAATATGACAGTTTTGAGTAGAGGAGGGACAAAATCTGACTTAACATTTTAAAAGTAAACCGGGCGCGGTGACTCACGCCTGTAATCCCAGCACTTTGGGAGGCTGAGGCGGGTGGATCACTTCAGGTCAGGAGTTCGAGACCAGCCTGGCCAACATGGTGAAACCCTGTGTCTACTAAAAATACAGAAATTAGTCGGGCGTGGTAGCAGGCACCTGTAATCCCAGCTACTCGGGAGGCTGAGGCAGGAGAGAATCTTGCGGGGATTCGGGGCAAGGGCAGAAGCAGGGAGATGAGTTGGTGGACATTGTCATAATCGAGGTGAAACATAATGGTAGCTTGGACCAGTATAGCAGAGGTTGTAAGAAATGATAGAATTCTAGATGTGTCTTAAAAGGAGAGTCACAGATTTTTCTCATGGGTTGGATATATATGGCGTATGAGACAAACAGGAGTCAAGAATTATGCCAAGGTTTGTGGCCTAAGCAGTTAGAAGGATGGAGTTATCATTTAAATAAGATGGGGGATCCCACAGGAGGGACGGTATTGGGAAAAAGATCAGGAGTTCAGTTTTGTACATGTTAAGTTTGAGTACCTATTAGAGATATCCCAAGTGGTGATATCATATAAATGGAAATATGAAGTAAGCAGTTGGCTACATAAGTTTGGAATTCCAGGAAACAGACTGAATCAGAGAGATGGATTTGGGAGTCCTCTGCTTATAGATCTGTGGTGTCTAGGAAAATAGCCACTAATTATATGTGACTCTTTAAATTAGTTAATTTACATTTAATTTAATTTAAAATTCATCTTTCAGTCATACTAGCCACATTTCAGTGCTCAATAGCCACATCTGTGTGTTAGTGGCTATTGTATTAAACATAGCAGATATAGAACATTTCTAATATCACAGAAAGTTCTCTTGGACTGCAGTGGTATAGATGGTATTTAAAGCCATGAGACTGGATAAGAACCCCAAGGAGTGAGAGTAGATAAAGGGAAAGAGAGAGTTAAGTACTGAATCCTGCAGCACTATAAATTAAGAAGTTAGGGAGATGAGGAGGGATGGGCAAAGAAGGCCAAGAAGTGGCCAATTAGGAGGTAACCCCTAAGAATGTGGTATCCTAGAAGCCAAATGAAGAACGTATTTCCAGGAGGGAGTGAACAGCTGTGTTAAATTCTGCTAATAGGACAAGTAAGATGAGGAATGAGAATTAACTATTAGGATTATTAAAGTAAAGGTCACTGGCTGTAATAATTCACTGGAGTATTAGAGTCAAAAGCATAAAGCTTTTGACTACCCCAATAAATGGGGTAGGTTCACAAGAACATGGGAAGATATGAATTGGAGACAGCCAATAGAGATACTTTTGGAAAGTTTTGCTATGTACAGAAGCAGATAAATGTGGTAGCTAGAGAGGTGGGTGAGATCAAGAAAGGTTTTTTTTTTTTTTTTTTTTTTTTTTAAGATAGGACAATGTACAGCAGAGAAAAGTTGTGCAGGAGTGGGCGGGGAGAATTGTTGGGTTGGAGAGATGTTCTAGAATAGGCAAAGGAGCGGGGGTGTCTAGTGCACAAGTAGAAAGGTTGGCCTTAAATTAGGAGCAGAATCAGTTTATAATAACAGAAGGGAAGCTAGATACACAGACACAGGAGGCACAGGTAGTTGAGTGGATGCGGCAATGAGAGCTGTGGAAGTTCTTTTCTGATTGCTTCTATTTTCTTTCTGAAGTAGGAAGCAGAGTCATCATATGGTATTAGGATGGGGCAGGAGAAGTTGGAGATTTGAAGGGAGATGAGAAGGTATGAAATAGCCACCTAGAAGAAATGGAGAATGAATGGACTAGGGAAATATAGTTAAGTTGCCAGATAGCACTAAGAGCCCACTTAAAGAAAATGAGATGTCAGCATGATTGTACATGTTCATCTAGCCACATTCAGCTACTGATGCACAGTAAGTATTTTTAAATTTGATTGAATTTTTATGGAAGGTCAAAGGGAAAGCCTCACCAAGAAAGTAATATTTGAACTGGCTCTTGAAGAATGTGATTGAGTTTGCTGTCTGGAGAGGAGGGATAAGGACATTTCAGATGAAGGCAGCAATGTGTGCAAAGGCCCAGAGGCATGGAAGAACAGAGTATGTTCTTAGAAAATTTGAACATCACTGTTGGAGGCTATGTTCTAGGAGCAATACAATGTAGTGACTGTGCAAGGTTAGACAGGAAGAACTTGCTTCATGGGGTTTTATAAAGATTAATTGAACTTACTAAATGTTATTTCTGTGCCTACTTTCAGATGCTCTTAATGCTCAGCAGTATAAAGTCCTCATTGGTAACCGGGAGTGGATGATTAGAAATGGTCTTGTCATTAATAACGATGTAAATGATTTCATGACTGAACATGAGAGAAAAGGTCGGACTGCTGTATTAGTAGCAGTTGATGGTAAGGTTTTCCATAAGTATGCTATAACTCAATGTTTTGTTATTGTTTTATTAATTTATTTATTTTTGAGAGACCTCTGAACTATGAGGGTTATTCAAAAGCATCTTGAATGCAAAATGAAAATGTCAACAACACATGATTATTACTGATTAATTTAAAATTCTCTCGCATTTGCCTGCCTTTGTTACTTTCTTCCCTAGCCTATGTTTTAAATGAAGGCTAATCAAGGATTTTTTAAAACCTAAAAATAGCAACAGTAAAATAATAGCAAAGTAAAATAATATTCGTAATCCCATCATCCTAACACAATGTCAGGTTTTTTTTGTTTGTTTCTTTGTTTTGTTTTTGTTCTTGTTTTTGTTTTTTTTGAGACGGAGTTTCTCTCTTGTTGCCCAAACTGGAGTGCAATGATGTGATTCGGCTCACTGCAACCTCCGCCTCCTGGGTTCAAGCGATTCTCCTGCCTCAGCCTCCCAAGTAGCTGGGATTACAGGCGCGCACCACCATGCCCGGCTAATTGTTTGTATTTTTAGTGGAAATGGGGTTTCACCATCTTGGCCAGGCTGGTCTTGAACTCCTGACCTCAGGTGATCCACCCACTTCGGCCTCCCAAAGTGCTGGGATTACAGGCGTGAGCCACCATGCCCAGCCCACAACGTCAGTTTTAATTTTGTATATTCCATTCCTAGTTTTCTTGAAATGTGTGTGTGTTTGCAGAATTACAGTATTAGTACATATACCATTTTTTACTGGGTACATTTTATCGTAAGTAAATTTTACCTCAATAAAGTTAAAATCACTTGTACACATACTATTTTATTATGCTTTATTTTACTTAATGCTTTCTAATGTTGCTATATAATTTTACTATAATACTGCATAATTTATCAATCTTACACACTATAATCATTCCCCTCTTGTTGGAAATTTAGGCTATTCCTAATATTTCACTATTGTAAATGACACTACAATAAATATCTTTGAGGTTGTATGTGCTTTATTTTGTTATTTCTTAGGGTAAATTTCTAGTTGTGAGATTAATTCCACTCTACATTTATAATGTCTGCTAAGTATGAAGGCAGTCTTTTACTATGGCCTTTTTAGGTCTGGGAAGAAGCAGAGAATACCATTTTACTTTTGTTTTGTAAATAGAATAAAATAATAAGATTTATGGTAATATTTTTCCCACTATAAAGTGCCCATTTTGTCTCTCTCTGCCCCCCCCCCCTTACCTTAAAAAGAAAAAAAGTATTAATCTTCAGTTTCATTTGCCTATAAATTAGATAAAGTGTTTGAGGCTGTTGGCAAATACCTTTCTGAGGAACAAAAAGGGTCTTCTAATATCCAGTAAGGTCTCTCTTTTTATTTTCCTGTGATTACTTTATTAGTAACCCCTACCTCACTCTGAAATTTTCATAACCAAATATGGAGGCTTGTTACAGAGTTTGTAGTATAAAGTCTGTGTGGGCTTAGAGATATTTTAAGTTAAGCCATGCCCTGAACAACTTTACTTGAGAAAATTCATTTCATTCTGAAATTTCAAGTCAAAATGTTATTCTCCTTTCACTATATTCCAAGTTCTTTTATTTTGTGCTGCCCCTATATTAGATGAGCTGTGTGGCTTGATAGCCATTGCAGACACAGTGAAGCCTGAAGCAGAACTGGCTATCCATATTCTGAAATCTATGGGCTTAGAAGTAGTTCTGATGACTGGAGACAACAGTAAAACAGCTAGATCTATTGCTTCTCAGGTAATTGATAGGGGTATGTGATAACTTCTAATTATTGATATACATTTTATATCTTGCCTTCAAATGCTAAGAAATTTACATTACCTACTATTTTCATTATCACTGAGTAGTCCTATCTGGTTCCTTCAAGAAAATTTACCATGCTTTGCTGGAAAGACTTTGGGCTTTGTGTGTTGCTGTTATACGTAAAAAGGTATTTGCTTAGTTCATGGGATGCTTGCGTGACACTGTACACCAATTTCTGTTGATGTGCCCTTTGAAATGTTGCTCATATTCTTTACCAGTGCTGCCAACCTAAGCTGGGCTCTCCTGATCTCATGCCTGAAACACAGCAATAGCTCCACACACATCCCTCTCTAGTCCATCCTAAATACCACCACCAATGGAACTATTTTCCTAATGCACCACTTTGACATACCATTTTTCTGCTCCTGACTCCCACATCTGCCTTATCTCTAAAATTTTTCAATCTTTTTAACTTTGGAATGCCTTCTCCCCTCTTCTAATAAATAATGCAAGTAATCTTTTAATACATTCTTTTGTTTCTTTTTTTTTTCTTGGGACGGAGTTTCGCTCTTGTTGCCCAGGCTGAAGTGCAGTGGCGCGATCTCGGCTCATCGCAACCTCCACCTCCTGGGTTCAAGCGATTCTCTTGCCTCAGCCTCCCGAGTAGCTAGGATTACATGCATACACCACCACGCCCGGCTAATTTTGTATTTTTAGTAGAGACAGGGTTTCTCCATGTTGGTCAAGCTGGTCGTGAACTTCGGACCTCAGGTGATCCGCCCGCCTCGGCCTCCCAAAGTGCTGGGATTACACGTGTGAGCCACCGCACCCGGCCTATTAACACCTTCTTATGTAAAAAATACAGAAGGATATAAAGTAAAAATGTCCTCTTTTCCCCATGCTCCCCATTCAGTCCTACTGCCCCTCACACTGCCACTTTTTCATATGCATATATGTGCATATACAGAGTACATATACAGTATAATTCTGGTCTTTTCAACATCAGATCATTTTGAACAGATTGTTCAGTAGTTTGCTTTTTTTACGTAACAGTATACTTTGGAGCTTCATCCATATCTGAACATAAAGTTATTTTGGCCGGGTTTGTTGGCTCACGCCTGTAATCCCAGCACTTTGGGAGGCTGAAGTGGGCAGATCACATGAGGTCGGGAGTTTGAGACCAGCCTGGCCAGCATGGTGAAACCTTGTCTCTACTAAAAATACAAAAATTAGCCGGGTGTGGTGGCGCATGCCTGTAATCCCAGCTACTCAGGAGGCTGAGGCAGGAGAATCGCTTGAACCAGGAGGCGGAGGTTGCAGTGAGCCGAGATGGTACCATTGCACTCCAGCCTGGGTGACAGAGCAAGACTCTGTCTCAAAAAAAAAAAAAAAAAAAAGTTACAAAGTTACTTTATTCTTTCTATACTGAATTCCATGGTATGGATGTATCATAATTTATTTAACCATTTCCCTAATGATGGACATTTGGGTGGTTTTGAAAATTTTCTTTTTGCAAACAAGGCAATAATAAACATCTTTGGACATGTATCTTTCTGTACATGTGCAAGCCTGTCCAAGATAGAGCTAGACATGGAATTGCTAGACCAAATGATGCTCACATTTTGATAGATGCTGCCAGATGCCCTCCAAAAAGAGTTACAATTTACACACCAGCCACTGGTGTATAAGAGAGCTCATTTCTCCACATCCTTGCTATCACTAGATATTATCAGTCTTTTAAAATGTGGACATCTTGTGGGTGAAAACTGATGGCTTGTTATTGCTCAGTTATGTTTCACGTACTCATTATTTTTTAAATGAATTGAGTTTATTTTCATCACATAGGTTGGCATTACTAAGGTGTTTGCTGAAGTTCTACCTTCTCACAAGGTTGCTAAAGTGAAGCAACTTCAAGAGGAGGGGAAACGGGTAGCAATGGTGGGAGATGGAATCAATGACTCCCCAGCTCTGGCAATGGCTAATGTGGGAATTGCTATTGGCACAGGCACAGATGTAGCCATTGAAGCAGCTGATGTGGTTTTGATAAGGGTAAGTGCCATGGCTTGACCTTTGAGGAGTATGAGACTGCCCTATGTGGTCAATGATAATGTCATAAAGTATATTGAGCATAACAATTCTGTCTTAAGTTCCATGCTATCAGCCATTAAGAGTTTAAGAATATGGAGTGGGATTATGGGAAGTCATGCTAATTTACCCCCTGACTTTCTCAACCCAGCTCATAAGCAAGTGAGAATTATAAGTTTCTGAAGTGAAGAAGAAGATTTAAGAATGGATTCGGAATAAAATGATCTTCAACAAATAGTTGCTGAGATTATTTTAAGTAGATTTAATCATAGTACCAGCATACACCCCTAAAAGTGTTTTCAGAACCCTGAGGAAAATTTTTGAAAAACACCTTCGGAAGCTGAGTCTAAGTTTTAGCATTATCTGAGATTTGTAATTAATTCACATATTACCCTAAGGTAGACGTAATCTTCAACATACACAGTATCAAATGTAAAAGTTACTGGTTAAGTTAGAGTCTCTTACTAATATCACAAATATTTCTGTTCTTAGAATGATCTTCTGGATGTAGTGGCAAGTATTGACTTATCAAGAAAGACAGTCAAGAGGATTCGGATAAATTTTGTCTTTGCTCTAATTTATAATCTGGTTGGAATTCCCATAGCTGCTGGTATGTGACTCTTAACTAGTACTGCTTTTTCCACTAAAGTTATTAGAGACCTAACATATTGGAAGCCTGTCTTCTTACTATTAGTTTTGAGCTTAGTTTTTGTTTGTAGCCTACTGGTATGGTGAGAGGTAATGTTAAAATCAATCATTTTAATTTTCAGTAATGTTTGTTATAGCTTAAGAATATATAAGCATTCTGACAGATTTATTTTTTTCCCTCCAACTTTTTTTTTTTTTTTTTTGAGACAGAGTCTCACTCTGTTGCCCAGGCTGGAGTGCAGTCATACAATCTCGGCTCACTGCAGCCTCCATCTCCTGGGTTCAAGCAGTTCTCCTGCCTCAGCCTCCTGAGTAACTGGGACTATAGGTGCCCGCCACAACGCCCAACTAATTTTTGTATTTTTAGTATAGACGGGGTTTCTCCATGTTGGCCAGGCTGGTCTCGAACTCCTGACTTCAGGTAATCCACCCACCTCGGCCTCCCAAAGTGTTGGGATTACAGCTGTGAGCCACCACTCCCAGCCTTCAACTTTGTATTTTGAAAAATTTCAAACTTGACACCTGTAATCCCAGCACTTTGGGAGGCTGAGGTGGGCGGATCACCTGAGGTTGGGAGTTCAAGACCAGCCTGACCAACATGGAGAAACCCCGTCTCTACTAAAAATACAAAATTAGCCGGGCGTGGTGGCACATGCATGTAATCCCAGCTACTCGGGAGACGGAGGCAGTAGACTCGCTTGAACCCAAGAGGTGGAGGTTGTGGTGAGCCAAGATCGCGCCATCGCACTTCAGCCTGGGCAACAAGAGCGAAACTCCGTCTCCAAAAAAAAAAAAAAAAAAAATTCATACCTCCAAAAACATTGAAAAAAATGGTACAATAAAAATCTGTATGCCTTTCACCTAAACTCACCAACTGATGGTATTTTGCCACATTGCTTCATCTCTTTCTGCATATATTTGCACAGAGATATGTATTTGTTTGCTTATTAATTTTTTTCTAAATAGATTTACCTTTAATCTGACTACCCAAACCCAACACTGTTTGCAAGATTAATTCATGGAGCAAATGATTTTTAAAGAATTATACAAGTATTTTCCTCTAGTCTTTTTTTTACTCTACATCAGTTTTTGTCTTGTTACATAGTTGTGATTGTAGCTTATGGAGAATTTTCTGCTCTTCACTTAATATTCTATTATAGTCAGCTGGTATTTTTTTTAGGTTGAGAGACCAGATGACAGAGAGAGTGAACAAAGCAATATAACTGAGAAAAAAGAATTTAGAGTTATTTAATAAGCATCTGAGAATCTCCTAAACTTAGGGACCTGGTAGGAGTTAGTAATGATGACATAAAAGAAATAAGTATTGTTTTCTTCTTGTTCTCTCTGGTTTGAGGGCCAAGGAAAGACAAGAAATGACATGAGAACAATTACAAAACTGTTTATCAGCAAGGACACACAAATACTGAGAGAACAAAGAACAAAAGAACAATCTAAGTCCAGTAAGATTAATTCATGGAGCAAGTGATTTTTAAATAATTATACAAGTAATATATGATCACCATAGAAAAAGTAGAAAAATATAAAGAAGCACATAAAAAGTTAAAAGTATGAGTCTATTTCATCCTCATCATGTGAGCAAACATTCTTATGTCTGTGAAAACCAAGTGTGGATGAGTTTGTAGAACATGAACTCCCATACGCTATTGGTTGGATTTTGAATCACTACAGCCACTTTGGAGAACAGCTGAGGAATATCCACGTAAAGTTGAAGATGTGCCCATGTTATGACCCAGTAGTTTCACCCCTAGGTATATACCCCACAGAAACTCTCAAACATGGACACGGGGAGACATGTACAAGAATGTTAACAGCAACACTCTGTTAGTGAAAAAAATGGCAACAACAAAAATCTCTACCACCAAGAGGATAAATGCTGAAGAAGTATCAAACAAAGAAATGATTTGTATGTATGTTAGAAACACATTAATAATCTGTTTAGTATTATCTACTCTAACTAATCCATACTTGTTTCTTAGGAGTTTTTATGCCCATTGGTTTGGTTTTGCAGCCCTGGATGGGATCTGCAGCAATGGCTGCTTCATCTGTTTCTGTAGTACTTTCTTCTCTCTTCCTTAAACTGTAAGTATGATAGCTTGCTCACATTTGTATTTTGTATTCCTGTTATCATCTAGTCATTCTTGGTAGGTTTTATTCTTGTATTGATCAATGATAAGCCCAAACCATTCTTAATGAGAATTATTATTAGCGGCCGGGCGTGGTGGCTCACACCTGTAATCCCAGCACTTTGGGAGGCCGAGGTGGGCAGATCACCTGAGGTCAGTAATTTGAGACCAGTCTGGCCAATATGGTGAAACCCTATGTCTACTAGAAATACAAAAATTAGCTGGGCATGGTGGTAGACACCTGTAATCTCAGCTACTCGGGAGGCTGAGGCAGGAGAATCACTTGAACCTGGGAGGTGGAGGTTGCAGTGAGCTGAGATCGTGCCACTGCACTCCAGCCTAGGCAACAGAGTGAGATTCCATCTCAAAAAAAGAAAAGAATTATTATTAGCTAACAGTAATAATTAGCTATGTAATTGTTACTTCGTGTACTTTATGCATAGCAACCACAAGCACTGAGTGGGATAAAATATAGTGCACTAATTCTGAGAAGTAGGGTTTCTGATGATATAACTCCACACAATTCGTTTCAAGCTATTTTCCTACCAGTGATCACCTTTATACATTTCATACCAAAACTAAGTGTGGATGAGCAAATCTTCTTTCTTTTCTGCATGTAGCGAGCATCTCATTTACTTTTGGTTATTTGAAACTAGCATACTTTTGCATATGTCCAGTTACAGGAAACCAACTTACGAGAGTTATGAACTGCCTGCCCGGAGCCAGATAGGACAGAAGAGTCCTTCAGAAATCAGCGTTCATGTTGGAATAGATGATACCTCAAGGAATTCTCCTAAACTGGGTTTGCTGGACCGGATTGTTAATTATAGCAGAGCCTCTATAAACTCACTACTGTCTGATAAACGCTCCCTAAACAGTGTTGTTACCAGTGAACCTGACAAGCACTCACTCCTGGTGGGAGACTTCAGGGAAGATGATGACACTGCATTATAAAAGGCCATGGAGAGTGCTGCCAGTTTAACTTGTCATGCACTGACACAGCATTCATGATGTTACCTTCACTTTTCAAAATATTGTAGAAGGATTTTTCTCATGCTCTTATATTAGGGATTCTATTTGAGTTGCGTTTATCTGTTGGCAAAAATATCTTTTTCAAGGCATCAGCTCTGAACCTAGCTTTATTTAAACTGAATTTCCAGTATATTTTTGTTTTCACTAACAACAGATAAGGTAGAGCAGTGAGGTTTACAACAAGCCCTACAATTAGAGATTGCTGAACTGCTGCTAAAGTGATTTTTTTTTTATTTGACCAAAAAAAAAAAGGCCCAAGAAGAAGAAAATGAAAAATTTGAAGATTTGAGAGCATGAAGATATTCATGCTTTTGAACTCAAAATATTGAAGATACTCTCAAGCCTGTATCCCTGCCCCACTGGGGAGCAATGACTTTCAAAGCACTGTGTATAAAACATCTAGTTTTAGAAGGGAAACAGTTGAAACTGTTTAAAAATAGATGTGCCTTATTTATTGCAGGCTTTCTTTCCCCCATTCTCCCTGCATCCTTGTCCTTGCAGGTGCTTTTTTAGATGCTCCAATATGTCTTCTTTTGTTATTTTCTTTCGAGCTAACCAAGTTTAGGTGGTTTTTCATTGATTAAAAATAACTGACAACTGTTCTAATATTTTGCTCCTTTTTAAATTTTGTAGCTCAAAAGACCTTAAAGGTCTGTAGGGTTCCCTGCCTCCCATCTTTCCACTGTTGTAAAAAGTATATCAAATTATTCCTTCAAGTTTCCTAGCTCTGTGCTCAGTTTCAGTTCACTCCTGCCAAGTTGGACTCTAAGTTATTCTTCATGTAGTCTGCTGATCTCAGTCTGGAAACTTAACATTATGAGCCTTTTCTGCTCAAAAAATTTTCAAAGATTAAAACTATTATACATATACAGGTCATATAAAATTACCTGGATTCACTAAATTTGTTTGTTGTTGTTGTTGTTGTTGTTGTTGTTGTTGAGACAGAGTCTTGTTTTGCAGCCCAGGCTGGAGTGCAGTGGCACCATCTTGGCTCACTGCAACCTCTGCCTACCGGATTCAAGGAATTCTCCCTGCCTCAGCCTCCTGAGTAGCTAGGATTACAGGTGCCTGCCACCACACCCGGCTAATTTTCATATTTTTCAGTAGAGACGGGGTTTCGCCATGTTGGCTAGCCTGGTCTTAAACTCCTAACCTCAGGTGATCCACCCGCCTTGGCCTCCCAAAGTGCTGGGATTACAGGTGTGAGCCTCCATGCCCAGCCTAAATTTGTATTTTTTGAATTGAGTATAATCACTTTGCTAGTATATATAATTTAATAGATTTTATTTATCTTTTAGTGTTTCAGATAACCTCTCAAAAAGACTTTAAAATAATGCTATTACACAAAGCTGCATTTACCAAAAAATACAGTAAAATCATAATACAGAAACTAAAATTTCCCTAGGTTATGACGCTTTTTAGCTAAATATATACTCTTCTCTAGTTTAAAACATTTGAACTTGCCTAGTTAGTGTGGTTGGCAAATTTAGGAGCTTGTTCCCATTGCCAAATGGATTTAGAAATTCCCTTGTGAGTGCCTGGTAGCTAATACACTGGTCAGAGATCTGGTACTTGTAAGACTATTTAAATTTCTTTGTTAGTTGCAAGATGGATTTCATATGCAGAATATGTAAATGAAGAGGACTCATAAGTAAATTCCTAACATTTTGTTCCCATTACCAGAAGCAAAGCTGCTGCTAACCCAACATCTGGCACATAGGATTTGTACTCGGTAAATGTTAGTTCTTTTCTCCCCTTGAGGTCAGTAATAAATACAAAAAAATCATTTTTCTAGAGCAGAGTCTTAAAATCAGGTGGGGGTAGGGGATGGAGTTCTTCCTTTCCTACCCCTTTTCTCTTTTATCCTTTCATATATACACATGCAAAGTTTACAACCTTATTCCATGCTGTCTTTCAGATTTAGAAAAGATCTAATTTCTGTCTCAGCTGTCTTAAAGAGAGAACTGAAGCTTTTGATGAAGGTGCTATTAATCTAGAAAGGCAAACCCATTTCACTGAAATATCAATGGGTTTGCATATCTAGGCCCTTTTTTTAGACCAATGCCTATGCCATCCTCCATGCTTTCAGTTTGAGTTTTATTATTTATTATTTTAATTCCAGTGGCCCATCTTATAATACAACTTGTTTCTTCTAGAAGACAGAGCTGATAGGGTAAATGTTGAAAAAAGAAGCATGCCTCCTTCTCCCTCCCACCCACCTCAAGCAGTTGAACACAGCCAGTTATTCTTCCATTATTATGTGTACCTTGGAGTCATCCTCTTGGTCTTGTATTCATATTGTGGGACAGTGGGAATAGCAGCTTGTAGTATTGAAATAATCAAAGAGATAATTTCAGCTCTTACAACAAGAACAGAAAACATGCTAATTAGAAAAAGTCCTGCTTTAAGTAATATGTAGCCACATTTGAATCCTCTACCACAAGTCTTTTTTGCAATCTTGAACTTTCATTAGCTTCAAAGAGAAGCTGTATTTACAGGAGAAAGAGGTGATTATGGAGGGAATCAAAAATACTGCTTTCAGTTAGTAGCTAGCTTTAAGTCAGGAGTTAGTAATGAGAAATTTTATAAATGTGTATTTCTGTGTATTCACATACATATATATATACACACATATATATGTACATACACATACATACATATTACCATACTGAAGGGAAATGGATTTATATTTGAATTTGATATTTGAATATTTGAAGTTCTCTATTTATATTTCATTTATCACTCTTCTGTATTCACTCAGCAACCATGCCCTTAGTCTGAAGATAACAAGGATACTTTAATATCCAGTGCCGGTTCAGACTCACCTATGTGGCACCTTAAACTTAAATATCCAAAGATGCCTTTTGAATTTCAAAGATTAAAACACAGCTAGAGTAGTAGTATTGTAGTCTCAAGATGTATGGTGTGTCATTTGTGAAAATAGAAACGTTATTTTTCCTAGTTTAGTATCAACATTTTAGAATGTCAAATTTGATGCCTTGTGAACAAGTAATTTTATATTGTGCTTTAATTTTTTAAAAAGTATTCTTTATTCATATGTATAGAATGCTTAAAATAGCACTGTAGACAAGATGTTTCCAAAACTTTAAGTGCGCATATCTTTTCTGTATACAGCTTAAAATCAAAAATGTATGTTAAGAGAATTTTTTCTATTACTTATGGATCATGCTTTAAAATGATTTTTCTTGATATTTATTTTACTCCATTTTGTTTTTTTCTCTGGGTGAGGCATCTGGTTACTGGTTATTTTAAAAAGAATAAAGACATTCCTGGAATCACTCCTTTTGGGTTTTTGTTTGTTTTGTTTCTTTTCTACATTTTTAAGTATTATTTTACAAAATAGAAAAAATATAGATTCATGCCAAATTATTACCTATTTTTACACTAACTTTCTGCAGTCCCTCCATCTGGTATGAGTAACCAGATAGAGCACAAAGCATGAGTTCTTGTTCTTCAGTTAAAAGAGCTTCTTTCACAGTGTTGATAACAAATGCCTTTTGTAGCCAAAACCAGGCGTCTCAACCTTACGTTTTTAGTTAAAGAAATGTTTAGCTAAACGTTGTTGAACATTGATTGTTTGGTACCGAAAACAGCAGTGGACGATGTTGTGCAATATCCATCTACTGTAGTTAAGATATTCAGTAGTTTGTTTTTCATAAGCATGTAATTGATCATATTTCTGCCAAGGATGTGCCTTCAACTTTATAATTATAGTGTTGTAAAATATTTTTGTCTGTCTCTTTTGTTAAATCATCCAACCCCCTCTATCAGCAGTTCTGAACTACCTTTGTTATATTTTTATTTTTTTCAACTTTTCATCTATGATGGAGGTGGATTATAGGCATCACTACACTTTCGGTTAGGATGGGAGGGAAGAAATCTATTTTCCTTCGGACTCCACTACACCTGCCATATCATTCAGTGAGGATGAGAAATAAAGGAAGGAATATTATTGTTCTGCTTTCCTTTGTAGTCTCTAATACATTCTTGATAGAATGTCTACTCCAAATGAGCTAAACAGAGAAAAGAGATTTTCTTGCCATTGGGGAGCCCTATACAGAGTGTTTGAAGTTCCCACCCAAGATACATTCCCATACCCGAACACTCCTTTTTGAGTTAAGGAAACCATTGTAAACTTGTGAGGAAAAACTAATTTTCATTTCCCCCCAAATCCTTGGGGTTACTCAGGGTGAGGAGATAGGATGGGAAATGGCAAAATAAGAGTAAAATCCCCAAGGCATCCACTCAGCTTGCCAGCCTCCCTTTCTTATTGGTATCCTGACCTCAGAGAAGGATGTGTACTGATGGCTACCTCCCAGGTGAACCTTCAAAACCTTCCAGATCAATAAAACAAAACAAAAACCTTTCTGTTGGAGAATCCTTGCTAGATTAAGGCATCAAAGTCCCTGCTCAAATTAAAAGGAAATAGAGCTGCATCTTTCACAAATTTGACTAGGGCCAGCCAGCCCTACTTCTTTAACAGCTTCACCATCCTAGATGTGACCCCTGGTTGTACAAATGAAGTGAGAGACAAAAGGCAAGGCTTTTGAAGGTGAGGTTTAAGTGAAGTTGCTAGTATAAAGAGGGTCTTGTGCAGTTTAAGAAATCTGAAAACATCTATACGGTCAGTCACCCTCTGGAAAGTTTGAAATAGGTTGAGTAGTCTTTGGCATACTGTACCTATTGCCCTCAATGGCCCCAAGCTTTCCATTGACATCACCTTCTCTGCCCACTAAGGCCTGCCTATAAACTGAAGTGCTGCCAATACTTCAAAATTATTTGCTTCACCTCACCCAATCAAAACTCCAATTTCTTTTTAAAAAAATCTTAATTGTACATATTATGGGGTACAATTCAGTGTTCTGATACATGTATACATTGCATAATGATCAAATCAGGGCAGTTAGCATATCTGTCACCTCATGCATTTATTATTTCTTTGTGGTGAGAACATTCAAAAGCCCCCCTTCTAGCTATTTTGTAATATACAATTACCTTACTGTTAACCATAGTCACCCTACTGTGCAATAGAACACCAGAACTTATTCCTCCTATCTAATTGTATCTTTGTACCTGTTGACCAGCCTCTCTCCATCATCCCCTCTTTTCACCCCTACCCAACCTCTGGTAACCACTGTTTTACTTTCTGCTTCTATGAGATCAACTTTTTTTTAGCTTCTGCAAATGAGTGAGATCATGTAGTATTTGTCTTTCTGTGTCTGGCTTATTTCACTTAATGACATCCTCCAGGATCATCCATCTTTCTCAAATGACAGGATGTCATTCTTTTTATTGCTGAATAGTATTCCATTGTGTAGATATACCACTTTTTCTTCAACCATTCAACTGTTGTCAGGCATTTAGGTTGATTTCAAGTCTTGGCTATTGTGAATAGTGCTGTAGTAAACATGGAAGTGCAGATATCTGTGATGTACTGATTTTGTTTCCTTTGGAAATACACAGAGTAGTGGGGCTTCTGGATCATATGGTAGTTCTATTTTTAATTTTTTCAGGGACATCTGTACTGTTTTCTGTAGTGGCTGTATTATATTCCCACCAGCAGTGCGTAAGCATTTCCCCTTCTTGCCACATCCTTGCCAACACTTGTTTTTTTAATAATAGCCATTCTAAATTAACAGAGTGAAGTGACAACCTACATAGTGGTAGAAAATATTCACAAACTATACATCTAACAAGGGGTTAATATTCAGAATATATAAGAAATTAACCACAAAAAAACCCTATTAAAAATGGGCAAAAGATGTTAACAGACATTTCTCAAAAGAAAACATACAAATGGCCAATAGGTATATGAAAAAATGCTCAACATCACTAATCATCAGGAAAATACAAATCAAAATGACATTGAGATACCATCTCATTCCAGTTAGGATGACTATTATCAAAACTCCAATTTCTTCATTGAAGTTATTATTACCGAGTATAGGAGAAAAACTGAGATTAACTCAATACATCCTAAAGTGCCACTGACCTTTGGATCTTGCTAGTAGTATTTGCAATAATTTGAAAAGACTGCTTTTGAACCCAAATGACTTCATAATTATTGAAATGAAAAACATCAGGCCATATGGAAGAAGTTATTTGAAGGCAAGTAGACCCCATTATCAGCACTCCAATGCTCTTCTTGCTTTTTACAGCTCATTGCCTTCCACTTTTGAATCCACAGTTTCTTTAAAATCACCACATCCCCATAGTGACGGAAAGAGTGCTGATTTTGGAATCCATCACACCTATTTGCAAGATACCAATTCTGCTACTTACCAGCTGGGTGACTGACTATGTTAGTTTCTTATTGCTATTGTAACAAATTACAACAAATGTAGTGTGTTAAAACCAACTTATTATCTTACAGTTTTGAAGGTGAAGTCTGAAATGGGCCGAGATGGGAGGATTGCTTGTGGCCAGAAGTTCAAGACCAGCCTGGGAAACATAGTGAGACTCTATAAAAAATTTAAAAAATTAGCTGCATGTGGTAGTGCATGCTGTATTCCTAGCAACTTGGGAGGCTGAGGTGGGAGAATCACTTGAGCCCAGAAGTTCAAGATTGCAGTGAGCTATGATTGCACCACTGCACCACTGCACTCCAGCCTGGGTGGCAGAGCAAGACACTATCTCTGAAAAAGAAAAGGAAAAAAAAAAAAAAGAAAGTGTATTAGTCCATTCTTCCATTGCTATAAAGAACTGCCTGAGACTGGGTAATTTGTGAAGAAAAGAGGTTTAATTGACTCACAGTTCTGCAGACTGTACAGGAAGTGTGGCTGGAGAGGCCTCAGGAAACTTACAATCATGATGGAAGGCAAAGAGGAAGCAGGCACATCTTACATGGCATAAGCAGGTGAAAGAGAGTGAAAGGGGATGTGCTACACATTTTTAAACAACCAGATCTCATGAGAACACACTATCATGAAAACAGCAAGGGGAAAGTCTGTCCCCATGATCCAATCACCTCCTCCAACATTGGAGATTACAATTCATATGTGAGATTTGGGTGGGGATGCAAATCCAAACCATATCATTCCACCCTTGCCCCCTCCCAAGTCTCATGTTCTTCTCACGTTGCAAAATACAATCATCCCTTCTCCACAGTCTCCCAAAATCTGAATTCATTTCAGCATTAACTCAAAAGTCCACAGTCCAAAGTCTCATCTGAGACAAGTCCCTTCCATCTATGAGCCTGTAAAATCAAAACCAAGTTAGTTACTTCCAAGATACAACGGGGGTACAGGCATTGGGTAAATACATCTGTTCCTGAAGGGAGAAATTGGCCAAAACAAAGAGGCTACAAGCCCCATGCAAATCCAAAACTCAGCAGGCCAGTCATTAAATCTTAAAGCTCCTAAATAATCTCCTTTGAGTCCATGTGTCACATCCAGGCAACACTGATGCAAGTGGGATCCCAAGGCCTTGGGCATCTCTGCCCCTGTGGCTCTTTAGGGTACAGTCCCCAGAGCTGCTTTCACAGGCTGGCATTGAGTGCCTGCAGCTTTTTGAGGTACACAGTGCAAGCTGTCAGTGAATCTACCATTCTAGGGTCTGAGGATGGTGACCTTCTTCTCATAGTTCCACTAGGCAGCACCCCAATGGGGACTCTATGTGGGGGCTCCAACCCCACATTTCCCCTTTGCACTGCCCTAGTAGAGGTTCTCCATGAGGGTTCCACCCCTGGAGCAGACTTCTGGCTGGACATCCAGGCATTTCCATACATCCTCTGAAATCTAGGCAGAGGCTGCCAAGCCTCAACTCTTTCCCACTATGCATCTGCAAGCATAACACCACATAGAAGTGACTAAGGCTTGAGGCTTGTACCCTCTGAAGCAATGGCCTGAGCTGCACCTTGGCACCTTTTAGCTATGGCTGGTGCTAGAATGACCACAATGCAGGGTGCCATGTCCTGAGTTTGCATGCACAGTGCAGTGAGGCCCTGGGCCTGGCTCACAAAACCATTTTTCCCTCCTAGGCCTCCAGGTTTGTGAGGGGAGGGGCTGCTGCAAAGGTCTCTGAAATGTCTTCAAGGCGTTTTCCCCATTGTCTTGGATATTAACATTCAGCTTCTCTTTACTTATGCAAATTTCTGCAGCTGGCTTGAATTCCTCCCCAGAAAATGGGTTTTTCTTTTCTACCACATGGTCAGGCTGCAAATTTTCCAAACATTTATGCTCTGCTTTCTTTTTAAATATGTTCCAGTTTCAGATTATCTCTTTGGTCATGCATATGACCATATGCTGTTAGAAGGAGCCAGGCCAAATTAATATGGTTTAGCTGTGTCCCCACCCAAATCTCATCTTGAATTATAATCCCCTTAATCCCCACATGTCATGAGAGGGACCTGGTGGGAGGTAATTGAATCATGGGGCAGTTCCCCCATGCTGTTCTCATGATAGTGAGTGAGTTCTCATGAGATCTGATGGTTTTATAAATGTTTGGCATTTTCCCTGCTGGCACTCATTCTTTTTCCTGCTGCCTTGTGAATAGGTGCCTCCCACTATGATTGTAAGTTTCCTGAGGGCTCCCTAGCCATGCAAAACTGTGAATCAATTAAACCTCTTGTCTTTATAAGTTACCCAGTCTCAGGTATTTATTCATAGCAGCATGAGGGTGGACTAATACACACATCTTGAACATTTTGCTGCTTAGAAGTTTCTCCTGCCAGACACCTTAAATCATCACTCTCAAGGTCAAAGTTCCACAGATTCCTAGAGCAGGGACACAATATCAACAGTCTCTTTGCTAAAGCATAGCAGGAGTGACCTTTATTCCAGTTCCCAATAAGTTCCTCTTCTCCATCTGAGACCAACTCAGCCTGAACTTCATTATCCATATCACTATCAGCAGTTTGGTCACAACAATTTAACAAGTCTCTGGGAAGTTCCAAACTTTCCCTCATCATTCTCTCTTCTTCTGAGTCCTCCAAACTGTTCCAACCTCTGCCCATTATCCAGCTCCAAAACCACTTCCACATTTTCAGGTATCTTTATAGCAATGCCCCACTCCTGGGTACCAATTTTTTTGTATTAGTCCGTTTTCACATTGCTATAAAGAACTACTTGAGACTGGGTAATTTGTAAAGAAGACAGGTTTAATTGACTCAAAGTTCCACAGGCTGTACAGGAAGCATGGTTGGGGAAGCCTCAGGAAACTTAAAATTATGTTGGAAGGTGAAGAGAAAGCAAGCATGTCTTACATGGTGGGAACATGAGAAAGAGAGTAAAGAGGGAGGCGCTACACACTTTTAAAGAACTGCATCTCATTAGAACTCACTATCACGAGAACAGCAAGGGGGAGGTCCGTTCCTATGATCCAATAACCTCTCACCATGTTCCTCCTCCAACACTGGAGATTACAATCTGGACATGAGATTTGGGTGGGGACACAAATCCAAGCATATCAGAAAGCAAAAGAGCCTTACTTCTGATATGGAGTAAATTTGAATATTTTAGTTGTCTGGATAGAAGATCAAACTAGCCACAACATCCCCTTAAGCCAAAGCCTAATCCACAGCAAGACCCTAAGTCACTTTGATTTCATGAAGGCTGAGAGAGGTGAGGGACCTGCTCAAAAAAAATGGGAAGCTATCCAAGGTTGATTCATGAGGTTTGAGGAAAGAAGTCATCTTTATAACATAAAAGTGCAAGGTGAGGCAGCAAGTGCTGATGAAGAAGCTGCAGTAAGTTGTCCAGAAGATGATGAAAGTGAATACACTAAACAACAGATTTTCAATGTACACAAAACAGCCTTCTATTGGAAGAAGATGCCATCTAGGACTTTCATAGCTACAGAGGAGAAGTCAATCCCTGGCTTTAAAGCTTTAAAAAGAGAGTCTGACTCAATTGTTGGGTGATAAAATGTAGCTGGTGATGTTAAACTGAAGCCAATGCTCGTTTACCATTCTGAAATCCTAGGGTTCTTAAGAGTTATGCTAAATCTACTCTGTCTGTGCTCTATCAATAGAACTACAAAGCCTGGATGATAGCACATCTGTTTATAGCATGGTTCACTGAATATTTTAAACCCACTGTTGAGATCTGCTGCTCAGAAAAATAGATTCCTTTCAAAATATTATTGTTTCTTGACAATGCATGTAGCCATGTAAGAGCTCTGACAGGGAAGTACAAGGGAATTAATGGATTGATGTGGGATGCAATATACAACAGAAAGCATGTGGTTCTACTAGCTTTCATACATGTAAACAACACCGGAATGAGTATACCAAATAGTTCTATCACCCCAAAAAACTCCCTGATTTTATCCCTCTGTCACACCTTCCTTTATATGTAAGCTCTGGTAATCACTGATCTGTTTTCTGGCCTTATAGTTTTATCATTTCAAGAATGTCATATAAATAGAATCATATAGTGTGTGTAATGTTTTGAGGCTAACTTATTTAATTCAGCATAATGCTCTTGACATCCATTAAATTTGTTATGCCTATTAACGGCTCTTTCCTTTTTATTGCTGAGTGTTAATTCATTGAATAGATTTCCACCATTTGTTTAGCCATTCGCTCACTGAAGGACATTTGGGTTGTTTCCAGTTTTTGGCAATTATGATTAGAACCCCTATACACATTTGGGTACAGATTTTTTTTCTGAAGATAAGTTTTCATTTTTCTAGGGATGTGGTTCTTCACTGGGGACTATTTTGCCCCCACCAAGGGATATTTGACAATATCTAGAGACTTGGGGTGGGGGCAGTGCTACTGGCCTCTAGTGGATAGAGGCTAGGGATGCTGCTAAACATTCTACAGTGCATGGGTCTGTGTATTAGTCTGTTCTTACAGTGCTATAAGGAAATATCTGAGACTGGGTAATTTATAAAGCAAAGAGGTTTAATTGACTCACAGTCCAGCATGGCTGGGGAGGTCTCAGGAAACTTACAATCATGGTGGAAGGTGAAGGGGAAGCAGGTACGTCTTACATGGCAGAAGGCGAAGGAGAAGCAAGATATCTTCTTCACAAGGTGAAGGATGGTAGGTAGGAAGGAAAAGGACCACAGGAGGAAATACCTAGCACTCATAAAACCATCAGATCTTGTGAGAACTCACTATCATGAGAACAGCATGGGGGTGTGAACCCTGAAAATTTGAGACAGGTCTCAGTTAATTTAGAAAGTTTATTTTGCCAAGGTTGAGGACACACCTGTGACACAGCCTCAGGAAGTCCTGATGACATGTGCCCAAGGTGGTCAGGGAACAGCTTGGTTTTATACATTTAGGGAGAAATGAGACATCAATCAATATACGTAAGGAGTACATTGATTCCATCTGGAAAGGCGGTACAACTTGAAGCAGAGGTAGGAAGACTGGAAGGGGGAGGGAGCTTCCAGGTGACAGGTAGGTGATACACAAATGGTTACATTCTTTTGAGTTTCTGATTAGCCTTTCTAAAGGAGGCAAATCAGATATACATCTATCTCAGTGAGCAGAGGAGTGACTTTGAATAGAATGGGAGGCAGATTTCCCCTAAGCATTTTCTTTTTTTTTTTTTTTTTTTTTTTATTATACTCTAAGTTTTAGGGTACATGTGCACATTGTGCAGGTTAGTTACATATGTATACATGTGCCATGCTGGTGCGCTGCACCCACTAACGTGTCATCTAGCATTAGGTATATCTCCCAATGCTATCCCTCCCCCCTCCCCCGACCCCACCACAGTCCCCAGAGTGTGATATTCCCCTTCCTGTGTCCATGTGATCTCATTGTTCAATTCCCACCTATGAGTGAACATGGGAGAAAATTTTCGCAACCTACTCATCTGACAAAGGGCTAATATCCAGAATCTACAATGAACTCAAACAAATTTACAAGAAAAAAACAAACAACCCCATCAAAAAGTGGGCGAAGGACATGAACAGACACTTCTCAAAAGAAGACATTTATGCAGCCAAAAAACACATGAAGAAATGCTCATCATCACTGGCCATCAGAGAAATGCAAATCAAAACCACTATGAGATATCATCTCACACCAGTTAGAATGGCAATCATTAAAAAGTCAGGAAACAACAGGTGCTGGAGAGGATGTGCAGAAATAGGAACACTTTTACACTGTTGGTGGGACTGTAAACTAGTTCAACCATTGTGGAAGTCAGTGTGGCGATTCCTCAGGGATCTAGAACTAGAAATACCATTTGACCCAGCCATCCCATTACTGGGTATATACCCAAAGGACTATAAATCATGCTGCTATAAAGACACATGCACACGTATGTTTATTGTGGCACTATTCACAATAGCAAAGACTTGGAACCAACCCAAATGTCCAACAATGATAGATTGGATTAAGAAAATGTGGCACATATACACCATGGAATACTATGCAGCCATAAAAAATGATGAGTTCATGTCCTTTGTAGGGACATGGATGAAATTGGAAACCATCATTCTCAGTAAACTATCGCAAGAACAAAAAACCAAACACCGCATATTCCCCTAAGCATTTTCTAGCTTGAGTTTTCCTTAGTGATCCTGGGGGCCCAAGATATTTTTCTTTCACAGGGGAAACAGCCCCATGATTCAGTTACCTCCAGCTGGCCTCTCCCTTGCCACGCAGGGATTATAGGGACTACGGGGATTACAATTCAAGATAAGATTTTGGGTGGGGACACAGCCAAACCTTATCAGTCTGCGTCCCACAACAATGAGTTAGCCGGCCTGAGATGTCAGCAGTGCCAAGATTGAGAAACCCTGGGTAAATACCCAGGAGTACAATTGCTAGATCACATGGAAAGTATATGTTTATAAGAAACACCCTGTTTTTCAGGGTGGCTGTACCATTTTACATTTCCACCAATGCTATAGAAGAGTTCTAGTTGCTTCACATCTTTACCAGCAAACTAAGATGTTTTAAATAGATGTGTAGCAGTATCTTATTTGTGCCACTTTTTAAGGGTAAGAAAACATTCCCAGAAGCCCAAGAAGAATCCACCTGGTGTCTTATTGGTCAGAATCACATCACATACCTATTCCTAAGCAAATCGCAAGCAAGGAGAATGGAATTATTATTCACCATCTAGAGGACATGCTCTCTGGGGCTTCCTATCTAATTTCTTTATGTCTTCCCTTTATTTTCTCATGAAATAAAACAAAAAAGTACTACTTACAAGAAATCCCATACCTTGATCCTGTTCTTGAAAGACCATGCAGTGACACCTTCATTGTCAGTGGATTCAATAGGGGAGAAGTAAAGAAGAGGTCATTTCCCACACCCATTTCTGTTTCCAGGAAGAGTTATCGCAGTACCATAAATAAATCAATCCTCAATCTGCCATTTTCCCTTCTTCTTCCTCCCTCCAGGTATTTCTCCAGTAGGGCAGACTGGGAAATTAGATGGCCTCATCTCAGACCCAGGAGAGGGAGGAGGGAGTTGTCTACTGATTAAGCATCTGACAAAAATAGAATTCATTTTATTATTTTAGGGAGATAAAACAGTGCATTCAAATAAATGTTTCTTCTTTGTGGCATCAGACTTCATTGGTTTATAGGCTGTGCTTGGTTGGAAGAATGTGCAATTCTGAGAGTGTCCAGTTCAGCATTCTGGTATATTCACCTGCAAAAAATAGCACTCACTAGCACTTGAAGTTATTTCATAAATTACTTACAAAATGGGCTAAAGTATGGCTGGCTTTCACTTCAACCTTTCTTGGTAACTTAATTGGGAGAACTAAGCACAAATGGTTTCTAGAAGAAAATTCATAAAGAAGTCGTCTCTGAGTGGCAAAGAAGGGGAGGATATCTTACTGGTAAGCTTCTAAAGACCTTTTCATGAATGAAAGTCTGATAGGGAATAGTATTCCCAGAACAATTAATGAAAAGACAGTTTTAGGAGTGGTATCACTTAGTGTGACTGTAATTGTTTTAAAAAAAGTTTGCGGTTTTCTAAATTGTCTCAGCCAAAACAAGTAATTTTTTTTAAGGCATAGGCCTCAAAGCATATCCAGAGTGTTCAGAAAAGCTGGCAGTGCCATGAGCAAGAGAGATCCAGGTTCCCAAAGAGAAGAATGCACTAGCCTAACCCACCAGCAGACAGTACATTGGATCAACAGAAGCCACATAGGAGCTTGGACGAATGGGGCATGCCATAACAGCTCTGCTCCTCACTGGCTAGGTGTCCTTGAGCCACTTAATCATTCCACGCCTTAGTTTCTTCATCTAAAAACTGAGACAGTGATAATATTTACCACATAGAGTTGTTTGTTACCTGGGTAAATGCATATAAAGCACTTATTACAATGTCTGGTACGATATATGTGCTATACTTTTCACTATTAGCTATTATAATTATTAGAAAACAAGAGAGGATACATAGTATGAGCAAGAGTGTTAAAAAGCTAAAAGAGAGTCCCTCTCCCACCCCTAATGAGGACACTGCCACAAATCTCATGGATCCTGGTAGAGAATGTCTCCTCATCCACAAACAAAAGACCTTGTCTGGGGGTAGCTCACCTCCTCCCCATTATGAAGTTATTGCAGAATATATGATTCCATCTTCATCTCTTTTTTTGAACTACACCTTTACTAAAACCTTGTGGCTCCAGTGCTTAAAAGTGGGCTGGGCACAGTGGCTCACACCTGTTATCCCAGCACTTTGGGAGGCTGAGGCAGGTGGATCACCTGAGGTTAGGAGTTTGAGACCAGTTTGGCCTACAGGGTGAAACCCCGTCTCTACTAAAAATAGAAAAATTAGCCAGGCATCGTGGTGAGCACCTGTAATCCCAGCTACTTGGGAAGCTGAGGCAGGAGAATCGCTTGAACCCGGGAGGCAGAGGTTGCAGTGAGCCGAGATGGTGCCATTGCACTCCAGCCTGGGTAACAAGAATAAAACTGTCTCAAAACAAAAACAAAAACAAAACAAAACAAAACAAAACAAACAAACAAACAAAAAAACCCAGGCCGGGTGCCCTCACGCCTGTAATCTCAGCACTTTGGGAGGCCGAGACGAGCAGATCACCTGAGGTCAGGAGTTCAATACCAGCCTGGTCAACATGGTGAAACCCTGTCTCTACTTAAAAAAAAAAAAAAATAGCTGGGTGTGGTGGGTGGCACCTTTAATGCCAGCTACTCAGGAGGCTGAGGCAGGATAAGCACTTGAACCCGGGAGGCGGAGGTTGCAATGAGCCAAGATTGTGCCGCTGCACTCCAGCCTGGGAGACAGATCGAGACTCTGTCTAAAAAAAAAAAAAAAAAAAAAAAAATGTGAGGAGCACTGGGCTATCAAAGGGAGGTGCATCCCCAAGTTTCTGGAGGGTGACATACCTGGTAGAAGGCAATTTTGGTCCCTGATACAATAGAGATATGTGAAGGTTAAACTACCAAGACCTGGCTAGAAATTTCTCAGTTCTGCCAAGGGCTGGCCCTGTAACTGGGTTTTTGTGTGTTTCTTCTTCCCTCTATATAGTAGTTGTCTCAAATCAGTTGTTGATTGCATGGCAGTTTAAGGATTCAGTCTCCTCGCAAGCTTCTCTTGGGGATAATTTTAGGGGAAAAAACAAATTCTGTACCCTAAACCAAACTAAATGTGGACAAAATGGAAAATCTCTTCAGATAGGCAGCCAAATTTGTGGTAGAATTAAAGGGTCAGATGGGAAAGGAGTAAGGTGAGACAGCCTGGTCACAAGACTTGAACACAGCTGGAACCTAGAGGTAAAAGTAGCACACTGGTTTCAGGAAGGAAAGAGGGGAAGACAGGCCTCTCTCTACCAGTCAACTGTGCAATTCTAGGCACATTTGCTGGAACTGCTCCCAAAACAGGGCCTGAACCAGCTGAGCAACCCCAAGAGCTTCCAGGGAGCAAGAAATCTGGAGGAATCTGTAATGGGCAGAAGGTGAAATCTCATTAGAAACCTGTTTGCTTTTGTAACACATGACAAGCAGGATTTTGACACTTGCGAAGAAGCTCCCCAGAGCCTGGAGAAAAAGATGAAATCTGAAAAGGAAGAGAATGCTTCTTGCCTTTGGCCACATGTCCTAAGAGGTGTCTGAAGAGATATGTGAATCAATCATCTTGATTGCTGATTGATATGTGAGAGCAACCATCATAAGGCTTTGAAGATTCCCAAGAGAAGGTCCTTATTTTAGAAAAAATCTGACTACAGAAGGAGGAACAACAGGAACGTGTACCAAGTGTACTGTATTAGTCAGGGTTCCCTATAGGGACAGAACTAATAGGATATATATATATATATCTGAGTTTATTAACTTACGTGATCACAAGGTCCCACAATAGGCTGTCTGCAAGCTTGAGGAGAAAGGAGAGCCAGTCTGAGTCTCAAAACTGAAGAACTTGGAGTCCAATGTTTGAAGGCAGGAAGCATCCAACACAGGAGAAAGATGTAGGCTGGGACACTAGACCAGTCTTGCCTTTTCACATTTCTCTGCCTGCTTTATATTCACTCGCAGCTGATTAGATTGTGTCCACCAGATTAAGGGTGGGTCTGCCTTCCACAGCCCACTGATTCAAATGTTAATTTCCTTTGGCAACACCCTCGCAGACACACCCAGGATCAATACTTTGCCTCCTTCAATCCAATCAAGTTGACACTCAGTATTAACCATCACATGTACCAAGAGCTTCTAACAGGTATGTTGTTTTCCTTGACTCTTGATTGCATCCCAGCAATATACAGGGCATTATGGGAAGAAGTCCTTGGTTTCTCAGAATGGTACCAAGAAATAGATAGCATTGCTAGAGACTGAGGGATCAAGAAAAAATAATTTTTTCTTCAAAGTAACTCACTTCAGAAATTCCACCATAGACACTGGCATTACATAGAGGCAGACAAGCATTTATTTTAATATTGCCCAATAAGCCTCTGATCCCTGATACTTATACCTTTCTGCCCATACCCAGCAGCTTAAGCATTTCTTAAGAGTTTGAGGTCCCCACATACATCCCAAGATGGGTGTTGCCGTAACTACTGTGCAAAATCTGCTATACAAGTTATTATAATGCTTTAAAAATGTAATTCCAAGCTCAGTCTAATAAACTCTCTAAGACAGCATATACAAGTTTAGGGTTAATTTCCATTTTGACCACTGCAGTCATTCTTGATTGGGTTTCACCACACCTCAGATATGCCAGGAGCAGGCAGTTAAAAGGAGCAGGTAGAATTCTACACAGAACTCTGGGCTCAAATTACCCACAGTCTATGCAGTAGCCTTTGGGGAACAGGCATCAAGTTCTGTTTTGCACCACCTCTGCTGAGGTGGTAAGAGCACTGGATTTGAGGTCAGGAGGCTTGGATTTGAATTTCAGTCATACATACCCTCTTGGTAACTGGGTTCTTGTCAAGTGTCCAGGAAGAATCAGGTCACATGGACTTGAAGAGTGTTGAATGTGAAGACTTTATTAAGCAGTGGAAGTGGCCCTCAGCAGAAGGGGAGCTGAAAGGGGGATGGAGCAGGAAGAAGGCCAGGCTTCAGGGAAGCCATTTGTCCACAGATGGCAACTGCTAAAAGGGCATTATTTATAACGCACATCTTCTGGGGCTCCAGAGGTCATGGGCAACTGCTAGACACTGTTGCAAGCTGGTACAGGATTTGTTCCTGCCAGCATCTAAAGGCACTTGACCTGGCTCCTGCACCCACTCACCTGCGTGCTCCCCCTCCCTCAAGGGGTTTGAGGTCAATTTGAGCAAAATGAGTCCCCCCACCCACACCCTTGCAAGTCCCTTGAGGGAGTCAGGGAACTCTCCTGTCCTCCAGTCTCACTACTTCTCTGGGCCTCCTTTTCTCTTCTGTAAAACGTCATGGAAAATCGTGTGACAAGACTGAAAATTGTCAATGCTAAGCAATTCTGAAGTGCTTTTTCTGGGCATCAAGTTCCATTAGATCCCTTAGACTAGAGTATGGACCCTGGGTCACCTCCTTTCTCATTTCTTCCATTCCCACGCTAATGCTAAATAGTAGCACTGTCAAAAAACTGCCAAGGGTGGAAATGGAAGTATCCATTCCTTCCACTTCCACAGAGAAAGCCTAGAATATTTTTTAAAAAATAAGCTATTTACACTTTATAGCAAGCTTTTTTTTTGAGACAGAGTCTTGCTCTGTTGCCCAGGCTGTAGTGCAATGGTGCAATTTCGGCTCACTGCAACCTCCGCCTCCCGGGTTCAAGCGATTCTCTTGCCTCAGACTCCCAAGTAGCTGGGATTACAGGCACCCACCACCATGCCCAGCTAATTTTTTGTATTTTTAGTAGAAATGGGGTTTTGCCATGTTGGCCAGGCTGGTCTCAAACTCCTGACCTCAGGTGATCCACCCACCTCTGCCTCCTAAAGTGCTGGGATTACAGGCATGAGCCTCTGTGCCTGGCCTATAATGAGCTTTTGACTGAGACTCTTAAAGTCCCTTTTCACAGATGGTATAAGGCGTTATTTGAAGGAATGTCACACTCCTCATGAGAGTGAGTCATGAGTTCCATATGAGTCATGTTTTTTTTTTAAACTCTCACTATGACTCCATTACACATTTTGAGCTTTCCACAGACCCTTATTCTCTGCCCCTGTCTACAAGTTCACAATGCCTTTGAAGGATGCTGGCAAAAGCAATGGGGTCATCAGCCTTGGAAAGAAACTCAGAAGTTCTCATGAGGTATGATAAACCTCGTAAGTGTGACAAGATGAGGTTTCTGATCTCAGAGTTAAGTTTATCTCCTGCTGGAAAAGTGTTTGATTTGACTGCTGACAAATCTGTGCACTCTGTATTATGTAGGCTCCAGTGAAAGAGTGAGGTCAAAGACTGCTATTCCCTGATGGGTCAGCCCTTCTCTTCAGAAGCCAGTTGTGAAGGTTTCAGTGTTGAGGGGAAAATTTAGCTTGAGGGATGTGTGTGTTTGTGTTTCCCTCTGCTTAAGCTGTGGTGACCTTGGGAGGGTTGTGAGCTGATTATTTTCTGTAGTGATACACAAGGTAGAGACTGACTTGATAACTGAGGGTTGGGGTTAGTTCTAATATCCTCAGCAATGATTTGGTGCAGGGGCAAACTGAGGAGGAAGCCATGGGAATTGTTAGAAATCAAGGCCGGGCCAGGCACGGTGGCTCATGCCTGCAATCCTAGCACTCTGGGAGGCCAAGGCAGGCAGATCACTTGAGGCCAGGAGTTCGAGACCAGCCTGGCCAACATAGTGAAAACTCGTCTCTACTAAAAATATTACTTTTAATGGCAAAAGCCACAATTACTTTTGCAATAACCTAATACAAAAATTAGCTGGGCATGGTGGCGCATGCCTGTAATCCCAGCTACTAGCTGAGGCATGAGACTTGCTTGAACCTGGGAAATGGAGGTTTCAGTGAACCAAGATCATGCCGTGGCACTCCAACCTGGGCGACAGAGTGAGACTCTGTCTAAAACAGAAAAGAAAAGAAAGAAAAGAAAAGAAAAGAAAAGAAAAGAAAAAAGATATCAAGGCCAAACTCTGATAGGTTATGCCAGTTGTTTACAGAGTGTGGTCTCTGGAACCAGTAACATCAACATCACCTGGGAAATTGATGAAAATTCAAGTTCTTGGGCTGCTCTCCAGACAAGTGAATCTACAGCTTCTACGGTGGAGCCCAGCAATTCACAGTTCAACAAGCCTTCCAGCATGATTCTGATTCATGCTATTGTTTGAGAACTACTGGGTTAAGAGCTTTAGTTCTCAACCTGGGCTGCATACCCAAGTTGTTTGTTTTAAAATAGAAATTCTGGGATGGGGCCCAGTATCCCTAGATAACTCTGATGTTCAGGCAGGATTGAGAACCACAAGCACATTCTCTCCTTAGGGGCAAGTTACTTGGGATTATGGGAAGTTTTTGTCATGGGCCTTTCATCTCCTTGTTGGGATTATAGGTTGGAGTTTTAGGATTACATGGAGTTTCCTGGCCCAGGGCCTGTCTCTGTGATGGAATTGAGGCCGAGTTAAAAAGTGATGGCTGTGCTTCTTGATAGAGAAGTTAGGGTCTGTCTGGCTATTGGTCCCCCATCTCTCTCCTCCCTTAAAAATCTAGGCCAGGTGTGGTGGCTCATGCCTATAATCCCAGCACTTTGGGAGGCCAAGGTGGACAGATCAAGAGGTCAGGAGTTCAAGACCAGCCTGACCAACATGGTGAAACCCTGTCTCTGCTAAAAACACAAAAATTAGCCAGGCGTGGTGGCACGCACCTGTAATCCCAGCTACTCGGGAGCCTGGGGCAGGAGAATCGTTTGAACCTGGGAGGCGGAGGTTGCAGTGAGCCAAGATTGCACCGCTGCACTCCAGCCTGGGTGACAGAGTGCGACTCTGTCTCAAAAAACAAAACAAAGCAAAACAAAACAAAACAAAACAAAAACTCTAGAAGGCCAGGCACGGTGGCTCATGCCTGTAATCCCAGTACTTTGGGAGGCCAAGGCGGGCGGATTGGTTGAGGTCAGGAGTTGGAGACCAGCCTGGCCAACATGGTGAAACCCCGTCTCTACTAAAAATACAAAAAGTAGCTGGGCATGGTTGCACACATCTGTGATCCCAGCTACTCGGGAGGCTGAGGCAGGAGGATTGCTTGAACCTGGGAGGTGGAGGTTGCAGTGAGCTGAGATCGCATTGCTGCACTCCAGCCTGGGCAACAGAGTGAGGCTCTATCTCAATAATTAATTAATTAATTAAAAATAAAAAATAAATAAAAATCTAGAAGAAGCAGTTGGCCTTCTTTGTACAGAGGCCTGGAAGAAGAGGTTCTGCAGAAATAGTGAATGGTGGATGATGGTTGCCAAGATACAGTTATGTTAGCCCCTGAACCTTCTCTATTTCAAACTAGGCATCTCTAGTTATTTTAGTTCTTTCACCTTCTCCCTATTATGCCCAACTCCATTAGACACGTGGTATATGACCTTGGGCTTCTTTTGCTTTCATTTCTACATTTTAGAACAGGAACAATGCCTGTTATCACTCAAAATGTTAAGGGGACAGGCAGGGATGAGGGAAGGACCAATGAGGGGAGACTACCTACATTTGCCAATGTTTAAGATGCACAAGACAGTAAAACTATCTCCATTACACAGTGAATTTGTGTGTGTGTGTGTGTGTGTTGGTGGGGGGGGTCTCAACTCTTTATCATACTTGTTTTAAAAGTGATTTAATAGTGTTTTTCAGGGGCAAAATTTAGTTCATTCATTTAAATATTGAATTCTGGAGCAGTGGTGAGATAATACAAACTTGTGTTTGCAGTTAAGCCAATCTGTCATTTCATATCTCCTTCTCTTGGCTTCCTGTCATAATAACAGTATGCTATAGACACTGAGTAATGTACATATACATTTGGCGGAAAGTATATTGAATACAGGTACATATGGTAACATCAACTGCAGGACTGTGTGCTAGATATTTACATTTCTTATCTCACCATATTTAATCCTTACAAAAATCTTGTGAGATTCTTATTGCCTTTTACAGATAAGACTGAGCTTTATGTGATCTGACTTCCCCAAGGAGACACAATGTCAGGCAGAACCAGGATTTGAACTTGGATATGCATGATTTGAGGGAGCTTTTCTTCTTCTTCTTCTTTTTTTTTTTTTTTTGAGATAGAGTCTAACTCTGTTGCCTAGGCTGGAGTGCAGTGGCACGATCTCTGCTCACTGCAGCCTTCACCTCCCATGTTTGAGTTATTCTTCTGCCTCAGCCCCCCATGTAGGTGGGACTACAGGTGAGTGCTACCAAGCCTGGCTGATTTTTGTATTTATAGTAGAGACAGGGTTTCACCATGTTGGCCAGTGTGGTCTTGAACTCCTGACCTCAGGTGATCCACCTGCCTCAGCCTCCCAAAGTGCTGGGATTACAGGCATGAGCCACCATGCCTGGCTTTTTCTTCTTGTTTTTTGTTTTTTGTTTTTTTTTTGACAGAGTTTTGCTGTGTCGCCCAGGCTGGAGTGAAATGGCGTGATCTCAGCTCACTGCATCCTCTGCCTCCTGGCTTCAAGTGATTCTCCTGCCTCAGCCTCCCAAGTGGTCGGGATTACAGGTGTGAGCCACTACACCTAGCTAATTTTTGTATTTTTAGTAGAGACGAGGTTTCACCATGTTGGCCAGGTTGGTCTTCAACTCCTGACCTCAGATGATCCACTCACCTTGGCCTCCCAAAGTGCTGGGATTACAGGCGTGAGCCACTGTGCATGGCCCTTTTCTTCTTCTATGATCACCAGAGTTGTCACTTCCCTGACCCTCACATTAATGCTGTTGGTTTTGAAAGCCAGCCAGGCTGAAGTGAGATCCTTCTGATGGACATATCGATGCAGGGCAAATAAACGATTTGCTCCAGATGACTCACTGTAGCTAAGACTGGAATCTAGTTTTCTTGACCATCTGCCAAACCAGAAAGTACATCTTAGATCAAAAGATGAGGGAGCCTCTTCTTACTGTGTAGCAGGATGAGCCGCAGACAAAACCCCTCAGACACAGGGCTAAAGAAGGAAGAGGCTTTATTTGGCCGGGAGCATTGGCAGACTTGCGTCTCAAGAACCGAGCTCCCCAAAGAAAGAGTTCCTGGCCCTTTTAAGGGCTTACAACTCTAAGGGGTCCATGTGAAAGGGTCGGGATAGATTGAGCAAGCATGGGGTAGGTGACTAGGTGAGGATTGTGAGCAAGGCAAGTATTTTTCCATACCATTTTCTGTGATCTATAGATAGCACAAGTGGTTAGGGTGGGGATTAATCTTTAACCTACAGGCCTGGCCAGTGGCCCCAATCAGTCTATTATTTTTCAGTTTTCACTTCCTCCTTTTTCTTTGGAGACAGGGGAGAGTAGGAGAAATGGCCTCTCTCCTCAGCTGCAGCAACACCGACACTGACCAAGAAAACAAGAAAGGGATTAGCATGTCTCCCCTTCTCCTTAGGTTCTGAAATAGGATTCTGACGTTTCAGATGGGCAAAAGAAGGTCCTTGCAAAGCTGTTCAAATAGCAAGAATGATATGGGGTCATATTATCAGGGACTATAGGTACCGGAGTAGGGAATTCAGCTTTCTTTGGGCTATACTTTTGTCCAGGTTTCTTAAAGCTTCAGCTTTGGATTTCAAAATATAAGTGGACAAAGTTAAGGGGGCAGAAAAGCAATCATAAATATATTTATTTATTTGAAAAGCTTTTACATAGTTCTTACTTTGTGCTAGGTGCTGTTCTAAATATTTTACCTGTATTAACTCATTTAATCCTCATAACAATGTTATGCAGTGGGTACAATTATTATCCCCATTTTACAGATGAAGATATTGAGGCTCTGAGAGGTGAAATGTTTACCCAAGGCTACAAAGTCAATAAGTGGCAGAGCCCAGAGTTAAACCTTTGCAGTCTAGCTCCAGACCCCATACTTTCAGCCATAATACTGTGCTGCTTCTTGAGGCTACAAGAAGAATTCTAAAACCACAGACTCAGAGTTGGAAAGGCAATTAATGGACTTTTAGTCCAACCTTCCAACCAATAGAGGAATCCTTTGTATGCCCTCCCTGCCCTGCTTGAAAATTTTCAGTGTCAGGAGCTTGGTATCTCAAAAGTAGATCATTCCAATATGGATTGTCTCTGATTGTTAAGAAGTTTAACTTAACAATAAACTGGGGAAGCTGGGGAAGAAAATATTCTCAGCTCGTGTTTGCTGAACTTGTATTACGTTCAAACCATTCTATTTGGTATATACAAAGAAAAGGATATACCCTGTACCTTATGGACTCTTAAGAGAAATAAACATTCATATAATGGCTACTATATATGGCAGACTATGCTACATGCTATAATGTGACTACAGTCACGCATCACTTAACAATGAGGATATGTTCCGAAAATGCATTACTATATGATTTTGTCCTTGTGTGAACATTATGGAGTGTACTTACACAAACCTAAATGGTATAGCCTGCCACACACCTAGCCTATATATCATAGTCTATTGCTCCTAGGCTACAAACCTTTACAGCATATGACTGTACTGGATACTGTAGACAATTGGAACACAATGGTCAGTGTTTGTGTATCTAAACATATCCTAAATATAGAAAATGTACAGTCAAAATATAGTATAGAAGACAAAAAATGGTATACCTGTATAGGGCACTTACCTTGAATGGAGCCTACAGGACTGGAAGTTGATCTGGCTGAGTCAGTGAGTGGTGAGTGAATGTGAAGGCCTGGGACATAGTAGTGTATATTACTGTAGACTTTATACACATTGTACATTTAGGCTTTGCTAAATTTATTTTTAAAATTTTATTTATTCAATAATAAATGAGGCTGGGTGTGGTAGCTTGTTCCCGGACCAAACCAAGGGTCGGGCTGCTTATTCTCACAGGCTAACGAGATACAGATGAACTGGGAAAGGAGGGAGTTTTTATCTCTGTACCTGGTTACAGAGAAGGCCTAGAAAATATTGCCAGATCAACTCAAAATTACAAAGTTTTCCAGCGCTTATATACCTTCTAAGCTGTATTTCTACGTGTAAGTGTGCATTTATCTAAAGAAATAAGTGATTAACTTCTTTTAATTTATAACTAAGGTCTGAGTCCTGAAGACCTTCCTCTGGAACCTCAGTAAATTTATTCAATCTAAATGGGTCCAGGTGCTGGAGTGATTACCCTTATCTTGTCTCTGGCTAAATCATGGAGATTTGGGGAGTTCCTTCAGACCCCCAATAAACTTGTTTGTGGAGGTCTGGGGAGTTTCTTCAGACCCCCAATAAAACTTGTTTAATCCTAAACAGGTTCTGTTAAGAATTCCTTCATTATTTTGTCATGCTTCAAGGCCTAGGAGGGCCTAGGCAAAACTCTTGGTGGACTTTTGTTACATCTCAGCCTTTGTATAAGGGCACTGGCTCTTTTAGCTTTTAATATTTAACTTAACCACTCAGTCAGTGCTGAAACACTTGTTAAGGAGGCCTATGTTAGTGAGACCTGGCCTGCCACAGGCTCACACTTGTAATTTCAGCATTTAGGGAGGATGAAACGTGAGGATCACTAGAGGTCAGGAGTTCAAGACCAGCCTGGACAACATAGTGAGACCCTGTCTCTACAAAAAAACTTTTTTAAATAGCGGGGTGCCTGTAGTCCAGGCCACTCGGGAGGCTGAGGTGGGAGGATTGCTTGAGCCCAGGACTTTTAGTTTACTGTGAGCTGATCATGCCATTGCACTCCAGCATGGGCAACAGAGTAAGTCTCTTTTAAATAATCATAATAATAATTATAAATTAACCTTAGCTTATTGTAACTTTTTTACTTTATAAACTTTTAAATATTTTTCACTTTTGACCCTTTTGTACTGACACTTAGCTTAAAAGACAAACACCTTGTACAGCACTACAAAATATTTGATATTTTCTTTCTTCATCTTCTTTTTTTTTTTTTTTAAGACAGAGTCTCACTGTGTCGCCCAGGCTGGAGTGCAATGGCATGATCTCAGCTCACTGCAACATCCACCTCCCGGATTCAAGCGACTCTCCTTCCTCAGCCTCCCAAGTAGCTGGGACTACAGGCGCCCACCACCATGACCAGCTAATTTTTGTAATTTTAGTAGAGATAGGGTTTCACTATGTTGGCCAGGCTGGTCTTGAACTTCTGACCTCGTGATCTGCCTGCCTCAGCCTCCCAAAGTGCTGGGATTACAGGTGTGAGCCACTGTGCCCAGCAATATTTTCTTTCTATGTATCTTTATTCTATAAGCTTTTTTCTATTTTAAAATATTTTATTTTTACTTTTTAAACTTTTTTGTTAAAAACAAAGACACGGGCCGGGCGCGGTGGCTCACGCCTGTAATCCCAGCACTTTGGGAGGCCGAGGCGGGTGGATCATGAGGTCAGGAGATCGAGACCATCCTGGCTAACAAGGTGAAACCCCGTCTCTACTAAAAATACAAAAAATTAGCCGGGCGCGGTGGCGGGCGCCTGTAGTCCCAGCTACTCGGGAGGCTGAGGCAGGAGAATGGCGTGAACCCGGGAAGCGGAGCTTGCAGTGAGCCGAGATTGCGCCACTGCAGTCCGCAGTCTGGCCTGGGCGACAGAGCGAGACTCCGTCTCAAAAAAAAAAAAAAACAAAAAAAAAAAAAAAACAAAGACACAAGGCTGAGGCAGGTGGATCACTTGAGGTCAGGAGTTCGAGACCAGCCTGACCAACATGGTGAAACCCTGTCTCTAGTAAAAAAAATACAAAAATTAGCCAGGTGTGGTGGTGGGCACCTGTAATCCCAGCCACTCTGGAGGCTGAGGCAGGAGAATCACTTGAACCCAGGAGTCAGAGGTTGCAGTGAGCAAAGGTCAGGCCACTGCACTCCAGCCTGGGCGACAGAGTAAGACTGTCTCAAAAAAAAAAAAAAAAAGACACACACACATTAGGCTAGGCCTACACAGGGTCAGGATCATCAATATCACTATCTTCTGCCTTCATATCTTGTCCCACTGGAAGGTCTTTGGGGGTAAAAGAACATGCATGGAGCTGTCACCTACTATGATAAAAATGCCTTCTTCTGGAATACCTACTGAAGGACCTGCCTGTGGCTGTTTTACAGTTAACTTTTTTATATATAAGTAGAAGGAGTACACTTTAAAATAATGATGGGAAGGACAGTACGGTAAATACGTGAACCAGTAACATAGTTGTTTATCATCATTATCAAGTAATATGTACTGTATACAATGGTGTGTGCAAACCTACTGGCAGCACAGTAGGTTTGTTTACTTCAGCATCACCACAAATACGTGCGTAACGCATTGTGCTATTCTGTCCAGAATTGGTTCCTTCTGGTGGGTTCTTGGTCTTGATGACTTCAAGAATGAAGCCACGGACCCTCACAGTGAATGTTACAGTTCTTAATGTTTGGATGTGTCCAGAGTTTCTTCCTTCTAGTGGGTTCGTGGTCTTGCTGACTTCAGGAGTGAAGCCGCAGACCTTCGCAGTGAGTGTTACAGCTCTTAAAGTTGGTGTGTCTGGAGTTGTTTGCTCCTCCTGGTGGGTTTGTGGTCTCGCTGACTTCAGCAGTGAAGCCACAGACCTTCAAAGTGAGTGTTACAGCTCACAAAGGTAGTGCAGACCCAAAGAGTGAGCAGCAGCAAGATTTATTGTGATGAGTGAAAGAACAAAGCTTCCACAGCGTGGAAGGGGACACAAGCAGGTTGCCGTTGCTGGCTCAGGTGGCCAGTTTTTATTCCCTTATTTGGCCCCACCCACACCCTGCTGATTGGTCCATTTTACAGAGCACTGATTGGTCCATCTTACAGAGCGCCGATTGGTGCATTTACAATCCTTTAGCTAGACCCAGAGTGCTGATTGGTGTGATTTTACAGAGTGCTGATTGGTGCATTTACAATCCTTTAGCTAGACCCAGAGTGCTGATTGGTGCATTTACAATCCTTTAGCTAGACACAAAAGTTCTCCAAGTCCCCATCCAACCCAGAAGCTCAGCTGGTTTCACCTCTCACTATGATGTTATGATAGTTATGACATCTCTAGGTGATAGGAAATTTTCAGCTTCATTATTATCCTATGGGACCACCATAATATATGTGATATGTTGTTGACTGAAATGGTGTTATGCAGTGCCTGACTGTACAAAGGTGAGCTGCAGGTGTACAGAAGAAAGTGAAACTGATTCCAGCAAAGGTGGTTTAGGTAAAGTATCCTAAAGACAGTAACAGCTGTATCTTGAAGCTTGGATAAGATTTCAGTAAGCACAGCTGAAGCAGAAAGGCAGAAATGAAACAACAAATAAGGACAGAGGTACTCTCTTTCTATGGCCACCCTCTGGCTAGCTGAAGACAGCCAGCATGATGCTCTGAGTCTATCTTTCTCTTGTCCCCTTAGCTGGTTTGCTTTTCATATAGAGGTTGAGAGCATAGGTTCTGCATTTGGATCCCAGTTCAGCCACTCATTACCAGGGCCACATTATAACTTTTGTAGACCCTATGCACTTTTATATTTGTGGGTCCCTTCCTTCTTTAAAAACAAACTGGCCAGGCACAGTGGCTCATGCCTGTAATCCCAGCACTTTGGGAGGCTGAGGCGTGTGGATCACCTGAGGTTGGAATTTGAGACCAGCTTGAAGAACATGCTGAAACCCCATCTCCACTAAAAATACAAAAATTAGCTGAGCATGGTGGCATATACCTATAACCCCAGCTACTTGGGAGGCTGAGGCAGAAGAATTGCTTGAACCTGGGAGGCAGAGGTTGCAGTGAGCCGATCATGCCACTGCACTTCAGCCTGGAAGACAGAGCAACACTCTGTGTTAAAAAAAAAAAAAAAAGGCCAGGCACAGTGGCTCACGCCTGCTATCCCAGCACTTTGGGAGTCTGAGGCAGGCAGATCCTTGAAATCAGGAGTTCAAGACCAGCCTGGCCAACATGGTGAAAACCTGTCTCTACTAAAAATACAAAAATTAGCCAGGTGTGGTGGTGCACACCTGTAATCCCAGCTACTCAGGAGGCTGAGGCATGAGAATCACTTGAACCCGGGAGGCGGAGGTTGCATTGAGCCCAGATCATGCCACTGTACTCCAGCCTGGGAGACAGAGCAAGACTCCTCAAAAAAAAAAAAAAAAAAAAAAAAAAAAAGAGAATGAAAAGGGGGAAGGGGGTAATAATGGGATGGAATGACAGAGCATTAGGCATACATCAGGGCACAATGGTCACTCACAATAACTTCCTTTCCAGAACCCTCCTCATGCTAGTCACCTTTCTTTAGATACCCATTTCATTTTGGCAAACTTCCAAATGAGCTTATTTAATTTAAAACATGGTGAACAGAAAAATTCTAGGTATGGTCTGACCAGGGGAACAATATATTATTAATTTAATCCAAGGTTGTATTAGCTGCTTGAGCAATTCTGTGACATGTTTGGTTCACTAAACAAAAATCTTTAGTTGTTATAATTTCTCAAAGATTACCAGCAGTTTTTTTTCAAAATTATATCTAAGAAGTCTTTTTAATATCTTAAATTGTTTTTGATCTGGGCTTGGAGACCTCAACTCCTATAATGTTTTCCTTATTCATTTATCAGAGAGCTTATTTCCATGTAACATAACTTACTAGTGTATGTTAATCCATCTTTCTGTAAATTATTGCTCAGGGCAGGGACCATCCCTCACATGCTTTGCTGATGTGAGCATCACCTAGCATAGTAGCTGAAACAAAGTACATACTTAGCAAATGTGTGTGGAGTGAATTAACAAATGAATGTATGCATTTAAAACATTTATACTCTTATGAATACCTCAATTATCTTGGTGTTATAAATAAAGTTTTGGTGCTGCAAAAGAAATAGCACTTGAATAAAAAGTTTTCATTTTTTCTTCTCAGCAAGGCAATTTACTTCTATAGAAGGGTGCGCTCTCACAGATGGAACAACGGTGAGCATACACCTGGACAAGGGAGGGGAAGGAGTTCTTATTCCTGATGCACGTGGCCCCTGCTGCTGTGTCATTCCCCTATTGACTAGGGTTAGACCACACAGGCTAATCTAATTCCGATTGGCTAATTTAAAGAGAGTGATGGGGTGAGTGGTTTGGTGGGAAAATGGTAATGGCAGAGCAGGAAATCAGAATGAGTCAGGGTGGAGAATGAGTCAGGGTGGAGGAGGTAATCAAAATGAGTCAGGGTGGAGCAGGTAATCAGAGTGAGTCAGGGTAGAGCAGGTGATGGAAAAAGGTTGCTTTATAAGAAAGTTAAGTTTAAAAGTAGAAGGCAAATAATCGAACATACTGACATATTGATTTTTTTTAAATTATACTTTCAGTTCTAGGATACATGTGCACAACGTGCAGGTTTGTTACATATGTGTACATGTGCCATGTTGGTGTGCTGCATCTGTCAACTCGTCATTTACATTAGGTATATCTCCTAATGCTATCCCTCCCCACTCCCCCTACCCCATGACAGGCATGTGATGTTCCCCACCCTGTGTCCAAGTGTTCTCATTGTTCAATTCCCACCTATGAGTGAGAACATGCGGTGTTTGGTTTTTTGTCCTTGCGATAGTTTGCTGAGAATGATGGTTTCCAGCTTCATCCATGTACCTACAAAGGACATGAACTCATCATTTTTTATGGCTGCATAGTATTCCATGGTGTATATGTGCCATATTTTCTTAATCCAGTCTATCATTGATGGACATTTGGGTTGGTTCCAAGTCTTTGCTATTGTGAATAGTGCCACAATAAACATTCGTGTGCATGTGTCTTTATAGCAGCATGATTTATAATCCTTTGGATATATATCCAGTAATGGGATTCCTGGGACAAATGGTATTTCTAGTTCTAGATCCTTGAGGAATCACCACACTGTCTTCCACAATGGTGGAAGTAGTTTACAGTCCCACCAACAGTGTAAAAGCATTCCTATTTCTCCACATCCTCTCCAGCACCTGTTGTTTCCTGACTTTTTAATGATCACCATTCTAACTGGTGTGAGATGGTATCTCATTGTGATTTTGATTTGCAAGTGTCTGATGGCCAGTGATGATGAGCATTTTTTCTTGTGTCTGTTGGCTGCATAAATGTCTTCTTTTGAGAAGTGTCTGTTCATATCCTTTGCCCACTTTTTGATGGGGTTGTTTGATTTTTTTTCTCACAAATTTGTTTGAGTTCTTTGTAGATTCTTGACATTAGCCCTTTGCCAGATGGGTAGATTGTAAAAATTTTCTCCCATTCTGCAGGTTGCCTGTTCACTGTGATGGTAGTTTCTTTCACTGTGCAGAAGCTCTTTAGTTTAATTAGATCCCATTTGTCAATTTTGTCTTGTGTTGCCTTTGCTTTTGGTGTTTTAGTCATGAAGTCCTTGCCCATGCCTATGTCCTGAATGGTATTGCCTAGGTTTTCTTCTAGGGATTTTATGGTTTTAGGTCTAACATTTAAGTCTTTAATCCATCTCGAGTTAATTTTTGTATAAGGTGTAATGAAGGGATGCAGTTTCAGCTTTCTACATATGGCTAGCCAGTTTTCCCAGCACCATTTATTAAATAGGGAATCCTTTCCCCATTTCTTGTTTTTGTCAGGTTTGTCAAAGATCAGATGGTTGTAGATGTGTGGTATTATTTTTGAGGGCTCTGTCTGTTCCATTGTTCTATATCTCTGTTTTGGTACCAGTACCATGCTGTTTTGGTTACTGTAGCCTTGTAGTATAGTTTGAAGTCAGGTAGCGTGATGCCTCCAGCTTTGTTCTTTTGGCTTAGGATTGAGTTGACAATGTGGGGTCTTTTTTGGTTCCATATGAACTTTAAAGTAGTTTTTTCCAATTCTGTGAAGAAAGTCATTGGTAGCTTGATGGGGATGGCACTGAATCCTTAAATTACCTTGGACAGTATGGCCATTTTCATGATATTGATTCTTCCTATCCATCAGCATGGAATGCTCTTCCATTTGTTCGTGTCCTCTTTTATTTCATTGAGCAGTGGTTTGTAGTTCTCCTTGAAGAGGTCCTTCACATCCCTTGTAAGTTGGATTCCTAGGTATTTATTCTCTTTTTAGCAATTGTGAATGGGAGTTCACTCATGATTTGGCTCTCTGTTTGTCTGTTATTGGTGTATAGGAATGCTTGTGATTTTTGCACATTGATTTTGTATCCTGAGACTTTGCTGAAGTTGCTTATCAGCTTAAGGAGATTTTGGGCTGAGATGATGGGGTTTTCTAAATATATAATCATGTCATCTGCAAACAGGGACAATTTGACTTCCTCTTTTCCTAATTGAATACCCTTTATTTCTTTCTCCTGCCTGACTACCCTGACCAGAACTTCCAACACTATGTTGAATAGGAGTGGTGAGAGAGGGCATCCCTGTCTTGTGCCAATTTTCAAAGAGAATGTTTCCAGTTTTGGCCCATTCAGTGTGATCTTGGCTGTGGTTTTGTCATAGATAGCTCTTATTATTTTGAGATACGTCCCATCAATAACTAATTTCTTGAGAGTTTTTAGCATGAAGTGCTGTTGAATTTTGTCAAAGGCCTTTTCTGCATCTATTGAGATAATCATGTGGTTTTTGTCTTTGGTTCTGTTTATATGCTGGATTACATTTATTGATTTGCATATGGTGAACCAGCCTTGCATCCCAGGGATGAAGCCCACTTGATCATGGTGGATAAACTTTTTGATGTGCTGCTGGATTTGGTTTGCCAGTATGTTATTGAGGATTTTTGCATCGATGTTCATCAGGGATATTGGTCTAAAATTCTCTTTTTTTGTTGTGTCTCTGCCAGGCTTTGGTATCAGGATGATGCTGGCCTCATAAAATGAGTTAGGGACGATTCCCTCTTTTTCTATTGATTGGAATGGTTTCAGAAGGAATGGTACCAGCTCCTCCTTGTACCTCTGGTAGAATTCGGCTCTGAATCCATCTGGTGCTGGACTTTTTTTGGTTGGTAAGCTATTAATTATTGCCTCAATTTCAGAGCCTGTTATTGGTCTATTCAGAGATTCAACTTCTTCCTGGTTTAGTCTTGGGAGGGTGTATGTGACGAGGAATTTATTCATTTCTTCTAGATTTTCTAGTTTATTTGCATAGAGGTGTTTATAATACTCTCTGATGGTAGTTTGTATTTCTGTGGGATTGGTGGTGATATCCCCTTTATCATTTTTTATTGCATCTATTTGATTCTTCTCTCTTTTCTTCTTTATTAGTCTTGCTAGCAGCCTATCAATTTTCTTGATCTGTTCAAAAAACCAGCTCCTGGATTCATTGATTTTTTGAAGGGTTTTTTTTTGTCTCTATTTCCTTCAGTTCTGCTCTGATCTTTGTTATTTCTTGCCTTCTGCTAGCTTTTGAATGTGTTTGCTCTTGCTTCTCTAGTTCTTTTAATTGTGATGTTAGGGTGTCAATTTTAGATCTTTCCTGCTTTCTCTTTTGGGCATTTAGTGCTATAAATTTTCCTCTACACACTGCTTTAAATGTGTCCCAGAGATTCGGGTATGTTGTGTGTTTGTTCTTGTTGGTTTCAAAGAACAACTTTATTTCTGCCTTCATTTCGTTATGTACCCAGTAGTCATTCAGGAGCAGCTTGTTCAGTTTCCATGTAGTTGAGCAGTTTTGAGTGAGTTTCTTAATCCTGAGTTCTAGTTTGATTGCAGTGTGGTCTGAGAGACAGTTTGTTATAATTTCTGTTCTTTTACATTTGCTGAGGAGTGCTTTACTTCCAACTATGTGGTCAGTTTTGGAATACGTGCGATGTGGTGCTGAAAAGAATGTATATTCTGTTGATTTGGGGTGGAGAGTTCTATAGATGTCTATTAGGTCTGCTTGGTGCAGAGCTGAGTTCAATTCCTGGATATCCTTGTTAACTTTCTGTCTCATTGATCTATCTAATGTTGACAGTGGGGTGTTAAAGTCTGCCACTATTATTGTGTGGAAGTCTAAGTCTCTTTGTATGTCTCTAAGGACTTGCTTTATGAATCTGGGTGCTCCTGTATTGGGTGCATATATATTTAGGACAGTTAGCTCTTCTTGTTGAATTGATCCCTTCACCATTATGTAATGGCCTTCTTTGTCTCCTTTGATCTTTTTTGGTTTAAAGTCTGCTTTATCAGAGGCTAGGATTGCAACCCCTGCTTTTTTTTGTTTTCCATTTGCTTGGTAGATCTTCCTCCATCCTTTTATTTTGAGCATATGTGTGTCTCTGCACATGAGATGGGTTTCCTGAATGCAGCACACTGATGTGTCTTGACTTTTTATCCAATTTGCCTGTCTGTGTGTTTTAATTGGAGCATTTAGCCATTTACATTTAAGGTTAATATTGTTATGTGTGAATTTGATCCTGTCATTATGATGTTGGCTGGTTATTTCACTTGTTAGTTGTTGCAGTTTCTTTATAGCATCAATGGTCTTTACAATTTGGCATATTTTTGCAGTGGCTGGTACCAGTTGTTCCTTTCCATGTTTAGCGCTTCCTTCAGGAGCTCTTTTAGGGCAGGCCTGGTGGTGACAAAATCTCTCAGCATTTGCTTGTCTGTAAAAGATTTTATTTCTCCTTCATTTATGAAGCTTAGTTTGGCTGGATATGAAATTCTGGGTTGAAAATTCTTTTCTTTAAGAATGTTGAATATTGGTCCCCACTCTCTTCTGGCTTGTAGAGTTTCTGCCAAGAGATCCGTGTTAGTCTGATGGGCTTCCCTTTGTGGGTAACCCGACCTTTCTCTCTGGCTGCCCTTAACATTTTTTCCTTCATTTCAACTTTGGTGAATCTGAGAGTTATCTGTCTTGGAGTTGCTCTTCTTGAGGAGTATCTTTGTGGCGTTCTCTGTATTTCCTGAATTTGAATGTTGGCCTGCCTTGCTGGTTGGGGAAGTTCTCCTGGATAATATCCTGCAGAATATTTTCCAACTTGGTTCTATTCTCCCCGTCACTTTCAGGTACACCAGTCAGACGTAGATTTGGCCTTTTCACATAGTCCCATATTTCTTGGAGGTTTTGTTCGTTTCTTTTTATTCTTTTTTCTCTAAACTTCTCTTCTTGCTTCATTTCATTCATTTCATCTTCCATCACTGATACCCTTTCTTCCAGTTGATCGAATCGGCTACTGAGGCGTCTGCATTCCTCACGTAGTTCTCATGCCATGGTTTTCAGCTCCATCAGGTCCTTTAAGGACTTCTCTGCATTGGTTATTCTAGTTAGCCATTTGTCTAATCTTTCTTCAAGGTTTTTAACTTCTTTGCGTTGGGTCGAACTTCCTCTTTTAGCTCGGAGAAGTTTGATCTCCTGAAGCCTTCTCTAAACTCGTCAAAGTCATTCTCCTTCCAGCTTTGTTCCGTTGCTGGTGAGGTGCTGCGTTCCTTTGGAGGAGGAGAGGTGCTCTGATTTTTAGAATTTTCCGTTTTTCCTCTCTGTTTTTTCCCCATCTTTGTGGTTTTATCTACTTTTGGTCTTTGATGATGGTGACGTACAGGTGGGGTTTACTAGTTTTGGCTAATAAAGTCACTTATTTTTCCTAACAGACCTTGTTCTTGTTATTATATTTATTTATTTATTTATTTATTTATTTATTTATTTATTTATTTTTGAGAGATGTAGTCTTGCGCTGTCGCCCAGGCTGCAGTGCAGTGACACAATCTATCTTGGCTCACTGCAACCTCCACCTCCTGGGCTCAAGCGATTCTCCTGCCTCAGCTTCCCAAGTAGCTGGGACTACAGGCGTGTGCCACCATGCCCAGTTAATTTTTGTAATTTTTAGTAGAGATGGGGTTTCACTATATCTTGGTCAGGCTGGTCTCAAGCTCCTGACCTCAGGTGATCCACCCACCTCAGCCTCCCAAAGTGCTGGGATTACAGGTGTGAGCCACTGTGCCCAGCCCTCGCTCTTGTAATGATTGGACTCTGCAAGCAGCAAGCAACTGGACCTGTGTTCGGTTACATTTCCAGAACTTTTTATTATCCTTAAACTGAAATTGAAACTCTGTACTCACTAAACAATAAGTGTCCATTCCTCCTTCCCCCAACCCCCGGTAATCACTGTTCTACATTCTATCTGTATGAATTTGGTGACTCTATGTACCTCATATAAGCAGAATCATACACTATTTGTCCTTTTGTATCTGGATTATTCCACTTAGCATAATAAATTCAAGGATCATTATTTATTTTTAATATGAAAAAAGAAAAATAAGATCTATGTGTACTACCGTGAACATCTCTCTAACACATATTGAGTGAAAAATAGCAAAACCATGTGTATATTATCCTGTAATTTTGTGAAAAACGAAGAGGCACTTGGAAGGTATGGAGTAAGAGGAAGACTTATTTTCATTGCTTATCCTTTTGTTTTGTTTGAATTTTAGTCAATCTATGTATATATGTATGTGTTTTCCATTGTTTTTTCAATGCCCATACTCTTTGACCTAGTATTTTGAATGCAGGAATTTATAGTAAGGAAGTAACTGGAAAATACTTAAAGACAGGGCTATTTCTTGAAGCGTTGTTCAATGGTGAAAACTTGGAAGCTGTAATTATGTTCAGCCACAGGACACTGATAAAATAAATTATATGTCCATATAATGGAATGTGACAGAGGCTTCATAAATGACAGTATTAATTTATATATTTATTGAAATGGAAAGATGTCACAGTATATTGTAAACTAAAAAAGCAAGTCAAAAATGGTATGTCAAGCATGATTTCACTTTCATGTACATGCATTTATATGTCTATATGTGAAGGAGCATATCTATAAGGATATATACTAGAATTTTTATTTATTTATTTATTTTGAGATGGAGTCTCACTCTGTCGCCCAGGCTGAAGTGCAGTGACGTGATCTCGGCTCACTGCAACCTCCGCCTCCCGGGTTTAAGTGATTCTCCTGCCTCAGCCTCCTGAGTAAGCTGGGATTACAGGGGTGTGCCACCACGCCTGGCTAATTTTTGTATTTTTAGTAGAGACGGAGTTTCACCATGTTGGCCAGGCTGGTCTTGAACTCCTGACCTCATGATCTGCCCACCTTGGCCTCCCATAGTGTTCGGATTACAGGCGTGAGCCGTGCCCAGCCCAGAATTTTAACAGAGATGATCATTGGATGGTGAAACTTTGGGTGGTTTAAAATTTTTCTGTTAATATACCTGTATTTTCTAATTTTTCTTCAATCTGTATTATTTGTGTGTATGGTTTGTGTGTGTGTGTACATATATATATTTTAAAATTTAATATATATAAATTTTATTTATTTTTTATATAAAATTTTATATAAAAATTTATATAATTTTATTTAATATATAAAATATTTTATTTATATTATATATTATATATATTTGTTTAAGCCCTTAGCACTGGAAATACACCAATATATTAGTAATAGTGGGTGTCTTTGTGAGGTGGAACTGGGGGACAATTCTTCATTTTACTTTTTGTGTCTTCCAAATTTGCTATAATGAATATCTATATTTTATTTATTTATTTTTTGGAGACAGAGTCTTTCTCTGTCTCCCAGGCTGGAGTGCAGTGGTGCGATCACAGCTCACTGCAGCCTTGACATCCCGGGCTCAAGCAATCCTTCCACCTCAGCCTCCTGAATAGCTGGGACTACAGGCACAGGCGGCCACACCCGGCTAATTTTTAGAAATTTTTGTAGAGATGGTGTCTCCCTATGTTGCCCAGGCTGGTCTTGAACTTCTGACCTCAAACAATCCTCTCACCTCAGCCTCCCAAAGTGTTGGGATTACAGGCGTGAGCCAGTGCGCACAGTCTTATTTTATATTACAAAAGGAATGATTGGAAAGTGATGTTAGGGACCATCTTATTTTATTATCGTTTATTATTTTTTCCTTTTTCTCTTTTCTTTTTTTTTTTTTGAGACGGAGTCTTACTCTGTCGCCAGGCTAGAGTGCAGTGGCACGATGTCGGCTCACTGCAACCTCCGCCTCCCGAGTTCAAGCGATTCTCCTGTCTCAAGCTCCCGAGTAGCTGGGATTACAAACGCCAGCTACCGCACCCAGCTAATTTTTGTATTTTTAGTAGAGACAGGGTTTCACCATGTTGGCCAGGATGGTCTCGGTCTCCTGACCTCGTGATCCGCCCGCCTCGGCCTCCCAAAGTGCTGGGATTACAGGTGTGAGCCACTGCGCCCGGCCAATTATTTTTTCTTTAATGATCTCTCAGCAGAATCAGGGACCAGCTTTCACTTTTTACTTTATTTACTTCCATGTCATTTGAATTTGTGGCAGCAAGCATGTATTATTTTGTAATGAAAAACTAACATTAAAAATGTATTTCAGGCCGGGCACGGTGGCTCACGCCTGTAATCCTAGCACTTTGGGAGGCCGAGGCGGCCGGGTCATGAGGTCAGGACTTTGAGATCAGCCTGGCCGATATAGTGAAACCCCCTCTCTACTAAAAACACAAAAAATTAGCCGGGTGTGGTGGCGCGCCTGTAATCTCAGCTGCTCAGGAGGGTGAGGCAGGAGAATCGCTTGAATCTTGGAGGTGGAGGTTGCAGTGAGCCAAGATTGGGCCACTGCATTCCAGACTGGGCAACAGAGTGAGACTCCACCTCAAAAAAAAAAAAGTATTTCAGAAAAACTCTCATTTTTAAATAAAAGATAAATCAACCACATAAAAACTTACACACAAATGTTTGTTTATAGCTGCTTCACCCATAATTGCCAAAATTTGGGAGCAACCATAATGTCCTTCAATAGATGAATGAACTGTGATACATCCAGATAATAGAATATTTATTTATTCAATGATAAAAAGAAATGACCTCTCAAGGCACAAAGAGATGTGAAGGAACCTTAAACATGTATTGCTAAGTGAAAGAAGCCAACCTTAAAATGGTACATACTGTATGCTATGGTTTGAATGTGTCGTTAAAATTTCATGTGTTGAAACCTTAATCCCCAAATTCATATTTTGATGGCATTTGGTGGTGGAGCCTTGGGAGGTAATTAGGGTTAGATAAAGTCATTAGTGTGGGACTGGTGGCTTTATAAGAAAAGGAAGAAAGACCTGAGCTGGCATGCTCTTGCCCTCTTGCCAAGTGATGCTTTCTGCTATGTTATGATGCAGTAAGAAGACCCTCATCAGATGTGGCCCCTCAACCTTAGACTTCCCAGCCTCCGGAACTATAAGAAATAAATTCCTTTTCTTTATAAATTACCCAGTCTCGGGCATTCAGCTATAGTAACAGAAAACGAACTAAAACACTGTATGATTCCAAGTGTATGACATTCTGGATAAAGCAAAACTATGGAGACAGTAAAAGGATCAGTGGTTGGCAGGGGTTAGGGAACAGGGAGGGAGAGATGAGTAGGTGGAGCAAGAGGATTTTTAGGGCAGTGAAAATATTATTTATGATTCTGTAATGGTGGATATATGTCATTATACATTTGTCAAACCCACAGAACATACAACACAAAGAGTGAACCCTAATGTAAACTATACACTTTAGTTAATAATAATAATAATAATAATAATAATAATAATAATAACAATGTGTTCAATATAGATTCATCACTTGTAATAAATGTACCACACTAATGCAAGATATTAATGTAGGGGAATCTATGTATATGTGAGGGTGTGGGCAAAGGGGGATGTCTATGGGAACTTTCTGTACTTACTGCTCAATTTTTCTATAAAGCTAAAATTGTTCTAAAAATGAAGTCTATTAATTTTTTTTAAATAAAGGTAAATTACCACACATGAAGAAAATCATGGAGAAGTTCCTAAGTGGCAGAGTTGACCCTCTCTTCAAGCTCTGTGAAGCTGCAGATTCGAGGCCCATATCCAGTGCCCTTGACAGGCATCTCTTGTCAGCTGTGGTGTGCAGTGTCCTGTGCAATTCAACAGATGGTCTTCCTTTGATTTCCATAGGTTTTGCACCCAGGCAAGGATGGAAATGTATCAGAATAAGCAAAAGTGATAGAGTTAACCATGCACTTCCTGATATTAAACAAGAACAAATATGTGAAATAAATAATTGTGATATTAACATTTTTATATAAGCAGACTACTGTGGGCCTATGTCTGGACGGGAATGTGAAGAGGAAATAAAGGGAGATGGTAGAAGGTTAGGAAGCATTGATGGGAAAGGGAGAATTTCAGAGGTAAAATGAGGAATGAATATACCTCATAATATTGTTGAATAACCAGATAATACATGTGTTATGGGCAGAATTATGTCTCTTCAAAATTCATATGATGAAGCTCTAACCCCCAGTATCTCAGAATGTGACCGTATGTGGAGATAGGGCTTTTAAGAAGTAATCAAGTTAATATGAGGCTGTAAGGGTGGGCCTTAATTCAATCTGACTGGTGTTCTTATCAGAAGAGAACATTTGCACACACAAAGAGACACCAGGGTTGTGTGTGCACAGAGTAAAGACCATATGAGGACACAGTGAGAAGTTAGCCACCTGCAAACCAAGGAGAGAGGCCTGGGAGTAAAATCAACCTTATCAACACCTTGATCTTGGAATTCTAGCCTCCAGAACTGTGAGAAAATAAATTTCTGTTGTCTAAACCATCCAGCTGTTACGGCAGCTTGAGAAAACTAACACAACGTGTAAAGCATTTTGCACAATGCTTGTTCAATCTTAAGTACTCAATAATTATCTCCAGTTTAGTTAGAGCTGATATGTGTGGTTACTATAACTCTGTAATATAATTTGAAGTCAGGTAATGTGATTCCTCCAGTTTTGTCCTTTTTGCTTAGTATAGATTTGGCTGTTTGGGTCTTTTGCGGTTCCATATACATTTTAGGATAGGATTTTCTATTTTTGTGAAGAATGTCACTGATATTTTGATAGAGATTGCATTGAATCTATAGATTGCTTTGGGTAGTATGGACATTTTAACAATAGTGATTCTTCCAATCCATGAACATGGAATATGTTTCCCTTTTTCGGCATTCTCTTCCATTTCTTTCATCAGTGTTTTATAATTTTCATTATAGAGATCTTTCACTTCTTTGGTTAATCCTAGGTATTTAGTGTTATGTGTGGCATAACATTAAATGGGATTACTTTTAAAATTTCTTTTTCACATTGTTCACTGTTGGCATATAGAAATGCTACTGATTTTTGTATGTTTATTTTGTTTCCTGTGACTTTACTAAACTATTTATCAGTTCTAATAGTTTTCCTGTGAAGTCTTTAGGTTTTTCCAAATATAAGACGATATCATTTGCAAACAAGGATAATTTGACTTCTTCATTTTCAATTTGGAGGCTCTTTATATCTTTCTCTTGTCCGATTGCTCTAGCAAGAACTTCTAGTACTATGTTGAATAACAGTGGTGACAGTAGGCATCCTTGCCATGTTCCCAACCTTAGAGGAAAGGCTTTCAGTTTCTCCGCATTCAGTATGATACTAGCTGTGGGTTTGCTATATATGGCTTTTATTATGTTGAGGTATGTTCCTTCTATAGCCAGTTTTTTGAGAGTTTTTATCACGAAGCGATGTTGAATTTTATCAACTTCTTTTTCAGCATCAATTGAATGATCTGATATGGTTTTTATCCTTCATTCTGTTGATATGATGTATCACATTGATTGATTTGTGAATGTTGAATCACCTTGCATCCTAGGCATAAATCCCACTTGGTCATGATGAATCATCTTAATGTACTGTTGAATTTGATTTGCTAGTATTTTGTTGAGGATTTATGCATTAATATTCATCAGAGATACTGGCCTGTAGTTTTCTTGTTTTGATGTGTCTTTGTCTGGTTTGGGGATCAGGGTAATACTGAATGTGTCGAATGAGTTTGGAAGTATTCCTTTCTCCTCTATTTTTAAGAATAGTTTGTGGATGATTGGTATTAATTCTCCTTTAAATGTTTGGTAGAATTCAGTCATGAGGCCATCAGTTCCCAGGCTTTGTGTGTGTGTGTGTGTGTGTGTGTGTGTGTGTGTGTGTGTGTGTGAGACTTTTTTTTTTTTTTTTTTTTTGAGAAGGAGTTTTGCTCTGTTGCCCAGGCTGGAGTGCAGTGGCACGATCTCAGCTCACTGCAACCTCTGCCTCCCAGGTTCAAGCAATTCTCCTGCCTCAGCCTTCCGAGTAGCTGGGATTACAGGCACCCACCACCATGCCCAGCTATTTTTTTTGTATTTTTAGTAGAGCCTGGTTTCGAACTCCTGACCTCAAGTGATCTGCCCACCTCAACCTCCCAAAGTGCTAGGATTACAGGCATGAGCCACTCTGCCCGGCTGGGAGACTTTTTGTTATGGCTTCGATCTCATTACTTGTTATTGCTTTCTTCAGGTTTTGGATTTCTAGGGTCTAGTATCTAGGAATTCATCCGTTTATTCTAGATTTTCCAATTTATTGGCATATAGTTGCTCACAGTAGCCACTAACGATTCTTTGAATTTCTGCAGTATTGGTTGCAATGTGTCCTTTTTCACTTCTGATTTTATTTATTTGAACCATCTCTCTTTTTTTCTTAGTCTGGTAAAGGTTTGTCAATTTTGTTTAACTTTTTGGAAAACCAACTTTTTGTTTCATTGCCCTTTTGTATTATTTTTTCATTTCAATTTGATTTATTTCTGCTCTGATCTTTATTATTTCTTTTCTTCTACTAATTTTGGGTTTGATTTGCTTTTACTTTTCTAGTTCTTTATGATGCATTGTTAGATTGTTCATTTAAAGTTTTTCCTCTTTTTTGATGTAGGCACTTATAGCTGTAACCTTCCCTGTTAGTACTGCTTTTGCTGTATCCCATAGGCTTTGGTATGTTGTGTTTCCATTATTATTCATTTCAAGAAATTTTAAAATTTCTTTTTCTTTTCTTTTAGATGGAGTCTTGCTCTGCCGCTTAGGCTGGAGTGCAGTGGCACGCTCACGGCTCACTGCAACCTCTGCCTCCTGGGTTCAAGCAATTCTCCTGCCTCAGCCTCCCGAGTAGCTGGGACTACAGGTGTGTGCCACCGCGCCCAGCTAATTTTTTGTATTTTTAGTAGAGATGGGGTTTCACTGTGTTAGTCAGGATGGTCTCAATCTCCTGACCTCATGATCCACCTGCCTCAGCCTCCCAAAGTGATGGGATTACAGGTGTGAGCCACTGCACCTGGCCTCAATTTCTTTCTTCATTTCTTCATTGCCCGCTGGTCATTCAGGAGCATATCGTTTAATGTCCATGTATTTGTATAACGAAATTCCTCTTATTAATTTCTAGTTTCATTCCATTTTGTTCAGATAAGATGCTTGATAGTATTTCAATTTTTTGAATGTTTTAAGGCTTGTTTTGTGACATAACATATAGTCTATCCTTGAGAATGATCCATGTGGGGAGGAAAGAAATGTGTATTCTGCAGCTCTTGTGGATGAAATGTTCTGTAAAATCTATTAGATCCATTTGATCTATGATATAGATTAAGTCTGATTTTTTTTTGTTGATTTTCTGTCCAGAAGATACGTTTAATGCTAAAAGTGGGGTGTTGAAGTATGCAGCTAGTATTGTATTGGAACCTTTCTCTCTCTTTATCTCTAATAATATTTGCTTTACATATCTGGGTGCTACAGTGTTTGGTGCATACATATTTAAAACTGTTATATCCTCTTGCTGAATTGACCCCTTTATCATTATATAGTGTCCTTCTTTTTCTCTTCTTATAGTTTTTGTCTTGAAATCTCTTTTGTCTGCTGTAAGTATAGCTACTCCTGCTCTTTTTTGGTTTCCATTGGTATGGAATGTTTTTTTCCTGTCCTTTTAATCTCAGTCTACATGTGTCTTTATAGGTGAAGTATGTTTCTTGTAGCCAACAGATCAATGGCTTTTGTTTTGTCATCCCTTCAGCCATTTTCTGTCTGGAGTGCGGTGGCACAAACTCAGCTCACTACAACCTCCCCACCTCTTGGGTTCAAGTGATCCTTCCATCTCAGCCCCCCGAGTAGCTGGGATTACAGGTGGCTGCCATCACACCCAGTTAATTTTTGTATTTTTAGTAGAGATGGGGCTTCAACATGTTGGCCAGGCTGGTCTCAAATTCCTGACCTCAAGTGATCTGCCCTCCTCAGCCTCCCAAAGTGCTGGGATTACAGGCGTGAGCCACCCCACCTAGCCTCCATTTTATGTCTTTTGTTTGGAGAGTTTAGTCCATTTACAGTCAATGTGATTATCGATAAGTAAGGACTTACTCCTGTCATTTTGTTATTTGTTTTCTGGTTGTTTTGTGGTCTTCTCTTGCTTCTTTTTCTCCTTCTTGAATTCGTTAGTGAAGATAATTTTCTCTAGTGATATGATTTAGTTTCTTGTTTTTTATTTTTTGTGTATCAATTGTATGTTTTATGGTTTGAGGTTGCTATGAGGCTTGGAGATACTATAATCCATTATTTTAAGCTAATGACAACACTGTTTGCATAAACAAGCAAAAAAAAACCCACTAATACTGTATGCCTTAATTTTATACCTCCACTTTTTAACATTTTATTGTTTCTATATATATTTTATTGTACTGTCTGAGTCTTGAAAAGTCATTGCAGTTATTATTTTTGGATTGGTTCATTGTTTAGTCTTTCTACTTAAGATAAGAGTAGTTACACAAAACAGTTACAGTGTTATAATGTTCTGTGTTTTTCTTTGTACTTACTATTACCAGTGAGTTTTGTACCTTCAGATGATTACTTATATCTCATTAATGTCCTTTTTTTTCTGATTGAAGTACTCCCTTTAGCATTTCTTATAGGACAAGTCTGATGTTAATGAAATCCCTCAGCTTTTGTTTTTCTGGGAAAATCTATTTCTCATTCATGTTTGAAGGATATTTTCACCAAACGTACTATTCCAGGGTAAACATTTTTTTTTTCCTTCAGCACTTTAAATATGTCATGCCACTCTCTCGGCCTTAAGGTTTCCACTGAAAAGTCTGCTGCCTGATGTATTGAAGGTCCATTTAATTTTAATTGTTTCTGTTTTCTTGCTGCTTTTAAAATTTTGTCTTTATCCTTCATCTTTGGGAGTTTGATAGTAAATGCTTTGAGGGAATCTTCTTTGAGTTAAATCTGCTTGGTATTCTATAACCTTGTTTTTGGATATTGATATATTTCTTTAGGTTTGCGAAGTTCTCTGTTATTATCCCTTTGAATAAACTTTCTACCCCTATGTCTTTCTCTACCTCTGCTTTAAGGCCAATAACTCTTAGATTTGCCCTTTTGAGGCTATTTTCTATATCCTATAGGCATGCTTTATTGTTTTTTATTATTTTTTCTTTTGTCTCCTGTGTATTTTGAAATAGCCTGTCTTCAAGATCACTAATTCTTTCTTCTGTTTGAGCAATTCTGCTATTAATGGACTCTGATGCATTCTTCAGTATGCCAATTGCATTTTTCAACTCCAGCAATTCTGCTTGATTCTTTTTAATTATTTCAATCTCTTTGTTAAATATATCTGATACAATTCTGCATTCCTTCTCTGTGTTATCTTGAATTTTTTTGAGTTTCCTCAACACAGATATTTTGAATTCTCTGTCTGAAAGATTACATATATGTTCCTCCAGGATTGATTCTTGGTGCCTTATTTAGTTCATTTGGTAAGGCTATGCTTTCCTGAATGTTGTTGTTGCTAGTAGATATTCTTTGGTGTCTGGGCATTAAGGAGTTAGGTCTTTATTGTAGTCTTCACTGTCTGGGGTTATTTGTAGCTGTCCTTCTTGGGGAGGCTTTTCAGATATTTGAAAGAACTTCAGTGTTGTGATCTAAGCTATATCTTCTTTAGGGGGCACTCCAAGCTCAGTAATGCTGTGGTTTTTGCAAACTCATAGAGGTACTGCCTTGATGGTCTTGCATAAGATCTGAGCGAATTCTCTGGATTGCCAGGCAGAGACCCTTGTTCTCTTCCCTTACTATCTCCCAAACATACTGAGTCTCTCTCTCTGTTCTGAGCCACCTAAAGCTGGGGATGGAGTGACACAAGCACCCCTGTGGCCAACACTACTTTGACTGCTTTGGGTCAGACCTGAGGTCAGCACAGCACTGCGTCTTCCCCAAGGCCTGCTGTGACCACTCCGTCGCTACTGCTTATGTCCGTCGCTACTGCTTATGTTCCCTCCAGGCCCTGGGCCTCTACAATCAGCAGGTGGCAAAGCAAGTGAGGCCTGTATTCTTTCCTTCAGGGCAGCAAGGTTCCTCAGGCCCCAGTTGGGTCTGGAAGTGCTGTCTAGGGGCCAGGGACAACAATCAAATATCTTAGATATCTACCTGTTGTTTTACTGTATTGCGGCTGAGCTGGCACTCAAACCACAAGATGCAGTCCTTTCCACTCTTCCCTCCCCTTTGCAAAGGAAGATGAGCCCCACCCAGTAGCTACTGCCACCCTAGGCCATGAGGAGTATTGTCAGGCTGTAGCCGATGTTCTCTTAAGCCCCAAGGTCTAAGTCAGCCTGTGGTGAATGCTGCCTGGCTTGGGACTGCCCAGGCTTGCCCCTTCAGGGCAGTGGTTTTCCCTCTGGGCCAGGGCATGTCCAGAAATGTCATCGAAGAGTTAAGTCCTGGAATCAGAGCCCCAAGTGCCTGCTTGGTGCTCTACTACCCCCCTGTGGCTGTTCTGGTACCTAAGCCCCCTTACTTTTCTTTCTGCTTTTCTCAAGCAGAAGGAATTTTTCCTGGTAACCACCACAGCTGGTAATGTGCTGAGTTCCATGTGAATCCAGCAAATCTCAGAGGCTCACTGAAGGCCCTTGATGTAGTACCTGGGTATTGCTGCTGGTTATTCAGGGCCCAAGGGCTCTTCAGTTAGCAAGTGATAAATGCTGCCAGGACTGGGTCGTTTCCTTCAAAGCAGTAGGTTCCCTTCTAGAAATGTCATCTGGGAGCTAGGGTCTGAAACAGAGGTCTCACAACTCAGACTGGTGCCCTATCCTGCTGTGACTGAGCTGGTTTCCTAGATGCAAGACAAAGTCCTCCCTACTCTTCCCTCTCCTCTCCTTAAGTGGAATGAAGAGGTCTCTTTTGGAGCCTCAAGCTGTGCAGCCTGGGGTTAGGGGAGGGGTGATCCCAGCACTCCCTTGGCTGCCCCAGCTGGTGTTTCGGTATGACACATCGTGCCCCCTCATTCCACTGCCTTTAGGCCTAGTTCAAGACTAGGGCTGCCTAAGAGTTGCAGTCCTTATGGCCTAGACAGTCTTTCAAGTTTGCTTGGAGACACGGAGTGCTGTAGCCCTCGGTGGCAAGGTTTGCATGCACTCAAGATGGGATCGCTGGGACTGGCAATTCCCCTCTGGCTAGGGTTGGTTTAAATGCTCGCTCTGTGGGCAGGTGTCATCTAAGTTTGATTCAGGTTTCCTTTCTACTCTAACAGGATGGTACTGAGTCCAGTGCCTCACAATTGCTGTGCTCTGCCTCCCCCACCTCCCAGAGATGCTCTCCACACCATGCTTTTGCTACCAGGGTAGGGGAGGGGTGGCGTTATAGATCCAGGACTGTTTTTCCTATCTCTTCAGTACGTCTTTCAGTAATACGAAGTTAAAACAAGGTACTAGGAGTGCTTATCTAATTTTTGGTTCTTATGAAGGTGTTGTTTTCTGTGTAGATAGTTGTTAATTTTGTGTTTTTGCAGACTGGGGGGGATGGCCCGTGGAGCTTTCTCTTCCCCCATCTTGCTCTGCCTCGACTTATCAAGAAAAGGAATGTATATTTTACAGTCATGGAGGCAAAGAAGTCCAAGATTGACAAGCTACATCTGGTGAGGGCCTTCTTGCAGGCAGGAACTCCCTGAAGAGTTCCAAGGTGGCACAGGGCAGCATGTGGCAAGGGGGCTTACTGTGCTAGCATGCTAGTTCAGGTCTCTCTTCTTTCTCTTACAAAGCCACCAGTTCCCCTCCCATGATAACTCATAACCCATTAATTTATTAATTCATGAATGGATTAATCCATTCTTGAGGGTAGAGCCTACATGATCCAATCACCTCTTAAAGGCCTCACCTCTCAATACTGCCACATTGGGGATTAAGTTTCAACATGAGTTTTGGAAGTGACGTTCAGACCACAGCAGTATGCATCTCTAAAATACAAGGACATTTCCTCACATAATCACAATACTATTATCATACCTAAATTAACAGCAATCCCTTAATATCATCTAAAACCTAGTCATATGCATACTTCCCCAATAGCCTCTAAATGTCTTTAATGCACTCAGCATGAAAACATGTACTAGAATATAAAATATTAGAGTGTGTTGCATGTAGAAAGGGTAAGCATTATTTCTTGAAAATGTGTCTGTGTGTGTGTGTGTGTGTGTGTGTGTGTGTGCTGGATTGCAAAACTAAAATGTTTTCTGTTTGTTTTTTGCTGTGGGACATGGTAAAAAAAAGTTGGAAACTTTTATGTAGATGGTGAAAGTATCTATAAAGTCAAAAACAAAAGCAAGATGTTCAATAACACTGCTTCTTGTCAACATTTTCTTGGAGGTTCCAGTCAATGTGAAAGAGAAAGAAAAATGTATAAATATTATAAAGAAAGAGACAAAACTGTCATTGTTTGCAAACAATATAATTTTCTTCTAGAAAATCTGAGAGGATACATATAGCCGAAAAGCTTTGTCTTATTGTTTTTGAAAGTAATGTTGGCCGGGCGTGGTGGCTCACACCTGTAATCCCAGTACTTTGGGAGGCCGAGGCGGGTGGATCACCTGAGGTCATGAGTTTGAAACCAGCCTGGCCAACATGGTGAAACTCTGTCTCTATTAAAAATACAAATATTAGCAGGGCATGACGGTGCATGCCAGTAATCTCAGCTACTTGGGAGGCAGAGGCAGGAGAATCACTTGAATCCGGGAGGCAAAGTTTGGAGTGAGCCGAGATCATGCCACTGCACTCCAGCCTGGGCAACAGAGCAAAACTCTGTCTGAAAAAAAAAAAATAAATAAAAAGAAAGTACTGTCAAAAATTTAATTCCCATTTGTTCAGTCATTCACATCCATATCCAAATTTTCTTCCACATGCAGTTCACAGTTATTTCTAGATTGGTGAGTGGGACAGGATTGTTTGGTTTTGATGAAACTCACAGGAAAATGAGACAGCATCGGCTGGGTGTGGTGGCTCATGCCTGTAATCCCAGCACTTTGGGAGGCTGAAGAGAGAGGGTTGCTTGCAGCCAGGAGCTCAAGATCAGCCTGGGCAATAGTGCGAGACCCCGTCTCTACAAAATTAAAAAGTTAGCTGACTGTGGTGGTGTGTGCCTATAGCCCTTGGTACTCGGGACGCTGAGGCAGGAAAATGGCTTGAGCCTGGAGGAGGGCTTGAGCCCAGGGGTTCCAGGATGCTGTGAACTATGATGATGCCACTGTACTCCAGAATGGGCAACAGGGCGAGACACTGTCTCTCCAAAGAAAACAAACAAACAAAAAAAGAAAAGAAAAGAAAATGAGATAGCATCTGTTTAGATATAATGCCCTAGCATTGTTTATGTTTTGTTGTGTGTTCTTACTGTTTTTCTGCTATACTTCTGTCCATCCTTTATTTTATTTTAGAGACAAAGTCTCACTCTTTCGTCCATGCTGGAGTGCAGTAGTGCGATCATAGCTCACTGCATCCTCAAACTCCTGGGATCAAGCAATCCTTCTGCTTCAGGTTCCTGAGTCACTGGACTACAGAAGTGCACCATCACACTCAGCCTCCATCTTTTATTTTTAACCTTTCGATTGATGTATACATACATAAAAGCAAACATATTGTAAGCTGATGAAATTCCAGAAACTGAAAACACCCATGTAATGGGCAGCCAATCAGCAAACAGAACATTGTTAGCACCCAGAAGCCTCCTTGTGTCCCTTTCAGTCATTACTTGCTCCTCAACTCCCCAAATAATTAAAATAAATTTAACAGATTTAAAGTGATGGCAACAAGAGGAATTATTATAAACAGAATCATACTCTAAGCACACTTGCTATAACGCAAAAAATCTTTTGTAATTCGAGTAAACACTTACCTCTTATCATCTGAGCTTTGATATATATTTGGTTTTGTTAAAGCAGAGCACATTTTAAAATATATTCCACAGCCAAAATGATATTTGTTTTGAATTATTTGATAGCTTGAATTATCTAACATTGCTCACCTCCATTGGTAAAAGTACTTAAATTACATATATTTAATTTATTGTCCTTTATGTTTAATGATAACATGGCTAATAGTGAGAGAAATGTGATGTGGTGGATGGTTCAGTGTATGACCACTAATTATTTTAATACTATGCATATGTGAACATTATCCTTTAGTTTGTAACCATAATAGTAGATTCTGCTGGAATTTGTGAGTATGTCTTATAACCAAAAGAGGGTCTGGCTGCTTGATGGTTGCAGTAAGAAGTTAAAATAACAGGAGCCAGGTATGATAAAAAGAGAGTGAATTTTATTATCCGTTGCCAGCGAGGGGGAAAGTGGCTGGAATCCTTTCCAAAAATTGCCAATTTCCAATTTCTGGAGAGACGGCAAGGGTTTAAGAAGAGGGGCTTGGAATGCAAGAGAGGAAGGGGGCTAGGAGGTGCCAAATGGTGTGACTTGCTCTGATGGCTTATCTTGAATTATTGTTCCATGGCACCATTGTGGACCTGACAGGTTACAAATCAATCACATTCAATCTTGCAGTCAGTCCAGAGGGAACTCCGGTCTTGAAGTAATCTTCTGCTGGGGAGAGAATCCTGGAGGTGCCTGTTTCCTGTCAGGATTCAGTCCTTGAAGCTTCTAAGGAAATATATGACCAGGTAAGTGAGCCAGTGTGAACTTAACAAGCATCCAGGTAAATAAATATGCATAAGGCATGGGAGCATAAGGTGGGAAAGGGGAGGAAGTGGAATTTTAAAGCACATCCCCAGGCTGTATTTCAAGGAAAAAGAAAACACTTCTGTAGTTTATGTCAAAGCTATGTCTTGAGACTGGGGGGAAAGAAGAAAAGAAAAAAAAAGTTTTAAAACATGGTTTGAAGCTAAGCTGCTCTATTACACACTGATATAATTTTTGCAAAGCCAGTTTCAATTCCTTCATCTTATGATTAGGCCAGTGTCTGTGCAAACTTGCCTTACTTTAAACTGTTCTTAAAATGTTTATTTTGCCCTCTCTGTTTTCATTTGTGTTAATTCCAGTCTTCGATCATGAGCTATTTGGCTACCCCACTCTCATTGGGGAATTAGGCATGTCCAGGGTTGATCCCTCGAGAAACTGCCTGACAGAAAAAATAAATTTATTTGCAGTGAGAAATATAACTGTCATGGCCAGTAGATACCAGAAAGTTGCAGTTTGCGAGGCTTATTGTGCATTAGATTCACCTGGGGGTACTTAAGAAGTTTTATAACTTCCCTTTAAGTGCATTACATTGTTGTTCCATTTGGAATTTCACAGGACATATGATTTAATAAACCTAGGTGAGGCCGGGAGCGGTGGCTGAGCGGTGGCTCAGCACTTTGGGAGGCTGAGGCGGGTGGATCACGAGGTCAGGAGTTCGAGACCAGCCTGTCCAACATGGTGATACCCTGTCTCTACTAAAAATACAAAAATTAGCTGGGCATGGTGGCAGGTGCCTGTAATCCCAGCTGCTTGGGAGGCTGAGGCAGGAGAATCGTTTGAACCCGGGAGGCGGAGGTTGCAGTGAGCCAAGATCGTGCCATTGCACTCCAGCCTAGGCAACAAGAGCAAAACACCGTCTCAAAACAAAAACAAACAAAACAAATAAATAAACAAAACACTAAACCTAGGTGGCGCTTGGACATCTGTGTGGCAAGCTACATGGAACTAGGCTGTTTTTGTAATGGCTCCTCCATGACCAGGTCTGTACCTTGTCATTTCCCAGACTCTCATGCTTCATCCCCTTCCCTAAACCCCCATTACTGTTACTCTCCCAAGCCTGCCCTCTTCTGATACTATTCATTGCACTATTCCTTTTAGCCTTTATTTCAGCATGAAAACCTAATAACTTATTGTTCACATTTCAGAACTCTAGTTAACTAGTTAATGCATAATAAGGTATTACTGGGTGGTAACTACCTAATATGATAACTCCCCAATTCACTATTTAGCCAGAGCATTCCAACCTTTTACTCAATCATTGCCTTAAAGGGTAACATTTGTATCCTTGGTAGTTCAGTGCAGAAAATCTGAGCAAGGCAGCTACTTAGCCATCATTATGAATTCTCTCTACACATCTAGCTGTCTTTGCACATGTCCCAGAGGCTAAGTGATTCAACAAAAGCTCATTGCATTTTGTGATCTCATTGTTGATGATCTCTGCCATTTTACTATGTGGTCTAAAGTGACTGCACATGAAACCATACTTGATGACAAGAAAAGGGACAGAAAGAAGTCTCATCTACCACCATAGAGAATGCTAAACCCATCAACTTCTGTATGAATTTCTACTGTTGTTTCATGGTATCTGGATTCTCTAGCCAGTTTACAGCCCAAAGACATGCCATTTTTCTTGATTTCCTTTTCTGTAGGTTCACTGGGGGCACAGTGGTATTCAGTGAGTTGTTTAAGTAGCAGCGACTACTGATAGCTTTGGCCTCTCAGAAAATCTTGGGCTTTCCTAATGTAGCTTATGGATGATCTTGTTTGTCTAACCCCGATTTCTTTTTAAGTTACTTATTTTGAATAAGTAATACATTAACATGGTTCAAAAAATAAACTAACAAGATTTACATTTAGAACCCCCATACCTACTCCTGTCCCCATCTAACTTACACTTCCTACTCCCATAAATAACAATGTTATTCATTTCTTATATATCCTTTCAGTGTTTCTTCTTCTTTTTTTTTGTAGAGACAGGGGTCTTGGTATGTTGCCCAGGGTGGTCTCGAACTCCTTGCCTCCAGCGATTATCCGGCTTTGGCCTCCTAAAGGGCTGGGATACAGTCGTGAGCCACTGTGTCCTGCCAGTGTTTCATTATGCAAACACAAGCCAAGAAGCCATATACATACAAATATATATATATATATATTTGTAGAGACAGGAGACAGGGTTTCTCTCTGCCACCCAAACCAGAGTGTAGTGGCGCCATCACAGCTTACTGCAGCCTTGATATGGAATGAGCTCCCTCATTCTTAAGCTTCATATAGTACAGTATTCTATTGTATTCATGTACCATAGTTTAACTAGTCCTTTATTGACAGACACTTGGGATTTTTCCTGTCCTTTGCTATGACAAATGAGAAAATGTACATACAGAAATACATAAAGTCCAGAGATCTATCCTTACATTAGATTCACAGAAATGGAACTGCTGGCTCAAAGGGTAAATCTATTAGATCTTTGTGTCACTCAGAGTTTGCCTGCCATATGTGTGAAGAAGAGATCAAACTTTATCTTTTCTATATAGCTATGCAGTTGTCTCAAGACCATTGATTTAAAATAAAAGTCCATTATTACCCCACTGATTTGACTCGGTACTAATTTTCTACATGCATTTGGTTCTATTTATAGACTTTCTATTCTGTCCCATTGGTCTTTCTACTCATGTTCCAGTGACTCAATGTGTGCTTTTTTCATTTTGCAAGGTTAGCTCACCATAGTTTTATTAGGGAGGGGACTGGTACTGTAACAAAGATTGTACACAAGTAGTTTAAACAAGATAGAAGTTGATTTCTCTGTCATGTTAACAGTATAGAGGTGAGTGGTCCAGGGCTGGTGAGGAAGCACTACCATCACTGAGGCCAAGGTGGCTGCCCCAGCTTCTGCCATCTCCCAGTCAGCAGAAGGCAGAAAAGGGCCTAAAGACAGCATGAACTTTCCTTTTTAGGGTCACTATGTGGAAATGGCTTATATCAGTTGCCCAGAACTTGCTCACATGGTCACTCCAAGCCACAAGGAAGATGGAGAAATGTAGTCTCTTGTTGGAGAGCCATGTGTTTGATTAAAATTTAGGAGTTCTATTAGTAAAGAAAGGGAAAATGGTCTCTGTTACAATGGTGACCTGATGGTAAAGACCCCAATGTAGAAGGTATTGGGGCATTGTAACGTAAATAATGGCATAAACTTTCCTCCAGGAATTCACAATAGAGGATTGGTGCAGAGGAGTCTAGGATTCATATAGGCTCTACCTCTTACCTTCATATTTGTGGGATTCTCTTTGATTAGAATTGTATTTACTATTTTTAGAGCTCTTGCATGCTCTTTCTCTTTTTCTGTATATGTTGCTGTATGTGTGCGTTTTTTTTTCTTTTCTCACTGCTTTACTCACATGTCCCTGGAGGTATCAATCTATTTCTGAGGCAACTATTGGGGCTTGTTAATGAATTAATTGGCAAAAAGAAGCCTCTCAGGGAACAAAAGCCCGACCCCGTTTATACCTCTGAACTTCCTATCTCCCTTCCTTTGATATCTCCCTTGAATGTGATAAAGAATAGACAATTTAAGTGGGTCTTTTATATTTACAGAAGACTACACTTATATATAAAAGGGGATCTGGGTAATAGATAACTAAACTAAAGGATAGGAAAAAGCCACAAAAAGAAAGATCCTATAGCCTTAGAGAGACCATATGATTTATCACCTAAACTGGGATACTTTAAAGAGTTTAAGGAGGCTGGGCGTGGTGGCTCATGCCTGTAGTCCTAGCTACTTGGGAGACTGAGGCAGGAGGATCCCTTGAACCCCAGAGGTTGAGCCTGATTGCAGTGAGCTGATTGCTGGACTGCACTCCAGCCTGGGAGACAGAGCGAGGTCCTGTCTTTAGAACAAGCAAACAAACAACCCTCCCCGCTCCCTCCAAAAAAAATAACCACAAGCAGATTTTTTTGGGGCATACACATATTTTGATCAGTTTCTTAGCTATATCTGTCTCTAATACCATGTTACTGGTATTTTTCTGAAAAATGTATTTTTTTTCAATATGGTCTTATTAAGTTTTTTCATAAAATTGCCTGCAATCTGTCTCCCAGTTGCATTTTATGGTTAACAAATTTAACATTACAGATATCTTCAACTGATTTTTCTCCATAGATCATGTCGACCTAAAAGGAAGAAGTGTAGGCAAAATATGGAAAGGTCATTTGGGCCATGGTTGAGAACTGCAGCCTGGGACACACTTCCAGGTTGCCTTGAAGAGTACTCTGGAGAACAATGGGGAGGTTCAAATTTTTTAAGAAAAAAGGATGAATCAGGAGTGGGGGTGATTGCAAAGTTGTTTGTCAAGAATTCTCATTGGTTTAAAGAAATAACATTGGGCTGGGTGTGGTGGCTCACACCTGTAATCCTAGCAATTTGGGAGGCCGAATCGGGCGGATCATTTGAGGTCAGGAGTTCGAGACCAGCCTGGCCAACAGGGTGAAACTACGTCTCTACTAAAAATACAAAAATTAGCTGGGCGTGGTGGCATGCACCTGTAATCCCAGCTACTCAGGAGTCTGAGGCATGAGAACTGCTTGAACCCGGGAGGCGGAGGTTGCAGTGAGCCGAGATTGTGTCCCTGCACTCCAGCCTGGGCAACAGAGTGAGACTCCGTCTCAAAAAAAAAAAAAAAAAAAAAAAGCCAACAAGGGTGTCTCTCTAGAGCAAACTAGAAAGATGGAATCTCCTATATACATCATAATCTAATCATGGGAGTTATATCTCATCACTTCTGCCACATTCTATTGGTTAGAAGCCAGTCATAGTTCCAGCTCACATTCAAGGGGAGGAAATTATAGAAAGATGTGAACACTAGAGGGCAGAGATCATGGGCACCATCTTAGAATTGGGAAATGGCTCTGAGATTGAGATTTGTGTGCAGGTGGATCACTGGGGGTTGCTTCTGGGAACAAGTCCTGTAAAGGAGTAAGGAAATCAGATTTGGATAGAAAAGGGAGAAGTCTCAATAGAGGCTTCAGCCAACCCCACAGACAGTTCTGAAGCAGAGCTGGTCCTTTAGAGACGTCCTGAAATGAAGCAAAGAAGCCAGGCCTTTGGAACGGCATTAAGCAATCACTAATGGATGCCCCTGGGAAGTCGGTATAACCTTAGGCAAGGCAGCTTCCTTCAACAGAGGGCAGTTTCTGGGGAGAAACTCAGCTGTGAGCTGTCAGCAACTAATACTCCCAGCAGCTAATAATAAGTGCCTCAGTTCTGAAAGAGGGAATCTGAGTGATATATCATCATCACACTTGGTTAACTAGAATATCTCCTCAGTCAGTATATATATTTTCCCAGCACTGTGAATAAAAGTCAGTTGAATGAGAAATTGAAAGTACCTCTGATTGGTCCCTTCCTGCAACCAATCAGGCTGGTGGCAGGCCAAGTTTTCATTTGTATAGGAGTGTAACTTTGTAACTTCACTTCAGCCTCTGATTGGTCACTTTCTGCAACCAATCAGACTGACCATGGACCACTACTTCATTTGCATGGGGTATACACCAAGTGGCTAATGGGAAACCTCTACCGGGTATTTAGACCCCAGAAAATTCTGTAACCAAGCTCTTGAGCTGCTTGCTCAGGCCTGCTCTCACCTTGTGGAGTATACTTTTGAAACCGCCTTTGCAAAAATCATAACTGAGGAAATTATGACAGTGAAAGAGATCAGACCTAACCTACCCTATCTTCCTTCTAACTTCTAAAATGTCTTTGTTCATTCCTGGGTATAGGCCAAACTAGCCTTGGGAAAGAATTTATAGTGTAAACTCTGAGACAAAATTGATAACAGCCCTTTCCCCTTCTTGCTGGGACCAGTCTGCCTTTCTTTGTAGGTGTAACAAATTAGCTACAAGATTATAAATTACAGTTTAGGGGCCATGCAGCCTCTGGCTGCAAGAATCTGAACCTCCCCAAATTGCTTCTGGGAATAACATCACCATTGCAAATCCTAAGATCAGTGCTTGAGATATTTTGCAGACCCTGCATTCTCATGCAGCAGAGGACACCACCCAGACTGATAATCTGGCTCAACTAGCTCCACGATCCCACCCAGGAAGAACTCGCAAGAACTCACTTCGACCCCGTGATTTAATCTTCATCCCGACCAACTAGCACTCCCCACTTTCCGAACCCATACCTGCCAAATTATCCTTAAAAACTCTGATTCCAGAATGCTCAGGGAGACTGATTTGAGTGATAATGAAACTCTGGTCTCCCGCACAGCGCTCAGCGTGAATTATTCTTTCGCCATTGCAATTCCCGTCTTCATAAATCAGCTCTGTCTAGGCAGCGGACAAGGTGAACCCATTGGGCGGTTACACTTTCGTTTTCAATACATCTCTGCTTTTATTGCTTCATTCTTTCTTTGCTTTGTGCATTTCGTCCAGTTCTTAGTTCAAGACGCTAAGAACTTGGACACCCTCCACGGGTAACAGGACTACAGGTGCCCGCCACCACGTCTAGCTAATTTTTTGTATTTTTAGTAGAGATGGGGTTTTGCTATGTTGCTCAGGCTGGTCTCGAACCACTGGGCTCAAGCAATCTGCCGGCCTTGGCCTCCCAAAGTGCCGGGATTAAAGGCGTGAGCCACCGCGCCTGGCCCACTAAACTTCTCTGTGCATCAGTTATTTCATTTGCCTAATGAGGATAACAGTAGTCACTACTGCGTTTTGTGAGCGTTGGTTAATATATGAAAAATGCCACGTGTTTGCCATTAGCATCAATCATGCCATAACCAGAAAAATTACATTGCATTTTTTATTTTAAAAAAGGTGGGGGCCAGAGTGGACCTGGGCCTCTTCCAACTTCTGAGAGGTCTCTATTACTAAGTAAGCCTTAAGAAGCAGAATTCCATGAAGGGAGCTAGGAAACCAGGATTTTCCAAAAGGAGGTGGCATTTGCATTGATCCTGGTAGGGCAGCCTCGAATTCCACGGGGTTGGGGTTGCGCCTTTTCCAAGGCAGCCCTGGGTTTGCGCAGGGACGCGGCTGCTCTGGGCGTGGTTCCGGGAAACGCAGCGGCGCCGACCCTGGGTCTCGCACATTCTTCACGTCCGTTCGCAGCGTCACCCGGATCTTCGCCGCTACCCTTGTGGGCCCCCCGGCGACGCTTCCTGCTCCGCCCCTAAGTCGGGAAGGTTCCTTGCGGTTCGCGGCGTGCCGGACGTGACAAACGGAAGCCGCACGTCTCACTAGTACCCTCGCAGACGGACAGCGCCAGGGAGCAATGGCAGCGCGCCGACCGCGATGGGCTGTGGCCAATAGCGGCTGCTCAGCAGGGCGCGCCGAGAGCAGCGGCCGGGAAGGGGCGGTGCGGGAGGCGGGGTGTGGGGCGGTAGTGTGGGCCCTGTTCCTGCCCGCGCGGTGTTCCGCATTCTGCAAGCCTCCGGAGCGCACGTCGGCAGTCGGCTCCCTCGTTGACCGAATCACCGACCTCTCTCCCCAGCTGTATTTCCAAAATGTCGCTTTCTAACAAGCTGACGCTGGACAAGCTGGACGTTAAAGGGAAGCGGGTCGTTATGAGGTAATTCTGCACGTTTGCCCGCGTGCTCTCTGTGCTCTGTCGCAAACCTCTTTGGCCGGAGCCGACTTGTTCTCTCGTCTGCTCTAAGTTCTTTTAGCTTTTGGCTGGGCCCCAGGGGTCCTAGGCTTGGAGGGCGAGGCTGCTCACGGGTTTGGTGGTTTCTAGCCGCATTTTCCCCAGCCCAGAAAGCACCCGAAGTCACCCTTCGGGGATGGATCCCACTGAGGAAGGGCTGAGATTGCCGCTGGGACCCATTTTGTCCTTTTTCCTATTGGTGAAATGCAGTTCCGTTGCCTCCAGCTCCCAGTCGGCGAGATGGGACTTAATGCTTATCCTGCAAATCTCTAGGCTTCAAGGAAGGGACCTTGAAAGGTCATTTTACTTTCCCTTCCCCCACGCTCCTAGACCGTCGCAGCCAAATGAGAAACGGCCCACATCTCACAGGTTCCTGCACAAAAGGATATTTTTCCAAGAGGATGTTGATTTAACTTCAGGAGTAGACCCCCCCGCCCCCCGCCACTAAAGAATTGGGGTGGGAGGGTAGGGCGGGGCGAACTGGAGGAGGCCCTGCAGAGCTTACGTAACAGGCGTCTGCTGCCCTGCAGCGCGGTATCGTTGGACTCTTGGGCACAGGATTTGCATCAGGATTGTGACATACTAGGTAATGGTAGAGCAGGGTGTGGCTGCTCATACTTGCTGGCCTCCAATCTCATCCCCACGTGTGGCTAGAAAAGTAGAATTTTAAAATTGGGGGAAGTTTCCTCGTGCACTTTGGGTCTCTTACTCTGCGCATGTGGATCTCTAGTCACTTGCCAACACGGTTTCTCTCTTATCTGCCAGAATTGTTGGTAGAGTGGGCAGCTTTTACATTTATCCTTTTTGTCACGTGTGATATATTTGTGCATACCAGGAGCAAGGTGCAGGAGGATGAGTCGGTATGTAACTGATGGACTTGACTGTTCATATACCTTAACAGGATCCAAGAGTGGTGTTTTTGAGGGGTCATAAAGGTTTCTGTTGATAGCATTTTGCAACCTTGACCTTTTTGGGAAGTGGTTGATTGATGGGTAGGTATTTATTTGGCTGGTGTAATCTAGCCCCTTTTCCAATTTGGGCTGGTTCAAATGAGGGCTTGTGTTGGATATTAACAGACACGTAAGTCAGTAGGAGATCTCCCTTTACTCTAACTTTAAACATATGAGGACACGTTTGAGTTAGGGAACTGTATGGGTACCCTAAAAGGACATGTAGCTCTCCTCTTCTCTCTAATTTCACTTTGGTCAATATTTTTGCAGGTAACCGCTGCCCTGCTGTGGAGATAGAAGAACCCAATAATTTATGTCCATGAAAAATACCTGGTTTCCACATTTCCCCAAATGACATAGGCCTTTGTAATCTGGACAAAGTAGGAGTCACAGCCATGTTAGTACTAGAGGAGTGCCCTTTCTGGCCCTCATACAATCCTAAAAAAAGGGGATAGACCCTGTAAAAAACAGGACAGGTGGACATTGGCATGCAACTAGCTTTTAGGTTTTAATTAGTTCCTTGCATCTCCCCTGTGTTCGACGCTGATTCTTCCAGATGCATGGACCAACTAACAGACAAGGAGTGGGACATTATGCTGATAACCTTCCTGTAATTGCAGTCTTGGGCTTTATTTCCTCTCTCTCTAGGGAAACTGGCTTGAGGAAGCTAGCTGGGGGCGGGATTGGAGGAGCTGCTTAACTTTTCTCCCTCTGGACCTAATAAAGTTTCATTTAGCACACGCTAACCCAAAGCCTTGAAATGATTGGCTAGTCCTGTTTTGCTGATGGAAAATGACCTGTTCAGGGTTACTGAACTACCAAGTTGGTGGCAGAGCTAGGAGTAGAATTTAGGTCTCCTTGGCTATCAACTAGATCCTCTGAATATTCGAGACAATGACCAAGGATACGTTGAAATAGAACTTTCTCCCGTAACCTGGATACCTTCTACTTATTTAGGCTGAGGACAGGAAGTTACATGGTTCCCTGATTATTAATGTATTTCTTTTGAACAGAGAGTCACATTGTAGGCCTACTTTTTTGGAGGTGCTTAGGCAGCCATGTGGTGTCAGCTCAATTCCTTTTTGTTTCAACGTGGTGGTTGCTGGCGGTGTTTCCGGAATGGGGCTTCCTGAGTAGTGGCTGCCTCATTTGTCGTCTTTGTCCTGCAGAAGTGAACTATGGTATTTGCTGACTCTTCTGGTCCACTGGTTTGGATTGCCAAGGGAAATTGATTTGTTGAGGTAACATGGGATAGCCAGAAACCTCTGACTTGTTAATTACCAGGTTCCATCTTAGTTTTTTAGGACTCCGCAGTTGACTTTACAGCCTCTTTGAATACACTTCTGCTTATTTTTGTGGTAATTTCCTTTCTTTCTCTCATAGGTTGCCAGTCATCCTTTGCCTGCTTGTAAAGCACTTCCTTTTTGCTTGCTCCTGCCTTTTTTTTTAAACCTTACTGGTTTTCTCCAACTTGTAACTTGTAAAGAAACTGCTTTGATGTAGTGGGAAGAGAAACAGGAAAAAATTGAGAGCAGAGAAAAAGTCACTAAGACACCCACAATATCCCAGTTTTCCATCTGGGGCAGTGAAGCATTGATGGACATGGTTCCTTTGAGAGTTTTTAATGGAACTGGACCTGGGACCTGAGATTTCAGGTGATAGAGACTTGATATTCTTATTCCAGCTAAATCAGTATATTTTTTAATGTTTTATTTTGAAATAAAGATTCATGGGAGGTTACAAAGTTAGAGAGGTCTTGTGTTCAACCCATTTTCCCCCAATGGATGCATCTTACCTAATTATAGAACAATATCAAAAGTAGGAAATTGACATTGGTATAAAGTGTGTATGGTTCTATGCCATTTTATTACGTGCGTAGATTTGTGTAACCGCCACCACAATCAAGATACAGAACTATTAGATCACCACCAAGATCTCCTTCATGCTACCTCTTTATAATAATAACCACCCCCCTTCCTGACTCCTGGTAACTACTGATCTGTCCACTGTTTCTAAAATTTTGTCACTTCAAAAATACTATACAGATTGAATCACATGGTATATAACCTTTTGGGATTAACTTTTTTCACTTAGCATAATGTCCTCAAAATTTATCCACATTGTCACATGTATCAAAAGTTCATACCTGTGTATTGCTGAGTAGTATTCCATGGTGTGGTTGTATTATAGTTTGTTTAACTATCATTGAAGGATATTAGGGTTGTTTCTGATTTGGGGCTATTACAAATACAGCTGCTGTGAACATTTGTATACAAGTCTTGGTATGGACATACGCTGTCATTTTTCATGGGTAAACACCTAGGAGTGGAATTGCTGGGCCACGTCCTTTTGAGGTATCCCCAGACTGTTTTCCAAGGTGGCTGCAGCATTTCACATTTCTACCAGCAGTATTTGAGTAATCAGTTTCTCTGCTTCATTACCAGCTATTTTAGTTATTTTTCGTTCTGATGGATATGTAGTAATAACTGACTTTGTGCCTGAAGCAAAGCTCAGGGGTGTTATAAGGAAACGAAAAAAAAAAAAAAGAAAATTGTGCATATTTTATGTAAAATGGAACAAGTAGAATCTGTAGGCAAGAGCAGTTCCTGTGTTGGAGTCCTCTGAGGAGAAGCTAAAAGCAGAGCTGTTGTGAGTGTAGGAGATAAGGGGAGGTAATCCAGAGGGCATTGAGGAGAGAGTATCAACCAAGTCTAATTCATTAGTAAGCTGACACCATGGCAGCTTGGATAGATGAGACAGTTTCTTAGGTGTCTCTGTCCAAAGATATTCCTCCCTGTAAGGGTTGGGGGTAGAGAGTAGCACTGCAAGAAGTGGCTTGTGCCCATCCTTTTGCCATTAGTCCTTTTGAGCATAGGCCTTCTGGGAGGTTGCATGGGGGAAAATGACCCATGGTAATGGGATATTCTCTCTTCTTTGGAATGTACTTTAAGGCTGGCAGGCTCCTTGTTCAGGATATTTAAAGAAGACAGAGAATCAAGTGGCCTGAAACAAAGTAGAGTGTATTTCTTTCATCAGAGGCTTACTGCCTTTAATTTTGAAGACTTTAAAACATGTTTTACTATAGAATTATTTTTCCTCAGCCTACCTTTGGAAAGGCTGTTCTTCAGTGAGGTAGATTGGAGTTCAGGCCTAGTGGATATAGGAAATTGGTGGTCTTCTCAGTATGTCTGTAGGAGTTTGTAATTGCCTTAGCCTTAGAGAGGAAGGGGTATTTAAAAAGGCAGAGGAAAAAGATGGAGGCTTATAATCAAGGATAGCAGCAGTCTTCTTGATTAGGTCATACTTCACTGTAGTCCCTTTGCAAGTGATGTTAGCTGTTTTTAGTAGTGGTTGATTTACTTGTCAAATCACAGAATTACATTTTGGAGAAACATATAACAACAACACTTTTATGGCATTTACTGTGTGTCAGGTACACTTCTAAGCACTTTACAAATTGCTGACTTACTAATTCTCTCAGTAACTACGAGGTAGATACTGTCATCCCGATGAGAAAAAAATCACTTAAAAATAATCATGGCAGGCACAACTCTTAAACCTTAAAAATAGCTGCCATACATTATTGTTTTCATTCACATTGAAGTAGGCTGAGGTTCCAAGGAGTTCAGAATAATTGGTTCTTAAGAATGATAACATAGTAATCTGTTGGGTAAGAGATACTGCAGTACATTATTTTCTTGTGTCGTCTTGATTACTTCCCTTCTAATTTGCCTGTTTGTCAGGTGGGCTGGGGCACATGTCCCACCCTCTCTTCTCAGGCTTTTTGAAAGAGGCTGTCTTATGTTGTGTGTATTGCTTGAAGGACCCCTAGTCTTAAGGCCCCAGGCTTTCTCCAAAAAGAATGATTTTCTCTTAGTGTGTTTTATTTTTATTTTAATTTTTTTCTCGAGTCATGTTAGTTTCACGAGGACCCAGAAATAGTATCAAGGGAATTAGGATCAAGATGCATTCCTTATTATTCCTCACCCCTCTAGCTGCTACCCGGATACTATTGTGCCAGGCCCAGACAGATATCTTTTTAGGTGGAACTAGCTTTAGCTTCCCAGATCTTCAGGGCTAGTTCCTGTGATTTAAGTTAGGTTTTTTTTTTAAAATTCTTTTTAAAGTATGAATACATACCTAAAAGGGCACAAATCACAAGTTCAAAGAATTACCACAAAATGAGCACATTTGTATGGTCACTGAGGTTAAGAGATAGAACATTACCAGAACCCCAAAGCCTCTGGTGTCGTTATCCCAGTCACCACTCCCGCCATCCTCCCCATGACTAACCACTATTTTGACTTTTAATGCCACTGATTATTTTTAAGATGAGATTTGAATTTCTGACTTATTTAACTGGTTCATTAAAAATGCATCTCCTAGTCTTTGATGGAACAGTAAGTTGATCATGGTCTTGCATCTTTCTTTTTTAGAGTCGACTTCAATGTTCCTATGAAGAACAACCAGATAACAAACAACCAGAGGTAAGGTCCCTGCTAATCCTTGGGCTGGGTTTAAGATGTGTGTAGGTACACAGGATGAAATGTTTTTCCTTTCATATTGTATTATGGAACTGTAGCAACTTAAAACAAATGATTTTGGCTTTCTATCAACCCACTCTCTGATCTGCTTTCTTATTTATGAGAATATACAAATATAAGCAAAATCTTAAGAAAGTGATTCCCCTTCCCTTGTTTTTTGAAAATTAGAAGAATTTGGAGTTCATTTTCTTTTTTTGAGATAGGGTCTCACTCTGTCACCCAGACTGGAGTGTAGTGGTGTGATCACGGTTCACTGCAGCCTTAACCTTCTGGGCTCAAGCAGTCCTCTGGCCTCAGCTTCCCGAGGAGCTGGAACAACAGGTGCACACCACTACACCTGGTTAAATTAAAAAAAAATTTTTTTTTGTAGAGATGGGGTCTCACTATGTTGCCTAGGCTGTTCTCAAACTCCTGGACTCAAGTGATCCTCCTGCCTTGGCTTCCTAAAGTGCTGGGACCACAGGTGTAAGCCCCCATACCTGGCAGAGTTATTCATTTTTAAAGAATATAAAAGTTGGCTGGGTGCGGTGGCTCACATCTGTAATCCCAGCACTTTGGAAGGCCGAGGCAGGAGGATTGCTTGAGGCCAGTAGTTCGAGAACAGCCTGGCCAATATAGTAAGACACCATCTCTATAAAACACACACAAAAAATATAAAAATTTAAGGTTACTTGGCTTCTCTTGCAAAATGAAGAACTATGTAAGAGAAGGATTTTAAAAGTACCAGTAGTTACTAAGGTTATATGTAGTTTTACAAGCCCCCATTCAAATGGCTCAGATAAGTCAATTTTTGAGAATTTTCATTTGTTTTTGCTTCCAAAAAAACAAACAGGAAAGACTTCAGAAGTACGTTTTCAGTCAGTTTAGCTGCTCCAGTGTCTTGGATCCTAGATTCAGAAACAAATTTTAAGTGAGAGTACTGCTCTTGCTTTTGACTAGATTATAAAAGGTCTTTATTTTTGTCTTTACTTTCTTTTTAATTTTTTTAATTTTTAATTTTTGTAGATTTTATATATATATATATATGGGTTACATGAGATATTTTGATAAAAGCATGCAATACATAATCACATCAGGTTAAATGGGGTATCCATCAAGAAGGTTTTTATTTAATTTTTTTTTTTTTTTGAGACAGGGCCTCGTTCTGTCGCCCAGGCTGGAGTGCAGTGGCACGATCTTGGCTCACTGCAATCTCTGCCTCCTGGGCTCAAGCGATCCTCCCATCTCAGCCTCCCAGGGAGCTGAGACCACAGGCGTGGGCCACCACACCTGGCTACTTTTTCATATTTTTTTTGTAGAGACAGCGTTTTGCCCTTTTGCCCAAGCTGGCCTTGAGCTCCTGGACCCCGCCCACCTTGGCCTCCCAAAGTGCTGGGAATACAGGCATGAGTCACTGTGCTCCGCCTATTTTAAATTTTAAATGAAGGGTTTGTGTTGGCAAGGTGCTTTCTAATGATCTAGACCAGTGGTATCTAATAGAAATACAATGTGAGCCAAATTGTGTTAATTAAATTAAAGGGACATTTAACTTTTTTGGTACTAAGTCTTCAAGATCTGGCATGTGTTTTTATACTACAGCACATCTCAATTTGATCTAGTTATATATCTGGTACTCAACAGACACACATGACTAAATGACTGTCGTAATGGACAGTGCAGGTCTAGCCCAGAACATTTTCAGGTATTGGTCCTAGAATAGAGCCTGTCATTTTGCCAAGCACATCCCTGCTGTACCATAGTGGCAGGGTCTTTGTATAAGGCAGATCTGATCCCGCTTGATCTTCATTATTGTGCAACACACAGAAACGATTGGAAATATGCCTATCAAGTTATTTTAAGAGTAAAGAAACATGTTTGGAAATCTTTTCATTTCCGGAAATCCATGGAGTTGATTAACAAAATGAAGCATTAGAAATAATAAAACTTGCTGATAAGGGATAGTCCTGAAAACTAATTGGTTCCATTGCACAAACTTTGTACCTGATACAGATTTTTAAATTTGATATAAAGGAGTTCTTATATCTGCTAAATATTAATAACATAAGATATTTTAAAAGTATAACTTTTTTAATCATTCCATTCTTTGCTCAGATGTCATCATATCAGACTTTCCCTGGCCATCCTGTCTAAAAATCTCCTCTACCATTGTTCCCCGGTCATTTTTGTCCTCAAAAGTAGGGGAACAAAAATGGGGAACAATGGTTTGTTTTTTTTCTGTATCTCACCATCTGATATATTACATGTACGCACACACACATACATGTTTATTGTCTCTCTCCATTAGAATTTCACTTCCATGAGAACAGAGAGTTTTTAAAAAAGTTTTCTGTTTCATTCTCAGAACCTGGAATGATGCCTGGCACAAAAGAAGCATTCAATAAATATTTGATGAATAAATAAATGCTTTTCTTGATCAATTTTAATTTCTTATAAACTGGCAAAATGGCAAGTTAGTAGCAGGTTTATAACAAAACTTTTAAATGTTTAAAGGGAGTTAATTTTTTGATTAATTTATAATGTAATGAATGTGATACATTATGGAAACCAAGCTCTAGACAGTGCAATTATTTTTTCCTACATAAAAAAGTGACTTAGGATCTATTAATAGGTGCAGAAAAGTTACTACATGTTTTTTATTTTTCCCCAAATTTCCTTTGATGGTTTCAAGATTTGAGAATTTTATGTATTTTCCATAGTCATATAAGAAGTGTTTTCAGGGGTCCCCAAGATCACCCACATATCTCATGATGATTTGCTAGGACTCAGAGTTGTTCTCATGGCTAAAGTTTATTACAGTGAAAGAATGCATGACAAGATTAGGAAGAGGAAAAGACATGGGGGAGTCTAGAGAAATCCATGGGCTTCCAGTTTCCTGTGAGGGGACACATCAAGTGTTTTCCTTTCTTCAGCAGTGAAAAATGCAGTAATTGTCTGCAGTGTTTCTGCCTGGAGAAGCATGCTAGAGACTCAGATCCCAAGATTTTTGTTGGGAACTGGTAACATAGGGATCCTCTGCCTAGCAACTACCAAAATTACAAACTTCTGCTGGGTGTGGTGGCTCACGCCTGTATTCCCAGCAGTTTGGGAGGCTGAGGCCTGCAGATAACTTGAGCCCAGGAGTTCAAGACCAGCCTGGACAACATGGTAAAACCCCTACAAAAAATACAAAAATTAGCTGGGCATGGTGGTGCATTCCTGTAGTTCCAGCTACTTGGGAGGCTGAGGTAGGAAGATGACCTAAGCCCCTGGGGAGGTTGAAGCTGCAGTGAGCTGAGATTGTGCCTCTCCACTCCAGCCTGTTGGGTGACAGAGTGAGACCCTGTCTCAACAAAAAAAGGAAAAGAAAAAAAAAATTCTAGACTTCTAGAGTGGGGCAGGTGTTCAGCATAAATCACCATGTTTGTATAGACGGTCTAGGAAGAGTGAATAGCCCTTGTTGGTCTTGTCAGTTAACTTTGAAAGCCAAGTTCCCAGATACCAGCCAGGATCTAATCTTGCAGACAGGTCCTTCTGTAGATAGTAGCCTCAGGCCTGCTGTGTTAACTCTTGTCTGTGAAAGGGGCAGATACATAATGAGATTGTACAATCCTAGGTGGAGGGTTGGCATTGCATTTAACTTCTTAAGGACCACCATTGAATTACTGATAGTAGATTTGAAGGAACTTGGAGAAGAAAAGGAGCTTTATGCTTTATGAGGTTATCAATAAGCTAGTTCCCACTAATTTCTAGGAGTAACTTCATTCTGTTTGTTGTCTCTCTTTGGTTGCAGGATTAAGGCTGCTGTCCCAAGCATCAAATTCTGCTTGGACAATGGAGCCAAGTCGGTAGTCCTTATGAGCCACCTAGGCCGGCCTGATGGTGTGCCCATGCCTGACAAGTACTCCTTAGAGCCAGTTGCTGTAGAACTCAAATCTCTGCTGGGCAAGTAAGTGCCAGGCTCTGGTGCTGGTAGACTTTGTGGCGGGGGAAGTTGTCAAGCACGTTGTTACTGGTTTTTAACTTTCATACTGCTCAAGTGTCTTCATCTCTTCCTCTTCTCAGGGATGTTCTGTTCTTGAAGGACTGTGTAGGCCCAGAAGTGGAGAAAGCCTGTGCCAACCCAGCTGCTGGGTCTGTCATCCTGCTGGAGAACCTCCGCTTTCATGTGGAGGAAGAAGGGAAGGGAAAAGATGCTTCTGGGAACAAGGTAGGACCTGTGATTTTGACATTATTGGGGGTGAGGGCCTGAGTCTGTAAGAGACTGTGGTTGAAGAATAGAGAAAGCTCATTTATTTTAACTTAGACACCTTTTATTGAAGCATACAATGCCGACACAGCTTGATGGGTTATCTCAAAGTAAACACACTTGTGTAACCACCACCCAGGTCAAGGAATAGAATATTACCAGCATCCCAGAAGCCCTCCTTCATGTTCAGGTGGTGTTTAAATATGTTTGAAAAATATGTGAACACCTTTGAGGTGAAAGAGTATTCAGTGAATATGATGGTCATGATGATGTCACCTTGGATTTAAGGCATTTTCTTAAGATGTGTAAAGTATGTTCCTTTAAATCTCTCTTTAAGATAGAGGTACAGGTATCGACTTATTTCATAAAGAAACTAAGTCTCAAAAAAAAAAAAACTTAAGTTTCTGAAAGGCAGTCATACGATTAAAGTTAGAGGCAGTGGTGCTGTTGGTCTTTAGAGCTCAGCCCATTCAATCAGCAAACTTTTTCTATAAATGGCCAGATAGTTAATATTTTAGGCTTTCTGTGTTGTGCAGTCACTTCCATCTGCATATAGTCTCTGTTGGAACTACTCACCTCTGCCGATGTTGTGCAAAAGCAGCCATAGATAACTCACCAAACAGATTACTGTGAACTGACAACCAGAATTCAAATATTCAATGATAAAACTGGCTCTTTGCAGATGATTTTGAATTTGCCCATTGACTAGAAAGGAAGCTGAAGGCATTTTTTAGTACTTTCCACTATTCTGGTCTTTAGTATCTCGGAGAACAAGATGCTCTGAGTCTAGTGTCTCAGTCTCCTTTGGCTTCTCACATTTATTAAGGTCATTGGGAGTGCCTGCTTTCAAGCAGTTTCTTTTTTTAGCACCAAAGATGCTGGTCTTGCCTTATCCTGCTTTTGGCATGGTCTTGCTGCAGTATTAGGAGTCAAATGCTGACCTAAAATTTGGTGTCCTTTTAATCTGGAACTCATGATGCATGAACTCTAGGGCTTAGAAGTGGCAGGAGGCAAAGGGCATATTGAAGCAAAACTTTTTATTTAGGAAATGATGAGCTGACTATGTAGTCTATGACTTTTTTAGTAAACTGACTTGACATTCACTATCTAATGGCTTTTAATACCTGAAATTTCAGGAGTCAGTCCCAAGTTCAAAATGGATTAAAAAAACAGTGAGGCTGGGTGCGGTGCCTCATGCCTGTAATCCCAGCGCTTTGGGAGGCCGAGGTGGGTGGATCACAAGGTCAGGAGTTCGAGACCTGCCTGGCCAACATGGTGAAACCCTGTTTCTACTAAAAATACAAAAAAGTCGGGCATGGTGGCAAGTGCCTGTAATTCCAGCTACTCCGGAGGCTGAGGCAGGAGAATTGCTTGAACCCAGGATGTGGAGGTTGCAGTGAGCCAAGTTTGCAGCACTGCATTCCAGCCTGGGCAACAGAGCAAGACTCTGTCTCAAAAAAACCACAAAAACAAAGTGAGGATATGAGGACATAAACATTTTCCCTTTATCCAAAGTGCCCACATTGATCTTTTAAGGGCCTTCTCTTTCTTCTAGTTATTTGCAGATCAGTAAATGAGAAATGGGTTCTGATTGATATTATTTCCATGGCACCTTTTTTCATGAAGAGCTTTCAATTTACCCTGTTTTTCCTTAAATATCTTTTTAAAGAGACAGGGTCTTGTTCTGTTGCCCATGGTGGAGTGCAGTGGCATGACATTAATTATTGCAGCCTCAAACTTGAGGGCTGAAGTGATCCTCCTGCCTCATCCTTGTAGGGAGCTAGGACTACAGGCACATACCACCATGTCCAACTGACCTTTACTTTTTTTTTTTTTTCCTGGTAGAGACGGGGTCTTGCTATGTTGCCCAGGCTCATCTCGAACTCCTGGGCTTAAGTGATCCTCCCATATTGGCCTCCCAAAGTGTTGGGATTATAGGTGTGAGCTACTGCCCCTGGCCTCCTTAAATAGTTCGTAAATGGAGGGGTTATTATGCCTTTTTGATAGAAGGGAAAATTTCAGAGCAACTTCCCAAAGGTGACACAATGAATTAGTGTCAGAGCTGGACATAGAACTCAGGTCTCCTTACATTTGAGCATTGTTATCATTACTACATGTGTCATCTTCCAATCACTAGTGGCAGATGTTATTGTAGTCTACAGAGCTTATGGGAGTGCCACAATCTTCAATTTTAGCATTAGTGCCTCTGCAATTCTTTGGATCTTTAGGGAAAAGCCCCATTTTTTATGGCAGTCCCCTTCACCTCCTTGATACATAGGAGCATAGGAGTGGGCAGTGACTTAAAATGAACATCTGCTTTGTGCTATGTACTCTTCTGTGTCCTGTCCCCTTTCATCTGGCTTGCTTCCTGTGCCTCTTTGCTTAATCTCCTGCCAGAGACTCTCTGGTTTGCTTATCCTCCCATCTTGCTTTCTGTCCCCTTTGGGGTATGCCTTGATGGCAAGCTGACATTTTAAAGCTCTATGTTTAACTTCTACATTTTCTTCCTCTCTTTTTGTAGAAGTATATTTCTTGTTTTCTCAGATGCCTAGCTTCCAGAGAAGGTCATAAAATACCTTTTTGTCAATGTGAAGTGTTTCTGAGGTTCTTTTCTGTTGTCATGTTTCCATCTGCCTTCTCTGTCCCAGCTTGCCCTTGTTGCTTTTATGAGGAATATGTGTGAGAGCCCCTTGCACTTCGCAGAAAGGCCTTGGTAGCCAGCAGCTTGAGTCAAGTATGATACTATCACAAGGAGAATGTTTAAAATGAGGAACTAAGTCAAGGAGAGGGAAGGATAATCAGAACCTTGAGCTGAAGGCTGGGGAGAGGCTAGTGGGGTGTGGTTAACTTCATGTGATTAGAGGTAAAGCCATCGTTCAGGAATATTAGGTTTGCAATTTGAGGGAAGTTAAGGGAGAGCAGAAACATGCAGAAATGACCAAAGTATCTGGAATATTTGGAAGAAAGAACACATCCTACTGCTGGTTGTAAAAAATCGCTGTCCCACCTACTCAGGGTCTTTAGAGATGTTCAAGAGGACTCTTGGTGTATGAAATGCTTTTATAGTTGTCTTTGGAGCCATCACATTTTCTGTTTTTGTTTTTCTCTATAGGTTAAAGCCGAGCCAGCCAAAATAGAAGCTTTCCGAGCTTCACTTTCCAAGCTAGGGGATGTCTATGTCAATGATGCTTTTGGCACTGCTCACAGAGCCCACAGGTACCAAGAACCTTGTAGACTACCACACTGAGAACAGTATTCCTATTTACTTGAGTAGCCCAAGCTCTGGGTTGTTTTTGGAGAGTTTTGTATTATACTGTAATCCTTTCAGCTTCTCTAATTGGAACTGCCACTATGGCTCTTGTTGAGTAGCTCTCATCCAAAGAGGAAATAAAGGTAAAAAAATGTTGGTAATTGTAGGGCTTTTTGTGGAGTTTCAGGAAGAGGTTGCTCTTTCTCACCTTAGATATTTTGTACAGAGTTATCCTTTTATGAACGTTATAAGATCAGACTCTCATGCTGTCAGTAGGAAGCAAATTGAGGAATCCTCTTCTGCTATCATCAACCGGCCAATTACTTACTGTGATTTGCCCTTTGGCCTGCCTGAAGAGTGTTAACTGGGTATCTTAAATTCTACCTAAGTTCATTACTTTTTTACTCTTTCCCTTTGACCTTGCACTATTAGTTAAAAATCTTATCTTGTACCTAAGTGTTTTTTGTTGCAATGTAGGGATGAAAACCATGATTTCTTGCAGTCCAGAAGTAGAAATATTTTAGTGATAAGGAGCTGGCCTCTAGGACTAGGAGGAATGATAGGGATTGACTAGAATCTGAATGTCTTTGATCTTTTCTAGCTCCATGGTAGGAGTCAATCTGCCACAGAAGGCTGGTGGGTTTTTGATGAAGAAGGAGCTGAACTACTTTGCAAAGGCCTTGGAGAGCCCAGAGCGACCCTTCCTGGCCATCCTGGGCGGGTATGAAGAACTCTTTAAGATCATGCTTTAAGTATTGTTTGCCTGGTAGTAGGCCATAACTTGGGTGGTTTATTGTCATATAGCTCAGTCACACTGGGTAACTGAGGAGAATTTAATAAAGGAACTACAGGCTGGGCATGGTGGCTCACACCTGTAATCCCAGCACATTGGGAGGGCCCAGGCAGGAAGATTGCTTGAGCCCAGGAGTTTGAGATGGGCCCAGACAACAAAGTGAGATCTCATGTCTACAAAAAAAAATTAGCTGGGCGGTGGTGGTATGCACCTGTGGTCCCAGTTACCAGAGAGGCTGAGGTGGGAGGATCACTTGAGCCTGGGAGGTAGAGGCTGCAGTGCACTGTGATCACGCCACTGCACTCCAGCCTGGGTGACAGAGCAAGACCGTTTCTAAATAAATAAATAAATAAATAAATAAACAAACAAACGAACGAACTACATACAGAGGTGTGGGTAGGGTTCAGGGAAACCACAAAGGGACAGTACAGTAATTTGGGGCTACCAACAGGCATCACCATTTCTATGCCTGAAGGGACAAAGGGAGGGGAATGGTTATCAGAATTCAGAGAGGAAAGTTGGTGTGGAGAGAGCTATCTGATGGGAACTGTAGCCTTTGGTCAAAGGACACAAGATCTGGTAGGGAGGGGGAGCCAGGGCAATAAATATTCTGATCTCCTTTCAGTCTCCTGCTGCTGCACCCCCTCCCACCCTCAATTTGGCTGAAACCCAAATGGAAGCCAGAGCGCAAGAAAGCTCCTTGATGTAGTCCATGCAGGTCCTCCTCCTGTGATGCAACAGGGTAGAGAAGGATAGAAGATGGCTCTGCAGGGAAGAATGGGAAAGATCCACCATAGGTGCTCATTTAGCAATTTTGAAGTGCTTGAGCCTTATAACCTGGCAGGGTATAACTATATAACCTGGCAGGGTATAACCATATAATCTGGCAGGGTATAACCATATAATCTGGCAGGGTATAACCATATAACCTGGCAGGGTATAACTATGAAAACCTCTTCATATGTGTTTAATATATAATTTAGACCTCATTTCTCCAGATTACATACCTATTTTATCTTTTCTCCTATAGGGAAAGGCAGCAAGTAGATAATGATTTTCCAATGGGTTAGTTAAAAATAGAAATTTCAGAATTGAGGGTTGAGAGGAGGATAAATTTTAGGTGAGAGAGCTAGCACTGCTTGGATAAGACAATTTCCTGTGACTTGGTGTGGTGATCTAGGTAGCAGTCTCTTTATGGCTGGAGGCCCATTACCCTTCTATGAGCAGGGTTTTTTCCCCCAGGGGAGTGAACATACTATCTCCTGATGAAAATTGACTCTGGAGTTGGGTGTCAATTTCAGGTAGCATAGTTGCTTATACTGTTTGGCTCTGTGTCTCCACCCAAATCTCATCTCGAATTATCCCCACGTGTTGTGGGAGGGACCTGGTGATTGGATCAAGGGGGCGGTTCACCCCATACTGTTCTTGTGATAGTGTTGTTTGGCAGTTCCACCCTCGCTCGCCTCTCTCTTGCCACCATGTAAGATGTGACTTGCTTCCCCTTTGCCTTCCGCCACGATTGTAAATTTCCTGAGGCCTCTCCAGCCATGCGGAACTGTGAGTCAATTTAACCTTTCTTTATAAATTACCAAGTCTCAGGTAGTCCTTTATAGCATTGTGAAAATGGGCTAATACAGTTGCTTTCTAGGCTTTATGAGCCCAGTTTCAGAGTCTTAAAAATAACTCAGGTAGATACAGGTTGTTGTGTCTTGTTCTTGGAAAAAGGTATCTATTCCTGGGCTTTGTTCTTCAACTTTCTGTAGACCTGGAATATGGGAGTGAGTGCCACCTAGTGCTACCTTATGGTTAGGTTTTTAGGTTCAGACTGAAATAGCTGTTACGGGGAATTGGATGTGAGATTTTTTTGCCACCTTTCTTGTAGTGTAGTTTCCCTAGGCCATTAACAGTTTTTGGGAAAACTTTTATATTTTATTAAACAAACTTTATTGTAAGAAACACTCATATGTATGGAAGTTGAGAGAATAGTGTAGTAAACTCCCAGGTATCCATTACCCTGTTTCAACAATTAATTGACAGTTTTGCTAATCTTGTTTCTTTTATGTCCTAACTCTGTTTTGTCAGGAATGTACACACACACACACACACATATATATACACACACACACGTATATATTCCTGACAAAGTGAATACAAGTGAAATAAATATGTGTATATATGTGTGTGTGTGTGTGTACATATATAGATATTTTAGATATATAGACATATCTATATATCTAGATCTAGATCTATATATAGATTTTTTTTTTTCTGATACAGGGTCTCACTCTGCTGCCCAGGCTGAAGTGCAGTGGCATGATCACAGCTCACTGCAGCTTTGACCTTCCAGGCTCAAGCGATCCTCCCACCTCAGCCTCCCTAGTACCTGGGACTACAGGCATGCATCACCATGCCTGGCTAATTTTTGAATCTTTTTGTAGAGACAGGGTCTCACTGTGTTGCCCAGGCTGGTCTCGAACTCTGGGGCTCAGGCGATCTGCCTGCCTTGGTCTCCCAAAGTGTTGAGATTACAGGCGTGAGCTTGTGCCCTGCTGTCAGGAATGTTTTTAAGTTAGCCTTAGACATCATATACTTTCACTTACATAGGTTGAGTATCTTTTATCTGAAATGCTTGGGACCATAAATGTTTTGGATTTCAGATTTATTTTTGGATTTTGGAATATTTGCATGGTACTTACCAGTTGAGCATCCTAATCTGAAAATATGAAATCTGAAATGTTCCAATGATATTTCCTTTGAGCTCAAACAGTTTTGATCTTGGAGGATTTTAGATTTTTGGATTAGGGATACTCAACCTGTAATACTCCTGTATACATCTTGTAACTGCTAAGCAGATTTCTTTTAAATAATCACCATATTATACCTAACAAATTTAGCAGTTTTGTTACTATCATCCAATACCCAATCTGTATTCAGATGTTCTTGATCATCTCAGAAGTGTCTTTTTACAGTTGGTTTGTTTGAATAAGGATTCAAATGAAGTCCATGCATTGCCTTTGGCTGTTAGGTATCTCTTGTAATAATCTCCTATTTATTACTTTCATTCTGTTGATTTGTTGAAGAAACAGGCATTTGAGCTGTAAGCTATTCTTTAGAAGAAATTGAACTCCTTTCTAACTGCTTTCTTCCCTTTGTGTGTGTATGTGTGTGTGTGTGTGTGTGTGTATTTAAAACAATCTATCTTTACCCTTGGTGGTAACCAATCTTTACAACTGAAATAAATAGTAAATAGTTTCTTGCCATCTGTTCACCCACATCACTGTTGTTTCATACCTCCTTTTCACAAATCCTAGCATAGGGTTTCTCACTGGATAGGCATTATCTTGTTTATTGAATGAAGAAGGAAACAGACACAAGGTGGTTTGTCCACGTAAGTGGGATTTAGTTATATGGGAATGTTTATGGAAGGCAGGCTATTACTTTGTTTCTCTTTAGTTTGGATCTTTTTTGTCTCATAGGGAGATGCAAGATACATGTGTATTTATCTTATTTCCATGTACTAGAAAATAAGATCCCAAAGGGTAGGGATCTTTCTGTTGCCTTTGCCCTGTGATGTTTCTCAAAGACCTAGAATAGTGCTTGGCACAGAGTAGGTGCCCAGTAAATGTGTTGAATTGGGTGACCCAATAAAAATAAATGCCATAAAGAAAATGTCCCAGGCTGGGCATGGTGGCTTAGGCATGTAACCCTAGTGCTTTGGAAGGCCAAGGCAGGAGGATCACTTGAGCTTAGGAGTTTGAAACTAGCCTGGGCAACATAGTGAGACCTTGTCTCTACAAAAAAATTTAAAAAGAAAAATTATCCAGGGGTAGTGTTGTACGCCTGTGGTCGCAGCTACTTGAGAGGCTGAGGCAAGAGGATTGCTTGAGCCTAGGAGTTCCAGGTTACAGTGAGCTATGATTGTACCACTGCACTCCAGCCTCGGCAACAGAGTGAGACTTTGTGTTGAAAAGAGAGAGAGAAAAAAATGTCCCAGCAACTGAGCATAGGGTATGACTTTAGGAATATATATTTTTGTTCAGTATATATTTATTTAGTATACAGTCCAGTCAATCCCTGCTCTAAGGTTAGGATAATTCTGAGTGGCTCTGGGATCCCACAATTAGCAATCGTGCTTAGATACAATTAGCAATCTTGATGCTCTGAATTTGTGTGTGTGTGTGTGTGTGTGTGTGTGTGTGTGTGTGTGTGTTGGGGAATGTGCAAAATAGATGTGGAACCCATAGTTTCCTTAGACAAGAGTAGGTCTTCTGAGCCCTGCTTAAAAAAAGAATATGGATTTAAATCTGTTGTCCATCAGCTTCTAGGTAGAATTAAAAAAAAATGTATTGATGGTAAGTGGGGTGAGGAATTTTTAAAAAGATACACTGATGTCTGGAGCCATACCTTAAAAGGATTTCTTAGAAATGGATTGAGTTTTTGGGTTGGAGAAACATAGGGCAAAGTTAGGCAGTACTTTTGTCACTTTGAGACTTTCTCTGTTCCTGTGCCTTGAAATAGAAACTCAGTTTCTATGTAATACCACTTCTCTAGTCCATTCTTCTTTAAGTGATGATTCTTGCTTTCTCTTGTAGAGCTAAAGTTGCAGACAAGATCCAGCTCATCAATAATATGCTGGACAAAGTCAATGAGATGATTATTGGTGGTGGAATGGCTTTTACCTTCCTTAAGGTGCTCAACAACATGGAGGTAGGAAACAAATGCCAAGTGGATGTGAAATAGCTCTCCATGATAATAGCAGGTTGTATAAATGTAAAAAGAAAACAGTCTTTTGACATGAGCCCTGAAAATTCCCATTTTTATTTATTTTGGCAAGTCTTTCGTCTTTGCATTGTTCCTTTATATTGTATTGTGTCTGGTTCCTGTCTGCTTTGTGAGGCAGTCTTGTTCTTAGTATAGATGCTGACCTCCATCATTTTGGCTCCCCTGTGTAGATTGGCACTTCTCTGTTTGATGAAGAGGGAGCCAAGATTGTCAAAGACCTAATGTCCAAAGCTGAGAAGAATGGTGTGAAGATTACCTTGCCTGTTGACTTTGTCACTGCTGACAAGTTTGATGAGAATGCCAAGACTGGCCAAGCCACTGTGGCTTCTGGCATACCTGCTGGCTGGATGGTGAGTCACTTGAGTGGGTTGGTAGTGTGAGTGAACAGAAACTCTGTGGTGTCATTTATTCATTGATTCAGCCAATCAACAAGCATTTTAAAACAATCTCTATAGGAGATCTGTCAGAGAGGGCTCTGCATGTTGCAGTGAGTCCCTCATGGAAGAATCCATGGGAGAAAAGCAGTGCTATTGGATTACTGGCCTTCAGTAATGCAGTAATGTGTTGCAAAACTTTGTTGTTGTTGTTTTTTTTTTTTTTTTTGAGACAGAGTCTCGCTGTGTCACCAGGCTGGAGTGCAGTGGCATGATCTCGGCTCACTGCAACCTCTGCCTCCCAGGTTCAAGTGATTCTCCTGCCTAACCCTCCCCAGTAGCTGGGACTACAGGTGTGCACCACCATGCCCAGCTAATTTTTGTATTTTTCATAGAGACGGGGTTTCACCATGTTGGTCAGGATGATCTCAATCTCTTGACCTCATGATCCACCTGCTGCGGCCTCCCAAAGTGCTGGGATTACAGGCGTGAGCCACTGTGCCCGGCCCATTTTTAGTTTTATCTGTTTTTTCTTCATCTGTTTAATGTGTATTAAGTACTTACTGCGTACTGGAGATAGTGTCATGTACTTTCATGGTTTGGGTTGTTTTGGATTATGTTGCTATCTAGAAAGCTATATAAGAAAACTTTCTCATATGAAAAAATTAAGTATACTGATTACAAGCAGGGAGAAATGTAAGTGTATATTAAAGACTAATATAGTTGATTTTAGGGTGCTCCAAATATCATTTTGATTGCTGTATAAAATTGTATCATGTTTTTACATGCTAGTTTGCTTATTTTTCTTTTCAGGCATTCACGTATTATTTAGTTCAGTGTTTCTCAAAGTATGTTCCTAAGACCAGCAGTATCAGTATCATTTTTGGAACTTGTTAAAAATGCAAGTTCTTGGGTCCCACCCCAGACCTACCGAATCAGGAACTGAGGGTGGGGCCAAACAGTCTGTTTGAATAAGCCCTCCTGGTGATTCTCATGCATGGCAAAGTTTGAGTACTACTGATCTAGTTTACTGTCATTCCCAACACTATTGACATCTGTTGTTTTGTGGGGGACTGTTGAATTGTAAGGTTGTTTAAAGCATCCTTGGCCACTAGATGCCAGTAGCACCCTCCCAAGTTGCAACAACAATATTTCTAGACATTGCCACATGCCTATCTATTATGAAGGGGCAGAACTGACCTGGTTGAGAACCATTGATCTAGTTTTCACTAACATAAATAGTGTGGCTAAGAATGTCTTTATTAAATAACTTTTGAGGTTTTCCGTTAGACTTGATCTTCCATACAGTAGAATTTTTGAGTATAAAGGGCATGAACAGGTTTATAAAGACTGAAGGGTACTATTTGTTTCTAGAAGAAACTTTGGTGTGCAGCCCTGAGTTCTGGTCTTGGTGGAGGTGGTGTTTAAGTAGCTTTTCTTGATAGCTCATCTTCTCTTTCACCTCTACCCCTCAGGGCTTGGACTGTGGTCCTGAAAGCAGCAAGAAGTATGCTGAGGCTGTCACTCGGGCTAAGCAGATTGTGTGGAATGGTCCTGTGGGGGTATTTGAATGGGAAGCTTTTGCCCGGGGAACCAAAGCTCTCATGGATGAGGTGGTGAAAGCCACTTCTAGGGGCTGCATCACCATCATAGGTAAGCGGTCCTATACAAAGCTAATACCCATATAAGCTGGCAGAATTCTGATCAGAGGAAGGTGGAATGGAGAACTTCTTCTATGTCTCTTTATTCTGGGTAAATGTTAAGAGGTAAACAGGTAGGTAATTTACAGAGGAGCCTCTTGGTAAGATAGAGTTGGGGGTTTATCAGCTACCTTTTGGGTTGGGGAGCACACTGCCTTACAGTTTTGGTGCCAATCCCTTTTTTTTCTTTTCTCTCTTTTCCCTTTTTACCTGGCTTTCATTCAACAGGTGGTGGAGACACTGCCACTTGCTGTGCCAAATGGAACACGGAGGATAAAGTCAGCCATGTGAGCACTGGGGGTGGTGCCAGTTTGGAGCTCCTGGAAGGTGAGGGTCTTCTGTTTTTTGGCTTGTTTGGGATAAGGGTGGACTGTGCAGTGAGAGGTGGGTAGAATGGAGTGGAGAAAGTTAGAAGGTAGTGTTGTCATTAGCAGTCATTACTACCTGGGCAGTACAGAGGAACTTCAGATAAAGCTCCTGGCATCCACTGAGGCGGGGAGGGACAGATAGAAACTTGGTCTGAGAGTTATGGTCTAGTAGACCTGGAATCCACAATGTAAAAGTTGGCCAGCTCCTGGCCATATATCCTAAAAAAGAGCTGGCATGTTATTGGGAAGATAAAGTGGGGGAAATCTGGCTTACTGGGCCCTATAGTAATGCTGTCTATGTATGTGTGCTCTCTCAAAAACAGGTAAAGTCCTTCCTGGGGTGGATGCTCTCAGCAATATTTAGTACTTTCCTGCCTTTTAGTTCCTGTGCACAGCCCCTAAGTCAACTTAGCATTTTCTGCATCTCCACTTGGCATTAGCTAAAACCTTCCATGTCAAGATTCAGCTAGTGGCCAAGAGATGCAGTGCCAGGAACCCTTAAACAGTTGCACAGCATCTCAGCTCATCTTCACTGCACCCTGGATTTGCATACATTCTTCAAGATCCCATTTGAATTTTTTAGTGACTAAACCATTGTGCATTCTAGAGTGCATATATTTATATTTTGCCTGTTAAAAAGAAAGTGAGCAGTGTTAGCTTAGTTCTCTTTTGATGTAGGTTATTATGATTAGCTTTGTCACTGTTTCACTACTCAGCATGGAAACAAGATGAAATTCCATTTGTAGGTAGTGAGACAAAATTGATGATCCATTAAGTAAACAATAAAAGTGTCCATTGAAACCGTGATTTTTTTTTTTTTCCTGTCATACTTTGTTAGGAAGGGTGAGAATAGAATCTTGAGGAACGGATCAGATGTCTATATTGCTGAATGCAAGAAGTGGGGCAGCAGCAGTGGAGAGATGGGACAATTAGATAAATGTCCATTCTTTATCAAGGGCCTACTTTATGGCAGACATTGTGCTAGTGCTTTTATTCTAACTTTTATTTTTATCAGTTACACATGATCATAATTTAAAAAGTCAAGGCTTATAACAAAAAAGCCCCAGCCCATTCCTCCCATTCAAGATTCCCACTCCCCAGAGGTGACCACTTTCAACTCTTGAGTTTTTCAGGTATATACCTCCATGTTTCTAAGTAATATGCTTATATTGTTCACTTCTTTTTTTTTTATTTTTTAAAGAAATCTATTTCATACCATGGAGGAAGGCTCTGTTCCACATATATTTCCACTTCTTCATTCTCTCGGTATAGTTTTGTCACAATTATAGATTAGATCAAAAGTCTACATAACTAATACAGCTGAGCTATGTAGTATGCTATGATTAAATTTACTTATGTAACTTTTATTGTCTTTGGCATTAACAGTGTTTCAAAAAATTTTCTGTGTATACCCATCAGTGATTCATTCCCAAATCTTCTAGAAGCATAAGTGTCTCAATATATTAAAACATATTGAATAATCCTTGTTAGAGTTATCCCTGCAGGAGTCCTTAGTGCTCCTTTATCCAATTTGTACTTGATGCCCTCTAGGCAGGGTGTACAGCTAGCTGTTGCTCTGGTATTTCCTATAACCTTCTTGGGGATTTCTTTTACCTCCTGTGTTAGACTCCTGTTTTCTGGATTCCCCCTTTTCCCTCTTTCTTGGTCTACTTTTTGTAGAACACAAGACTCTACTAGCTTCCTGAGAAAGGGTGCCTGGGAGGCAAAATCTCTAAGACTTTGTAAGTCTGAAAATGTCTTTATTCGACCCTTATACTTGATTCCTAGTTTGGCTATATATAGAATTTTAGCCTGAGTATCACTTTTTGAGACTCGAAGCCACTGTTTCATTGTCACTATTGAGAATCTAAATGGCCATTCGGATTCTTTCATCATCTTTATAATTTTACCTTCCTATTTCTTTCCTGTCCTTTTAATGGAGTTTTGGGAGAGAGCAGAGGTAAACATGATTTGAAAAAGCCATGTCTGACCAGAAATTCTGTGCTGGAAAGATATGTATTTCACCTTTAGGGACAAAGAAATAAACTTTTGGACAGGACCACAGAGCTAGTAAGTAACAGCAGGGATTCAAGTCCAGGTTTGTCTGGTTCCAGTGGCTGATGCTTTTCCAATGTGCCTCCGTCCCTGACATGATGCTTCTAGGCTATAGATGCTTCTAGACTCTATCCCTGACATGATGCTTCTAGACTATTTTGTTTAACCCTGGATAGAATAGCAAAAGAAAATTTTGGTGGTTGCTCTAAACAAAACAGAAATTTGAAAGCTCAAGTTTTTTCTTCATTTGTATTTTAGTTAATACTGTACCCATATTTGTAGTTAATTTTAAATTGTACCATGTTTCTGCATACCTCTATGGGTACTCAGGAATTCTAGTCCAATTTTTGTGACTTTTTCCTACTGATTACCTTTCCTCCAACGTTTTAAAAATTATTTCAAATGGAACTGAAAGAAGCATAAACTCCCATAAACCCAGCACCTAGACTCTACAATTGCCAACATTATCTATCCAACAATCTCTGACTGTACCTTTTAAGTACTTTCTACTGGACTGTTTCCAGGATCACCCCTCATTTATTTGGGTTGTTAACCTAAAGAATGAATGGGGGAATCTCCAGTCATAAACAACTTGTCAATTAGGCAAATATTTGAGTTCCTTCTATGTGCTTAAAGACGTGATAGAGGGAATATAAGAGCATTTATGTTCTGAAGGAATTTTTAACCTAACCAAAGAAGATAGTAGATAACTTGTGTGCATATAAGCTAGAACAGTATAAGGGGCCGGGCATGGTGGCTTACGCCTGTAATCCCAGGACTTTGGGAGGCCAAGGCGGGCAGATCACCTGTCAGGAGTTTGGGACCAGCCTGGCCAACATGGTGAAACCCCGTTTCTACCAAAAATACAAAAATTAGCCGGGCGTGGTGGCGTGTGCCACTGTAGTCCCAGCTATTCAGAAGGCTGAGGCAGGAGAATCACTTGAACCCGGGAGGTGGAGGTTGCAGTGAGCTGAGATCACGCTACTGCATTCCTGCTTGGGCGACAGAGTGAGACTCTGCCTCAAAACAAAAACCCCACAAAACAGTATAAGGATGTGCTTTCTAATTTGGAATTATGAATTATTGGTAAAATATTGCAAAGGTGTATGCTTTAAGTTGTAAATTCACCTTTAACCCTAGACTATATATGTGTGTTTATATGCAGAAAAAAATAATTCCCATGTCGTAAGTGAACAATTTGGTTCTTTAGCTCAGTGTTTTCCTGTTTTCTTCATTTCCAAAATTTCCCTCTAGCACAGGGGTTTACACATGATCAAAAAGGAGTATACAATGAAGACACCTTCCTCAGTCCCCTACCTACCAGTTTCCCTCCCCAGAAGCAACCTCTGGAAGACCAGTTTCTTTCAATCTAAGGCTATTTAATATACATTAAGAGGCCGGGCGCAGTGGCTCACGCCTGTAATCCCAACAACACTTTGGGAGGCCCAGGCAGGCGGGTCATGAGGTCAGGAGATTGAGACCATCCTGGCTAACACGGTGAAACCCTGTCTCTACTAAAAATACAAAAAATTAGCTGGGCGTGATGGTGGGCGCCTGTAGTCCCAGCTACTCGGGAGGCTGAGGCAGGAGAATGGCGTGAACCTGGGAAGCGGAGCTCGCAGTGAGCCGAGATCACGCCACTGCACTCCAGCCTGGGCAACAGTGAGACTCTGCATAAAGAGCATACCCATGTGTGTACCTATCTATCTATCTATCTATCTATCTATCTATCTATCTATCTGTATATAGATATATTAAAATGTAAATGGTGGCATACCTGCTGTTCTGTAGTTGATTAGTGTTTTCTTTCCTGCCTCTTGAATATTCCCTGTCACCTTGGATCCCTTAGAACATAGTGTGCATCACATCTTCCATTCTCACCCCGCCCCATGCTGGCTATATTCCTATATTCGTACTCAGATCATAGACACTTGTTTGCTACCCATAAAAGGAAGAACTGGAGGTAACAGTGTCCTCATCCCATTTACCATCAGCACATATTATTTTTTAAAAATTCCACCTAGAAGCTGAAGGACAACAGATTTAAACCCATATTCTTCTACTCATTTTCAATTTGCTTCACTATGATGGTGTCACATGCTGATTCCAGATAAAAGCAAGTGATTTTCTGATATATAACCATTAAACAAATCTTACTGGTCTTTGGCCATCAGAATTACTGGGCTTTGTTCATCTCCCTTGAATCCTAAAAAATGAAAACACTGATAAGCTCAAATTTTTATTAACCTTGGAACAAATGCAATAATTCCTTACAGTCATATAGCATTTTACAATTCTGAAAGAATTTTCACATATACCAATTGAACCCTCACAACAGCCCTGTGAGGTAGGCAGGGTAGGTGTTACTTTCCTACTGCTAGTGAGGAGAACAAGGCTAAGAGGTGAAGTAAGGTCACACAGTTGGTAAATGATGGAGCTAGGACTAGAACCTAGGCCTTCTGACTTGCTGCCTCCCTGAGAACATTCAAGTAATAATATCCTATGCTATATAATGAATATTTATCTCCTATGATGTTGATCAGGTCTATTTTTATACATTTTACCTGTTTTTATATTACCTTTCCCTAATACTGAAAAACACTAAAACTGATACGAGACATTTGAGACATTTCTTCTCTGTTACTGGACTTTCTTAGATATATCAAACACTATCCTAAGATGAAACTTCTGTTTTGAGGATCCTTGGCTATAAATTCTCAATTATGATACGAACATTTATTTTACAAATTCTACAAAAGTATGTTGAACTTAAGAAAAACAAAACAGGTGTGTTTATATTCTCAAAAGCTTTGCCATCTTTCCCAATATGACTTTAATATGTGTATAAATGGAAAACAGGGAAAGGTGTTCAGCAACATTACAGTATTATTGGGAAACCTATGCAGAGTGCACATAAATGCAAGTTACATCACATTAATTTGTTTTCTTTGTTGGCCTTATAGAGGATGAACCATTAGTGTCTTTCAGGTTTGATCCTGTCTTATATGTGACATCCTCAGCAACAAGCTAAAATGATCTGAATTATACCAATAGCGGGGCTCAAGCAGCAGTGATCAAAACATAATATGTATGTGGTAAAAAGGAACACTTGTTCTTCAGTGGTTTTGCCTAGGTCCAGTGTAATTACTTATCAAAACATGTTTTAAGCTACAGCATCTCTGTTAAATTTAGAAATGTGAAACATGGAAGAGTTATCAACTTGGAATACAATACTAAAACTGAATATAACTGACCCAAAACTACCTGTCAAAAGCACAGTAAAGCTTAACAGGCATAAAAACTAAGGGGTAAAACCCAACTGCTCTGACATAAGAGTGAAAAACAGCAAATGCAAACCATCAGGTTAAAGTGAATCACAAAACATTAGGCATGTAGAGCATGTTTTAAAAATAGGAAAATGACACTGAGCTGTATTACCAGGAATAATATTTTTAAAATTCCAGGTATGGCCTTCTACATTTAATAGCAATGGAGAGAAACAAGCCTATGGGGGAGGTGCAGAAAATGAATGGGATCTAGAAAGGGAGTTGAGTTTGGAAGTTAAGGAAGTCAAAGAAACAAATACATCCAAAATGGATTTAGAATCTCTCCTCTAAATCCATCCTTTCCAAAAAATGTTTCCTATATTGAGAGATTTGGTAAAAAAAAAAAAATTAGCTAGTGACAGTAAGTAACTATATTACCTTATAAAATAAAGTAGTATTTAAATGTAGATCAGAAATTATGCTGTCAAAGATAAATCTGCTGACTAGGCTGTAGAATCTGAAACTTAAATGCTACTATCAGTGATAGAAGGCAGAAAAGTGTCTCAAAAACAGAATTGCCATATTAGGACTCAACATTAATGAAACTATTAAGAAACAAGTACTTAACTGTTTGTAATTGAAGCCTACTGAAAAACACATTTGTATGTTTACTAAAGAGATCTAACAGTTTTAACTGACGAAAAATACTGCAGCTACATTTCAGTCTTTTAAGGTAAAACAAGATCTAGAATATTCTAGTTCAGTATACTGGGCTCAAAACCAACTTTCCTTTTGAAATGCATCTAGACTAGACTATATTCCTTACATAATATCATTGTCATCATCATCTTCATGTTTTCTCTTCAGTGGGTTTGCTTCATTGGCTGTGTTCTGTGACGAAACCATGTTGGTGGTAATAAGAATATTTTTGGGCCCAATCATTGAAGGATTAATCAGAACATTTTGAACTGCAGTTGTTGCAGGAACTGTAAACAGAGAAGAAAGCCCCCCCAAAACCAAGCTATGAATTACCCAGAATCTGAAACATATGATAAAAAGTATACAACAAAGCTGAATGTAATTCTAATACCAATTTCAATAGCATGAAGTGCAACTATATCATAGAAGAAACATAGGTACTTATACTGCAATGAGTTGAATTAAATTTTAAAAAATCTTTATTTTTAATTGGCAAATAATAATTGTGTATTTATTTTTAAATTACTATTTTTTTGAGACAGTGTCTCGCTCTGTCGTCCAAGCTGGCGTGATCTTGGCTCACTGCAACCTCCGCCTCCTGAGTTCAAGTGATTCTCGTGCCTCAGGTTCCCAAGTAGCCGGGATTATAGGCGTGTACCACCAAACCTGGCTAATTTTTGTATTTTCAGTAGAGACGGGGTTTCACCACGTTGGCCAGGCTGGTCTCGAACTCCTGGCCTCAAGTGATCCTCCCGCCTCGGTCTCCCAAAGTGCTGGGATTACAGGTGTGAGCCATTGTACCCTGCCAATAATTGTGTATATGTACGGGATATAATGTGATGTTCTGATCTATGTATAGATAAAGATTAAACATATCTAGTACAAGGTTGAAGAAGTTCTGTTGTATTTTAACAACCTAGAATTTCAATTTAGTCATGGGAAACTGCACTGGATTCATCATGCAACATATTAAACAAAGGCCTATGTTCAAGGTCAGGAATCACTTCCCTAATAGGCCAGTATTTTACGTTAGTTGCTTATTGTGTGTGGTTAGGTTTCAGAAGATATGAAATCTAGACATACACATTAGTAAACTGTGCTATGACAGAATTCTTATTCCAATCTGTGTGTGTGTGTGTGTGTGTGTGTGTGTGTGTGTGTGTATCCTATGAAGTAAAGGTACAATTTCATTTGAATTTACATTTATGTTCTGGATTGCATACACATATTCATCACTAAGTTTTGTCGCTTTCTTGAGCTTTTACCTTAACTGCTTTTCCTTGAAGACGACTTAGATTTGTGGACCCTAACTGTTTAGCTGACGGTGTTCTTTGAAAATCTGATGAACACACTGAATACTCTTTCCCTCCTCCCCAAAACGTTACATATATAGTAGTCCCCCCTTATCTGCAGTTTCAGCTACTTGTGGTCAACTGCGATCCAAAAATAGATGAGTACAGTACAGTAAGATACTTTGAGAGATCACACTCACATATATTTTATTACAGTATGTTGTTGTAATTGTTAATTAATTATTGTTAATTTCTTGCCGTGCCTAATTTATAAATTAAACCTTATAATTTAGAAAGTTTATAAATTTAACTTTAAAGGTTGTAAATTTAACTGGGGGTCTTGGAACAATCCCTCAAGGATAAGGGGGGAGACTACTTTATGTAAAATTTCACAGAATTTTAGAGGGCTCATAGGTCCCTCTGAAGAACCCTCATTTGCAGCATTACTGCCACCTTCCTGTTGGGTATTAAAACAATTTACCTCTTGCTATAGGAATACAAACGGTCCTACAATTTCAAATTATTCACAAATTCTGTCCCCCACTCCCAATCACATTACCTGGTTTGACAGGTGTGGACTGAGAAGGTGGAATCTGCACCGTAAATCTTTGGCTTGTCACTGACATTGGAGTTGCAACTTTATTTGGGACAGACACCGTTTGTGGGGTTGCTGTAGTTACAATAAACAGACCATGTTTGTTAGGTGACTTATACAGATTTATATTCTACACTCAGCTTACCGCAAACTATCTTCAAAGCAAAGGAAACTAATAAAAGGTGAGGAAAAAGTCATTAGAAATAAGAGCAAAACAACCTTAAAAAAATTTACAAGCTTGTTTAGATGTTACAAAATTCAGTATAGAATAGTGGTAAAGAATGTAGGCTCTGTAGCCTACCTGCTTGAGTTTGAATACAGGCTCTCACCTACTAGCTGAGTGTCCTTGGGCAAGTTTATTTAAATTTTTGTGCCTCAGTTTTCTCCTCTGTAAAATGGGGGATATATCACCCATTTCATATAATTATTGTGAAAATTAAGTAAAAATAATCCCTGTAAAACTCTTCAAACAGCCTCTAGTACACAGTAAGCACTGAGGTATAGCTGGATGAAGACATAAAGATGAGAGTTTAACCTACCAGAATAAAGACCCAGGTTTTCTATTTATTACCTTAGTTGGCACTTTTAATCTTGGTCACCTGCTGAGAATCAGAAGATGTCATCTATGCCCATGAAACTAAAGCAGAGATCAAATACACCCCTTGAGGTCTCCAGGTGGGCCCAGAAAATTTATTCCCTTTCTGTGTTCAGATACTTTTTAAGCAGAAAAATATCTTGGAGATAACCTAGTCTAAACCCCCAGTCATCTAAATTCTACCCATTATTCCAAGGTACAGCTCAAATACTACCCCGTTTTATAAAACTTTCCTTAATTTTCTCAGTTAAACGTCTTATATCCTGCCTCTGAAGTTCCCTTAACGTCATAGGAGTCATTATTATCTTATCTCATTGACTAGATTACAAGCCTTGACTAACATTTTTCATCCTTGTGAGCACATGGCTCTTTTACCTTGCTCCTAATAGGTACTCAACAAATGTTTGCTTAATAAATGTATTTTGTAAGACTCGAAGACTTAATATATATACTGACATCATTGCTCTCTTAAAAAATACATTTATGGAAATGTATCCATTTCCAATTTTTCATTTGGGGATGCAGGCTTTCCAATACATCCCTTCCCCCTGGAACCAGCAGTCTACCCAGAGATAGAGTTGCTGAGGACACTGCAATTATCATCATTTCTAGAGACAAAGGTGAAGAAAGTCTAAGGGAATAAAGCCCAAAGGTACTGAGAAATCCGGGTTTTACTGCTTTCTCTCCCAAACACAGAAGGTGAGACCTTCCTCTAAAATATCTCCATCCCTAGGTAAGTTTTCCCATGTGTTAAGGATCAGTTCAAAGAATTTGGTGAAGCGTAATGAAGCAATGTAAGTATTTTATTTTATAAAGAAAAAAGAAAACTCACAGTAGGTGGATGTTTTCTTGGCCTAAGGATTGTTAATACATTTTAGTAGGTATGGAGTTCAGGCTTTAAAACTGAACACATTAGACTGTAGATGGAGCTTCCCCCAATTGAACAGAGTAAATACTCAGGTCTTAAGTCTATATAAATCATTTTAATTTTTTTTTTTTTTTGAGACAGAGTCTTACTCTGTCGTCCAAGCTGGAATGCAGTGGCATGATCTTGGCTCACTGTGACCTCCGCCTCTTGGGTTCAAGCAATTCTCGTGCCTCAGCCTCCCGAGTAGCTGGGATTACAGGCACCCGCCACCATGCCTGGCTAATTTTTGTATTTTTAGTAGAGACGGGGTTTCACCATGTTGGCCAGGCTGCTCTTGAACTCCTGACCTCAAGTGATAGGCCCACCTTGGCCTCCCAAAGTGCTAGGATTACAGGTGTGAGCCACCGCACCTGGCCAACTCATTTTAATTTTTTTAAATTTTAAAACTTGCATCTTTATGCCTGGCGTGGTGGCTCACACCTGTAATCCTAGCACTTTGGGAGGCCGAGGCAGGCAGATCACTTGAGGTCAGGAGTTCAAGACCAGCCTGGCCAACATGGTGAAATCCCGTCTTTACTGAAAAAAAAAAAAAACACAAAAAAACAAAAATTAGCCTGGTGTGGTGACGCACACCTGTAATCCCAGCTACTCGGGAGGCTGAGGCAGGAGAATTGCTTGAACCCAGGAGGCAGAGGTTGCAGTGAGCCAAGATTGTGCCATTGCACTCCAGCCTGGCCTGGGTAACAGAGTGAGAGTCTGTCTCAAAAAATAAAAAATAAAAACAAAAAAAAACTTGCATCTTTAAAACTATCAGGCGTTTTTTGGTAGTGCCCTGACTCTAGATTTTAACAATCTCTGAACAGTATGTACAACAAATGTCTAGCTAGGAATAAAAATCACAACTGATAACTAAAATTGGTTAACCTGCCTAACACACGAAACTGATTACCAGCCTAGGGGTTTAAAAAAGCTGGTATTCATTTAAGTAATGTGAACCCACAGACAAACAGTATATGATGAAAATTTACAAAGATTATAATGCAGATTTCTGTCCACAAAGGTCACAGGTAGGTAATTAGACATGTACAACTAATACTATACCCAAACTGGTTTTACAATGCTGAAATGCAAATTTACATCCTGAGAATATGAAGAGAGGGTTTACACACCTCAAAAATCAAATGCTGTTTATACCTGAGCTATATGACAGCTATAGGACTCAAGTTATAAGCAATAAGAGCCAATAAATTAATACTGGTGAAAAGGGACTTTTCTGAAAATACTTTGAATACTAGACTATGCAAGAAACCCAGCAGGAATGTAGGAAAAAAAAAACAGGAAATCTAAGTCCATTATTTGTTTTCCTTATTATCTAAACAACAATATTAAAAAGAAACAAATAATGGTTTCTAAATACCATTCTCCACTAAAAGGAACTAGAGCTCTTTGGACAAGTGGATGATTCTAGGACCTAGGCAGAAAAATATAAAGATGAGTTTGGAACATCTTGTTGCATCAGAAAGCAAGAAATGATCACAGAATGATGCAGATACGTCAAAAGGACACAGGAAACAGCTTGAAGGGGCTCCCACTGACCAATCTAAAACAATCAGTACTATGTTTTAAAAAGGTTAGTATTAAAAACAATTTTTTTCTTTGAAATCCTTAAGATTTTTGTACACCTTAATCTTCTTTCTACTGTATTCTCATCAATGTATTTGGAAATTTAAATTTCTAATAAGTAGTCTACTGCCATAAGTGTGTGTGGCACCTTATAGAAGGCGTAAAGTACACAGCTAAGAGTAAACTCCTGTTTTTGGTATCAGAGTTTATACCAACAACAATGGGGGCAATGTCCAATTTTATATTCATTTGAGATCAGACGTTCCTTGTGGCTTTCTCATTTTGAAATCCAGTAACATGTATGTTTATAGCTTTACTAGAGGATGAGTAAAATTATTAATAGTAACACATACACAAGAATTTCTGATTCACTTTTTGACTTGCATTATAGTTCAAAACCAAGTGCTGAGGCACTGCTTTACCAGCCAGAAATGCCATTGTCTCCTCTCACTTACCTATAGTAGGAGTAGTAGGTTTGCTACTAACAGCACCAACACTTAATCGTGGAACTAGTCTCCCTTGGTTAGGTCCCTAGGGGATTTAAAAAACAAATTAATGTTAAGATGTGACACCTAAATTTACCAGGAATGAAATTAGGATTGCTGATGTAAATGATTATGGATAATCCATGGCAAGAAAGTCCTGTTTTTGTTCTCTCAGTGTTCTAAATCCAACATTTAATCTGGGGTTTGTATAAACATATATACATCTCTATCTATATAAAAATAGATATGAATACGTATAAAATCTTATGCAGTATTAAAGTTTAAGATAGCGGTTATCCCCATTCAAATAAGACTGTAACTACTTTGTGATTTTTAATCTTAACTGGTCAATTTCTTAACCCAAAAAAGAATAAAACTCTTATAGTGGAACTTCAGAAAAGGCAGCCTATTATGGGGAGAACTTTTTCAGTGGTGGGAGAGCTTTATGTCATATTTTAGAAAGCTGGCCTAATTCCTGATGGTATCATTTCCTCTGTTATTAGGCCTCACTAAAAAACTATGATATAGTGGAAAGACTGGGAGTTATGAGGCTTGGAATCAGTCCTAGCTTTGCTACTAACTTCATAAATGAGTTCAGGCCCTGCTTCCTGATGTGAAAAATGACTGTTGAGTTAGATGAACACTAAAGTTCCATCTAGCTCGAAAATTTTTTAAAATTAAAAAAATTCTAGTAAGTTATCTTAACCTTTAATCTACTATACTAGCTACAGGAATTTGCTTTTCACAAAGTCCCCTATCATATTCCACCTTTTAAAAAAAGAAAAGTTGACTAAAATTTCTTACCTTTTTAATTAAGGACTTCAGCCTATAGTTTGGAGCTGTTAAGCAGTATCTATCAGGTGGCAGTCTAGGTCCTGCATATGGCTTAATCAGTGGCAAAGGGGTTTGATTTTTCTGCCTTGCGATATCCAGTAAAAACTTAAAAAAAAAATCCTTATTAGAACTACAGTTTTAAAAATTGTAAGTAAAAATAACTTCAAATCAAAGTTTGCTCACATCTCTTGGGGGAGGAGAGGTAAAAGATTGGTCAGCACGACACTGGATTGCCAGTCTCACATCATCTGCATCAACATTAGGTTTCTTAGCATGGCTCGAATAAATTTTTGCATCATCCAGAATTGTAGTCACATAACCTATAAGAACAAAACAATCTTTTCTTAAACATATGAAGACAGCTTAATATTTATGGCTACTTGTCTTAATAAAACTTTCCACTAATTTGTAGACGGTTTATAAATTTTGTGGGTTTTTGTAGAGACAGGGTCTCGCTATGTTGCCCAGGAAACTCCTGGCCTCCCCGCGACAGCCTCCCGAAGTGCTGAGATTACAGGTGTAAGCTACTGTGCTCAGCCTAAATGCTGATTTTAATAAGTAATTGTCCTGTCTATATGATCAGTTTTAAACAGATATCACAGTGTGAATACTACTGTCCCCTAGCTTGAGCTCCTTTCGTTCTTTAGGCTGAATTCTATGATACTGTTAACATAATTTGGTTGAAAATGTTCTTACAAGGCTGGGTGCGGTGGCTCACGCCTGTAATCCCAACACTTTGGGAGGCCGAGATGGGGGGATCACTTGAGTCAGTAGTTCGAGGCCAGCCTGGGCAATATGGCGAAACTCCCTTTCTACTAATAATACAACACTTAGCCGGGCGTGGTGGCAAGTGCCTGTAGTCCCAGCTCGGGAGGCTGAGGCACAAGAATCGCTTGAACCCAGGAGGCGGAGGCCGCAGTGAGCCAAGATCGCGCCACTGCCTTCTAGCCTGGGCAACAGCGAGTCCCTGTCTCAAAAAAGAAAATAAAAGAAAATGTTCTTACAATAAAAATATCTTTTCAAGTTCACAAGTTAGGCAAGTTTTTGGTGTTTCATTAACTTACGGAAAGCAAATTCCAACATTTGATTTATAACCCTTGGTTCATACTCTGTGATTCCCATATCCTTCAGGATCTGTGCCATCACCTGTGGATTCAAATAAAAACACCAGATGCAGAATTTGGTACTGGAAATCAAGGCTGCACTGAAGGGTAGTATTTATATTTATGATACAAGGTTCCCCTTCTTTGGGCTCCAAAGTCCTACTCACCCTTGCCCTCCCAAGTGAGTCAGTGATCACACGAAATCGCATAGTACGCTTTTGCAGAAAACTTTTATTTTTATTTTTTGGCGGGGTTGGGGGCGGGGTGTGGGGCAAAGAGAAGACAGAATTTGGCTTCTCCAGCAGAGGTAAGTAGCTCCAGCTGGTTGTCATTTTTGGCTGTGGCGGCGGGTTAAGGTAGCATCAGAACCCTGGACGCGGAGTCAGGGCTGGCAGATAGCTAGAGACGAGGGGGAGGCAGGGGCCCGAAGCCCAGGACACAAAGCTGGGCAGCCGTTCCGCAAGCTCCACTGGACCGCGACCCTCTGGCAAGACTTGGCCCAAGCGGCGAGATAGGGGCCCGGGGGCCAGGGCGCATCCCCATCACCCTCTCCTCCTGACGGCCCTGACTAGACTGAAACGAGCGTGCGAGCCGACCCTCAGGCCCTCAGCGTGGCCCCGCCTCGCAGGTCCCTGGCTGCACCTGGCTTCGCGATCCGCGGCTTATCCTTCGCACTTACCAAGGCATCTCTCGGAGCGTTCTTGGGAGGCGCCATCTTGCCCGACTCCATGTTATCCAGCCACTCGTCATCCGCGGAGACAGAGGAGAGAGGAGAGCTCGCGGGCTCCTCGCTCAGGCTCCACCCCTGCGGGGAGCGGGAGGAGGGAAACGGAAGGCGGGGTTACGTGCCAGCCGCCGGGGGCGGGAGTTTCAGCAAGCCGCTGGCCAGGGGAAGAGACGCGCTGGGGTGCCCGAGTTCAGTATTGGAAGAGGCAGGTAATCCTTCCCCATGGAGCCTGCTGGGGCCTGAAAGAAGTAGAGGGGCCGAGAAGCTCGACTTCCCAGAGTTGTTTCCCGGCAAAGGGCACCAAGTGGGCCAACCTCACCTTTGCGGGGGTCCCTCCTCACACCTCCACGGCTACCACCTTTGCCCCTTTCGGCCTCCCGGAATTCCAGACCCAGTCGGTGTTAGGGCTGCTTGGTCCAACACAGTTGGACCCGTTACGTTTGAATGTCACATCAACAAGGAATACATTTTTAGTATAAGTATATCCCAGATTTGCACAGGCCATACTTATGCTACGAAATAATTGTTCTGATATTCATATTTAACCGGGTGTCCTGGATTTTTATTAGCTAAATCTGACAATCCTACCCAATAGCTTGCTCTCCCCACAGCAAGACTTTGGTCAGCCCTTGTCACACTCAAAGCCCTACCGTGGCTGCCCATTTCACACTGATGAAAAACTAAAGCCTTCACTCGGCCCGTTAGAGACCCTCTAGCCTCTCTTGGCCCTGGAGCAGCTTCCTGTCTCCCCGCTGAGGCCAACACAGGACCCTTCCTTGCCTCCCAGTTACACCCTTCCCAGCCCCTCACCCACAGAACAGCCCGAATGACTTTTCGTGAGAACCTACCATCCAGCCCCAGTGACTTTCAAAAAATGTGCATCAGTTAACTATCTCTGGCTTAAAATGTCGCAGATAACTCATTCTTACCCTCCACATCCACCAACGCCCTAGGATTCTCCCTCAGGAACAGGAACCGTGACTCACCCAGGCCAGAAACGGAGCAGGCAGCCATGTTGGCGCTTTCCCTCACAATCCACACTCAACCTAGCAACAAGTCTTGTCCGGGTGACCTCCCAAAGTTCTATCCATGTCTCCACATCTCCATCCAGTGCTACTATGCTAACGAGTCCAAGCCAACATCCTTACCAAGATTACAGAAATATGCTCCCCAAATAGTGTCCCCCCACATTCCTTACACAGCTAGACGGACCTTTCAGTCATAAATCCAATCATTATTTTCCTTAAAACCCTCCAGTGGCTCTCCTCACAAACACTTACACAAATACATACTAATTTCCCAGGCTTAGCGGGTCCTTCAGTTTTGTGGCGCAGCTCACCTCATCAGACTCATCAGAATCAGCAGTCCACCTGGCCGCCATCTTGAAGTTTGGGCAGGAACTCCCCCCAACCAAGAACCATGTGTTCTCAATACATTGTTTCCAGTGAGAGCACGTGCTCCCACGCTGAGCTAGTGCCTTTCTCCACTCTTACTGTGGCCAACCTCTGTGTAAAACTAGTAACAGTCCCTTGCTTTTGAATATTTGCAAGGTACATTTAAAAATAGGTGGGGGCCAGGCACGGTGGCTCACGCCTGTAATCCCAGCACTTCGGGAGCCGAGGCGGGCGGATCACTTAACGTCAGGAGTTTGAGATCAGTTTGGCCAATGTGGTGAAACCCTGTCTCTACTAAAAATACAAAATGTAGCCGGGCATGGCAGGGCACGCCTATAGTCCCAGCTACTCAGGAGGCTGAGGCAGGACAATCGCTGGAACCCAGGAGGTGGACGTTGCAGTGAGTCGAGACTGCGCCACTGCACTCCAGCCTGGGCGACAGAGCGAGACTCCATCTCAGAAAAAGAAATAAAATAAAATAAAAATACGTGGTATATTTGCAAGGTACAACATTTAAGACTACTTTAAAATACCCTAGTAAAAGAAAGCCTCTCTCACCTGTTCCAGCCACTGATGTCACTTTCACAGATGGCACCATTGTTTATCAGTTTCTATTCTGTGCAATTTACAAATAGTATCTTGTTTATATATTTTTCCTCCCACTAGAATGGTACTATAGTCTTAGGGTGGCCAACCTTCAGAGAGCCAACCCAGGACATAGATGTGCTAGATGAAGAAAACCCATAACATATTATAAATAATTGTCCATATGTATCATTACTTAAGAATAAGTGTTCACTTGAAATTATATGTTTTTTATGTATTATTTTCTGTTACATAAGTGCTATTTAAACAAAACACTAGGACTAAACAGTGGCCATTAGTAGTAATTAATAGTAGGATAAGTTAAATAATATGTGTGAGAAAATCTGACAATATTTTTCATTATATTTCTGTCCTCAACAATTTAACTCTTGCACATTTAAATTTTGTACGTCGTATTGTGTATTCTTCATATACAGAAATATAAGACTTTTAAAAGGAATGTAAATATAAGACAAACGGCTATCTATATATATTTTTAATTTTTAATTTTTCTGTGTATATAGTAAGTGTATATATTTATGGGTACATGAAATGTTTTGATGCATGCATGCAATGTGAAATAATCACATCATGGAAAATAGGGTATCTATCTCTTCAAGCATTTATCCTTTGTGTTACAAGCAATCCAATTGCACTCTTAGTTATTTTAAAATTTACAATTAAGTTATTATTGACTATAGTCACTCTGTTGTGCTAGCAAATACCAGGTTTTATTCATCGTTTCTATTTTGTTGTACACATAAACCTACCTGCGTCTCCACCCTCCCACTATCCTTTCCAGCCTCTGGTAACCATCTTTCTACTCTCTGTGTCCATGAGTTCAATTGTTTTGAGTTTTGGATCCCACAAATAAGTGAAAACGTGTGATGTTTGTATTTCTGTCCTTGGCTTATTTCACTTACCATAATGACTTTCGGTTCCATCCATGTGGTTGCAAATAACAGGATCTCATTCTTTTTTATGGCTGAATAGTGCTCCATTGCATATAAGTACCACATTAAAATTTTTTTAAATTTTATGTTCAGGGGTATATGTGCAGGTTTGTTATATAGGTAAACTTGTGTCACAGGGGTTTGTCATACAGATTATTTTGCCACCCTAGTACCAAATAGTTATTTTTCCTTATTCTCTCCCTCCTCTTACCCTCCAACGTTACGTAGGCCCCAGTGTCTGTTGTTCCCCTCTTTGTGTCCGTGAGTTCTCATCATTTACCTCCCACTTATGAGTGAGAACATGGGGTATTTGGTTTTCCGTTCCTGCATTAGTTTGCCAAGGATAATGGCCTTCAGCTCCATCCATGTTCCCAGAAGACCTGATCTTGTTCATTTTTATGGCTGCACAGTATTCCATGATGTATATGTACCACATTTCTTTATCCAATCTGTCCATTGATGGGCATTTAGATTGATTCCATGTTTTTACTATTGTGCATAGTGCTGCAATGAACTTTCACATGCATGTATGTGTGTGTGTATATATATATATTTAGATGGAGTCTTGCTCTGTTGCGCAGGCTGGAGTGTAGTGATGTGATCTCGGTTCATTATAACCTCTGCCTCCCAGGTTCAAGTGATTTCCGGCTAATTTACGTATTTTTTTAGTAGAGGCAGGGTTTCATCATGTTGGCCAGGCTGGTCTTGAACTTCTGACCTCAAGTGATCCACCTGCCTCGGCCTCCCAAAGTGCTAGGATTACAGGCATCCACTGCACCTGGCCTGCATTTGTCTTTATGGTAGATAATTTATATTCCTTTGGGTATATACCCAGTTATGCGATTGCTGGGTAAAATGGTAGTTCTGTTTTTAGCTCTTTGAGGAATCGCCACACTGCTTTCCAGAATGGTTGAACTAATTTATACTCCCTCCAGCAGTATATAAGTGTTCCCTTTTCTCTGCAACCTTGTCAACACCTGTTATTTTTTGACTTCTTTTTATTTGAGACTGGGTCTCACTCTGTCACCCTGGATGGACTACAGAGGCACGCTCACAGCTCAGTGCAGCTTCGACCTCCTGGGCTCAAGCAATCCTCCCACCTCAGCCTCCTTAGTAGCTAGGACTATAGGTGTGTGCCACCATGCCCAGCTAATTTTGGTACTTTTTGTAGAGGTGGGGTTTTGCCATGTTGCCCAGGCTCGTCTCTAACTCCTGGGCTCAAGTGATCTGCCCATTTCAGCCTCCCAAAGTGCTAGGATTACAGAAATAAGCCACTGTGCCTGGCCTGACTTTTTAATAATAGCCATTCTGACTGGTGTGAAATGGTATCTCATTGTGGCTTTGATTTGCATTTCTCTAATGATCAGTGATATTGAGCTTTTTTCATATACATGTTGGCCACATGTATGTCTTCGTTTGAAAAGTATCTGCTTGTATCCTTTGCCCACCTATTGATGGGGTTGTTTTTTTCTTGTAAATTTGTTTAAGTTGCTTAGAGATTCTGGATATTAGACCTTTGTCAGATGCATAGTTTACAAATATTTTCTCCCATTCTGTAGGTTGTCTGTTTACTCTGTTGATAGTTTCTTTTGCAGTGCAGAAGCTCTCAAGTTTAATTAGATCCCATTTGTCATTTTTTGCTTTTGTTGCAATTGCTTTTGGCATCTTTATTATAAATCTTTGCTCATTCCTATGTCCAGAATGGTATTGCCTGTGTTGTCTTCCAGGATTTTTATAGTTTCGAATTTTACATTTAAGTCTTTAATCCATCTTGCATTGATTTTGTATATGGTATAAGAAAGGGGTCCAGTTTCAATCTTTTGTCTATGGCTAGCCAGATATCCCAGCACCATTTATTGAATAGGGAGTCCTTTCCCCATTGCTTGTTTTTGTCAGCTTTGTTGAAGATCAGATGGTTGTAGGTGTATGACCTTATTTCTGGGTTCCCTATTTTGTTCCATTGGTCTATGTGTCTGTTTTTGTATCAGCACTGTGCTATTTTGATTACTGTAGTCCTGTAGTATAGTTTGAAGTCAGGTAATGTGATGCCTCCAGCTTTGTTCTCTTTGCTTAGGGTTGCCTGGGCTATTCGGGCTCTTTTTTTTTGGTTCCAGATGAATTTTAAAATAGTTTTTTTGGCCGGGCATGGTGGCTCATGCCTGTAATCCCAGCACTTTGGGAGGCCGAGGCGGGTGGATCACCTGAGGTCAGGAGTTCAAAACCAGCCTGGCCAACATGGCGAAACCCACTTTTAGTAGAGATTTTTAGTCTCTACTAAAAATACAAAAATTAGCCAGGTGCGGTGGTGGGTGCCTGTAATCCCAGCTACTCGGGAGACTGAGGCAGGAGAATTGCTTGAACCCGGGAGGTGGAGGTTGCAGTGAGCTGAGATCACGCCATTGTACTCCAGACTGGGCAACAGAGCGAGACTCTGTCTCAAAAAAAAAGAAAAAAGAAAAAAACATCTTTTTCTAGTTATGTGAAGAATGTCATTGGTGGTTTGATAGGAATAGCAATGAATCTGTAAATTACTTTGGGCAGTATGGCCATTTAAACAATATTGATTCTTCCTATCCATGAGCATGGAATGTTTTTCCATTTGTTTGTATCATCTCATCTCAGATTTCTTTAAGCAGTGTTTTGGAGTTCTCATTGTAGAGATCTTTCACCTCACTGGTTAGCTATATTTTTAGGTATTTTATTCTTTTTGTGGCAATTGTGAATGGCATTGTATTCCTGATTTGGCTCTTGGCTTCACTGTTATTGGTGTGTAGAAATGCTAGTGATTTTTGTCCATTGATTTTTGTATCCTGAAATTTTGCTGAAGTAGTTTATCAGCTAAAGGAGCTTTTGGCCTGAGACTATGGATTTTCTAGACACAGAATCATGTCATCTGCACACAGGGACAGTTTGAAGTCCTCTCTTCCTATTTGGATGCCCTTTGTTTGTTTTGCCTGATTGCTCTGGACAGGAATCCAATACTATGTTGAATAGGAGTGGTGAGAGAGGGCATCCTTGTTTTGGTACCACATTTTCTTTATCCATTCATCTGTTGATGGACACTTAGACTGCTTCCAAATGATGGCTATTGTGAAGAGTACTGCAACAAACCTGGGAGTGCAGACATCTCTTTGGTATATGGATTTTCTTTCTTTTGGATATACCCAGCAGTCAGATTGCTGGATTACATGGTACTCTATTTTTAGTTTTTTGAGGAACCTCCAAACCTCTTCTTTATAGTGGTTGAGTATTAATAATTTACAATCCCGCCAACAGTGTAGGGGGCTCTCTTTTTTCCACACCCTCATCAGCATTTGTTATTGCCTGTCTTTTGTATAAAAGCCATTTTAACTGGAATGAGATAATATCTCATTGTAGTTTTGATTTGTATTTCTCTGATGGTCAGTGATGTCAAACACCTTTTCATATACATTTTCCATTTTTGTGTCTTCTTTTGATAATGTCTATTCAACTCTTTTGCCTATTTTTTAAAATCAGATTATTAGATTGTTTTCCTATAGAGTTGTTTGAGCTTCTTATATTGTCTGGTTATTAATCCCTTGTCAGATGGGTAGTTTGCAAATATTTTCTCCTATTCTGTGGGTAGTCTCTTCACATTGTTGGTTGTACCATTTGCTGTACAGGAGCTTTTTAACTTGATGTGATCTCATTTGCCTATTTTTGCTTTGGTTGCCTGTGCTTGTGGGGTATTACTCAAGAAATCTTTGCCAAGATTGATGCCTCTTGGAATTTCTCCAGTGTTTTGTTTCAGTAGTTTCATAGTTTCAGGTCTTAGATTTAGGTATTTAATCCATTTTGATTTGATTTTTGTATATGGCAAGAGATATATGAGTCTAGTTTCATTCTTCTGCATATGGATATTCAGTTTTCCCAGCACCATTTATTGAAGAGAGTGTCTTTTTCCCAGTGTACATTCTTGGCACCTTTGTCAACAATGAGTTCACTGTATTTGTGTGGATTTGTTTCTGGATTTTATACTTTGTTCCATTGGTCTATGTGTCCGTTTTAATGCCAGTACCATGTTGTTTTGGTAACTGTAGCTCTGTAATATAATTTGAGGTCAGGTAATGTGATTCCTCCAGTTTTGTTCTTATTGCTTAGGATAGCATTGGCTATTCTGGAGTTTTATTGGTTCTATAAACATTTTAGGATTGTTTTTTCTGTTTCTGTGAAGAATGTCATCGGTATACTGATGGAAATTTTGTTGAATCTGTAGATTGCTTGTACCTTACAGATCTCCTGGCCTGTAAGGTTTTCTCTGAAAAGTTTGGTGCCCGATGTATTGCAGCTCCATTGTATGTTATTTGTTTCTTTTCTCTTGCTGTTTTTAGGATCCTTTGTTTGTCCTTGACCTTTGGGGTTCTGATTATTAAATGCCTTGAGGTAGTCTTCTTTGGGTAGTAATATGGTTTGACTGTGTCCCCAACCAAATCTCGTCTTGAATTGTAACTCCCACATTTCCCACATGTCATGGGAGGAACCCGGTGGGAGGTGACTGAATTATGGGGGTGGGTCTTTCCTGCACTGTTTTTGTGAGAGTGAATGAGTCTCATGAGATCTGAAGGTTTTAAAAATCTACGGTTTTTCTGCACAAGGTCTCTCTTTTTCCCTGCTGCCATCCATGTAAGACGTGACTTGCTCCTCCTTGCCTTCTGCCATGATTGTGAGGTCTCCCCAGCCACGTCGAACTGAGTCCAATTAAACCTCTTTCTTTTGTAAATTGCCCAGTCTCAGGTATATCTTTATCAGCAGTGTGAAAATGGACTAATACAATAAATTGGTACCAGAAGTGGGGTGCTGCTGAAAAGATACCCAAAAATGTGGAAGTGACTTTGGAACTGGGTAACAAGCAGAGGTTGGAACAGTTTGGAGGGCTCAGAAGAAGACAGGAAAATGTGGGAAAGTTTGAAACTCCCTAGGGACTTGTTTAATGGCTTTGCCCAAAATGCTGATAGCAATATGGACAAGAAAGTCCAGGTTAAGATGGTCTCAGATGGAAATGAGGAACTTGTTGGGAACTGGAGCAGAGGTGACTCTTGTTATGTTTTAGCAAAGAGACTGGTGGAATTTTGCCCCTGCCTTAGAGATTTGTGGAACTTCGAACTTGAGAGAGATGATTTAGGGTATCTGGTGGAAGAAATTTATAAGCAGCAAAGCACTCAAGAGGTGACTTGGGTGCTGTTAAAGGCATTCAGTTTTATAAGGGAAGAAAAGCATAAAATTTTGGAAAATTTGCAGCCTTACAATGGCATAGAAGAGAAAATCCCATTTTCTGAGCACAAATTTAAGCCCACTGAAGAAATTTGCATAAGTAACAAGGGGCTGAATGTTAATCCCCAAGACAATGGGGAAAATGTATCCAGGGCATGTCAGAGGTCTTCAGGGCAGGCCCTCCATCACAGGCCCAGAGGCCTAGGAGGAAAAAGTGGTTTTGTGGGCCAGGTCCAGGGTCCCTGTGCTGTGTTCAGCCTAGGGACTTGCTGCCCCACATCCCAGCCACTCCAGCCATGGGTGAAAGGGGTCAATGTAGAGCTTGGGCTGTGGCTTTAGAGGGTTCAAGCCTCAAGCCTTGGCAGCTTCCACATGGTATTGAGCCTGAAAGAGCACAGAAGTCAAGAATTGAGGTTTGGGAACCTCTGCCTAGATCTCAGAGGATGTATGGAAATGCCTGGATCTCCAGGCAGAAGTTTGCTGCAGGCGTGGAGCTGTCATGGGGAACCACTGCTAGGGCAGTATGGGAGGGAAATGTGGGGTCAGAGTCCCCACAAAGAGTCCCTACTGGGGTACCACCTGGTGGAGCTGTGAGAAGAGGGCCACTGTCCTCCAGACCCCAGAATGGTAGATCCATTGACAGCTTGTACTGTGTATCTGCAAAAGCTGCACACTCACTGCCAGCCTGTGAAGGCAGCCAGGAGGGAGGCTATACCCTGCAAAGCCACCGGGCTAGAGCTACCCAAGACCATGGCAACCCACCTCTTGCATCAGCTTGACCTGGATATGAGACATGGAGTCAAAGGAGATCATTTTGGACCTTTAAGATTTGTCTGCCCTGCTGGATTTTGGATTTGCACGGGGCCTGTAGCCCCTTTCTTTTGGCCAATTTCTCCCATTTGGAATGGCTGTATTTACCCAATGCCTGTACCTCCATTGTATCTAGGAAGTAAGTAGCTTGCTTTTGATTTTACAGGCTCATAGGCAGAAGTGACTTGCCTTGTCTCAGATGAGACTTTGGACTGTGGACTTTTGAGTTAATGCTGAAATGAGTTAAGACTGGGAGACTGTTGCAAAGGCATGATTGGCTTTGACATGTGAGGATATGAGATTTGGAAGGGGCCAGGGTTGGAATGATATGGTTTGGCTATGTCCCCACCCAAATCTCATCTTGAATTGTAACTGCTGCAATTCCCACGTGTTGTGGAAGGTACAGTGGAAGGTAATTGAATCATGGGGGCGGGTCTTTCCCCTGCTGTTTTAACAATAGTGAATAAGTCTCAGGAGATCCGATGGTTTTATCAAGAGGAGTCCCCCTGCACAATCTCTGTCTTTGCTTGCTGCCATCCATGTAAGTCATGACTTGCTCCTTCTTGCCTTCCACCTTGATTGTGAGGCTTCTGCAGCCACGTGGAACCGTAAGTCCATTAAACCCCTTTCTTTTGTAAATTGCCCAGTCTCGGGTATGTCTTTATCAGTGGTGTGAAAATGGACTAATAGACCTTCTTAGGTTAATTTTTAGGTATTTAAATTTATTTGTGGCAATTTTAAATAGGATTTTTTTTGTTTATTTTTTATTCACATTGTTTACTGTTGGTATATAGAAATGCTACTGATTTTTGTATGTTGATTTTGTATTCTACAACTTTACTGAATTTGTCAGTTCTGATGGTTTTTTGATGGAATCTTTAGATTTTTCTAAATATAGGGTTATATCATCTCCAAACAAGGATAATTTGACTTCTTCCTTTTCAGTTTGGATGCCCTGTATTGCTTTCTCTTGTCTGATTGCTCTAGCAAGCACTTCCAGTACTATGGTGAATAATGGTAGTGAAAGTGGGCATCCTTGTCCTGTTCCATATCTTAGATGAAGGGCTTTCAGTTATTCCCCATTTAGTATGATACTAGCTATGGGTCTGTCATATATGGCTTTTATTATGTTGAGGTATGTTCCTTCTATACCCATATTTCTGATGGTTTTTATCCTGAAGGGATGTTGAATTTTATCAAATGCTTTTTCACCATCAATTGAAATACTCATATGGTTTTCATTCTTCATTTTGTTGCTAAGATCTATCACGTTGATTGATTTGTGTTTGTTGAACCATTTTTGCATCCCAGGGATAAATCCCACTTGATCATGATGAACAATCTTCTTAATGTTTTGTTCAACTTGGTTTGCTAGTATTTTGTTGAGGATTTATACATGAATATTCATCAAAGATATTGGCTTGTAGTTTTCTTTTTTTGAAGTGTCGTTGTCTGGTTTTGGTATCAGAGTAATACTGGCCTCATAGAAAGAGTTTGATAGTATTCTATCCTCCTCTATTTTTCAGAATAGTTTTAGTAGAATTGGTATTAGTTCTTTAAATATTTCATAGAATTAATCAGTAAAGCCATCAGGTCCTGGGCTTTTCTTTCGTGGGAGACTTTTTATTATGTCTTTGATCTCATTATTTGTTATTGATCTGTTCAGGTTATGGATTTCTTTATGTTTCAATCTTGGTAGGTTGAATGCATCTAGGAATTTATCCACTTATTTTATAGTTTCCAATTTATTTGGATATAGTTGCTCATAGTAGCCACTAATGGTGCTTTGAATTTCTGCAGTATTAGTTGTAATGTTTCCTATTTCATCTGTGACTTTATTTATTTGGCTCTTTTCTCTTTTTTTCTTTGTCAGACTAAAGGTTTGTCAATTTTGTTTAACTTCTCAGAAAACTAACTTTTTGTTTCATTAATCTTTTGTATTCTTAATTTCAGTTTCATTTAATTTTTATTTGTTTCAATCTTTATTATTTCTATCTTTCCATTAATTTTGGGTTTGGTTTTGTCTTGTTTTCTAGTTCTTTTTAAGATGGATTGTTGTTGTTTATTTGAATTTTTTCCTCTTTTTTGATGTAGGTACATATAGGTATAAACTTTTTTTTTTCACTACTGCTTGTGTTTTATCCCATAGGTTTTGGTATGTTATGGTTTCATTATCATGTGTTTTCAAAATTTTTCTTGTTATTAATTTTTAGTTTTATTCTATTGTGGTCAGAGAAGAAACTTGATATTATTTCATTTTTTTAAATTTTAAGGTGTGTTTTGTGACCTAGCATATGGTACATCCTTGAGAATGATCCATGTGCTGAGGAGAAGAATATATATTCTGCAGCTGATGAAATGTTCTGTAGATGAAATGTTCTGTAATATCTATTAGGTTCATTTGTCCTGTAGTACAGATTAGGTCCAATGTTTCTTTGCTGATATTGTGTCTGGAAGTCCTGTCCAATACTGAAAGTGGGATGTTGAAGTATCCAGTTATTGTTTTATTAGACTTTATCTCTCTTTTTAGCTCTAATAATATTTGTTTTGGATATCTGGGTGCTCCAGTGTTGGGTGTATATATATTTTAATTTGTTATAAGCTCTTGCTGAATTGGCCCCTTTATCTTTATATAGTGACCTTCTTTGTAGTTTTTGTCTTGAACCCTATTTCTTTTCAAGTAAGTTCAGCTAGTCCTGCTCTTCTTTGGTTTCCCTTGGCATGGAGTACCTTTTTCCATCTCTCTATTGTCAGTCTATGTGTGTCTTTCTAGGTGGAATGTGTTTCTTGTAGGCAACAGATTATTAGGTCTTGCTTTATTTTTATCTATTCAGCCACTCTATGTCTTTTATTTTTTATTTCCATAGGTTTTTGGGGAACATGTGGTATTTGGTTACATGAGTAAGTTCTTTAGTGGTGATTTGTGAGGTTTTGGTGCACCCATCACCTGAACAGTATACACTGAAGTTAATTTGTAGACTTTTATCACTATCCCCTTTGGACCCTTTCCCTGAGTCCCCAGAGTCCATTGTATTATTCTTATGCCTTTGCATCCTTATAACTTAGCTCCCACTTACGAGTGAGAACATATGATGTTTGGCTTTCCATTCGTAAGTTACTTCATTTAGAATATTAGTCTTCAATCCCATCCAGGTGGCTGCAAATGCCATTAATTCATTCCTTTATGGCTGAGTAGTATTCAATCATGTACATATATAGCACAGTTTCTTTAACCACTCATTGATTGATGGGCATTTGGGCTGGTTCCATATTTTTGCAGTTGTGAATTGTGCTGCTATAAACATACTGAAATTGAATGTATTCACAATCAGGCTGATAGTTAACTCTAAAAATAGAGTACGGGATCAAACAAATGTATTCCTCAATGGAATAAGTGAGGTTGAAACTCGGTCTAATGTATGAGGAAACCATACCATGTGAATGACCTAGTGGTTTAAAACAGTTTTTTTTTTTCCATAGGTTATTGGGAAACAGGTAGTGTTTGGTTACATGAGTAAGTTCTTTAGTGGTGATTTGTGAGATTTTGTTTACCCATCACCAGAGCAGTATACACTGCACCCTATTTGTAGTTTATCCCTTTCCCCCAGAGTCCCCAAAGACTATTGTGTCATTCTTATGCCTTTGCATCCTCATAGCTTAGCTCGCACTTATAAGTGAGAACATAGGATGCTTGGTTTTCCATTCCTCAGTTACTTTACTTAGTATAATAGTCTCTCATCTCATCCAGGCCTTGATACTGAGTTTTTTTTTTTTGAGAAATATCCATACTGTTTTCCATAGTGGCTTTAATAATTTGTGTTTCTATGAGCAGTGTATAGAGTTTACTTTTCTTTTTTTTTCAGTTTTTTTTTTAGTATACTTTAAGTTTTAGGGTACATGTGCACAACGTGCAGGTTTGTTACCTATGTATACATGTGCCATGTTGGTGTGCTGCACCCATTAACTCGTCATTTAACATTAGGTATATCTCCTAATGCTGTCCCTCCCCACTCCCCCCACCCCACAACAGGCCCAGGTGTGTGATGTTCCCCTTCCTGTGTCCATGTGTTCTAACTGTTCAATTCCCACCTATGAGTGAGAACATGCGGTGTTTGGTTTTTTGTCCTTGCAATAGTTTGCTGAGAAGGATGGTTTCCAGCTTCATCCATGTACCTACAAAGGACATGAACTCATCCTTTTTGTGGCTGCATAGTATTCCATGGTGTATATGTGCCACATTTTCTTAATCCAGTCTATCATTCTTGGACATTGGGCTTGGTGCCAAGTCTTTGCTATTGTGAATAGTGCTGCAATAAATATACATGTGCATGCATCTTTATAGCAGCATGATTTATAATCCTTTGGGTATATACCCAGTAATGGGATGGCTGGGCCAAATGGTATTTCTAGTTCTAGATCCCTGAGGAATCGCCACACTGACTTCCACAATGGTTGAACTAGTTTACAGTCCCACCAACAGTGTAAAAGTGTTCCTATTTCTCCACATGCTCTCCAGCACCTGTTGTTTCCTGATTTTTTAATGATCGCCATTCTAACTGGTGTGAGATGGTATCTCATTGTGGTTTTGATTTGCATTTCTCTGATGGCCAGTGATGATGAGCATTTTTTCATGTGTCTTTTGGCTGCATAAATGTCTTCTTTTGAGAAGTGTCTGTTCATATCCTTCGCCCACTTTCTGATGGGGTTGTTTGTTTTTTTCTTGTAAATTTGTTGGAGTTCATTGTAGATTCTGGATATTAGCCCTTGGTCAGATGAGTAGATTGCAAAAATTTTCTCCCATTCTGTACGTTGCCTGTTCACTCTGATGGTAGTTTCTTTTGCTGTGCAGAAGCTCTTTAGTTGAATTAGATCCCATTTGTCAATTTTGTCTTTTGTTGCCATTGCTTTTTGTGTTTTAGTCATGAAGTCGTTGCCCATGCCTATGTCCTGAATGGTATTGCCTAGGTTTTCTTCTAGGGATTTTATGGTTTTAGGACTAACATTTAAGTCTTTAATCCATCTTCAATTAATTTTTGTATAACGTGTAAGGAAGGGATCCAGTTTCAGCTTTCTACATCTGGCTAGCCAGTTTTCCCAGCACCATTTATTAAATAGGGAATCCTTTCCCCATTTCTTGTTTTTGTCAAGTTTGTCAAAGATTGGATAGTTGTAGATATGCGGCATTATTTCTGAGGGTTCTATTCTGTTCCAGTGGTCTATATCTCTGTTTTGGTACCAGTACCATGCTGCTTTGGTTACTGTAGCCTTGTAGTATAGTTTGAAGTCAGGTAGCGTGATGCCTCCAGTTTTGTTCTTTTGGCTTAGGATTGACTTGGCAATGCAGGCTCTTTTTTGATTCCATATGAACTTTAAAGAAGTTTTTTCCAATTCTGTGAAGAAAGTCATTGGTAACTTGATGGGGATGGCATTGAATCTATAAATTACCTTGGGCAGTGTGGCCATTTTTACGATCTTGATTCTTCCTACCCATGAGCATGGAATGTTCTTCCATTTGTTTGTATCCTCTTTTATTTCCTTGAGCAGTGGTTTGTAGTTCTCCTTGAAGAGGTCCTTCACATCCCTTGTAAGTTGGATTCCTAGGTATTTTATTCTCTTTGAAGCAATTGTGAGTGGGAGTTCACTCATGATTTGGCTCTCTGTTTGTCTGTTATTGGTGTATAAGAATGCTTGTGATTTTTGTACATTGATTTTGTATCCTGAGACTTTGCTGAAGTTGCCTATCAGCTTAAGGAGATTTTGGGCTGAGATGATGGGGTTTTCTAGATATACAATCATGTCATCTGCAAACAGGGACAATTTGACTTCCTCTTTTCCTAATTGAATACCCTTTATTTCCTTCTCCTGCCTGATTGCCCTGGCCAGAACTTCCAACACTATGTTGAATAGGAGTGGTGAGAGAGGGCATCCCTGTCTTGTGCCAGTTTTCAAAGGGAATGCTTCCAGTTTTTTCCCATTCAGTATGATGTTGGTTGTGGATTTGTCATAGATAGCTCTTATTATTTTGAGATACTTCCCATCAATACCTAATTTATTGAGAGTTTTTAGCATGAAGGGCTGTTGAATTTTGTCAAAGGACTTTTCTGCATCTATTGAGATAATCATATGGTTTTTGTTGTTGGTTCTGTTCATATGGTGGATTATATATGTTGATTTGCATATATTGAACCAGCCTTGCATCCTAGGGATGAAGCCCACTTGATCATGGTGAATAAGCTTTTTGATGTGCTGCTGGATTCGGTTTGCCAGTATTTTATTGAGGACTTTTACGTCTGTGTTCATCAGGGATATTGGTCTAAAATTCTCTTGTTTTTTTGTGTCTCTGCCAGGCTTTGGTATCAGGATGATGCTGGCCTCATAAAATGAGTTAGGGAGGATTCCCTCTTTTTCTATTGATTGGAATAGTTTCAGAAGGAATGGTACCAGCTCCTCCTTCTACCTCTGGTAGAATTCGGCTGTGAATCCATCTGGTCCTGGACTTTTTTTGGTTGGTAAGCTATTAATTATTGCCTCAATTTCAGAGCCTGTTATTGGTCTATTCAGAGATTCAACTTCTTCCTGGTTTAGTCTTGGGAGGGTGTATGTGTCGAGGAATTTATCCATTTCTTCTAGATTTTCTAGTTTGGTTGCATAGAGGTGTTTGTAGTATTCTCTGATGGTAGTTTGCATTTCTGTGGGATCAGTGGTGATATCCCCTTTATCATTTTTTTATTGCATCTATTTGATTCTTCTCTGTTTTCTTCTTTATTAGTCTTGCTAGTGGCCTATCAATTTTGTTGATCGTTTCAAAAAACCAGCTCCTGGATTCGTTGATTTTTTGAAGGGCTTTTTGTGTCTCCATTTCCTTCAGTTCTGCTCTGATCTTAATTATTTCTTGCCTTCTGCTAGCTTTTGAATGTGTTTGCTCTTGCTTCTCTAGTTCTTTTAATTGTGATGTTAGGGTGTCAATTTTAGATCTTTCCTGCTTTCTCTTGTGGGCATTTAGTGCTATCAATTTCGCTCTACACACTGCTTTGAATGTGTCCCAGAGATTGTGGTATGTTGTGTCTTTGTTCTTGTTGGTTTCAAAAAACATCTTTATTTCTGCCTTCGTTTCGTTATGTACCCAGTAGTCATTCAGGAGCAGGTTGTTCAGTTTCCATGTAGTTGAGCGATTTTGAGTGAGTTTCTTAATCCTGAGTTCTAGTTTGATTGCAGTGTGGTCTGAGAGACAGTTTGTTGTAATTTGTGTTCTTTTACATTTGCTGAGGAGTGCTTTACTTCCAACTATGTGGTCAGTTTTGGAATAGGTGTGGTGTGGTGCTGAAAAGAATGTATATTCTGTTGATTTGGGGTGGAGAGTTCTGTAGATGTCTACTAGGTCCGCTTGGTGCAGAGCTGAGTTCAATTCCTGGATATCCTTGTTAACTTTCTGCCTCATTGGTCTGTCTAATGTTGACAGTGGGGTGTTAAAGTCTCCCATTATTATTGTGTGGGAGTCTAAGTCTCTTTGTAGGTCTCTAAGGATTTGCCTTATGAATCTGGGTGCTCCTGTATTGGGTGCATATATATTTAGGATAGTTAGTTCTTCTTGTTGAATTGATCCCTTTGCCATTATGTAATGGCCTTCTTTGTCTCTTTTGATCTTTTTTGGTTTAAAGTCTGCTTTATCAGAGACTAGGATTGCAACCCCTGCCTTTTTTGTTTTCCATTTGCTTGGTAGATCTTCCTCCATCCCTTTATTTTGAGCTTATGTGTATTTCTGCGTGTGAGATGGGTTTCCTGAATACAGCACACTGATGGGTCTTGATTTTTTATCCAATTTGCCAGTCTGTGTCTTTTAATTGGAGCAATTAAGCCATTTACATTTAAGGTTAATATTGTTATGTGTGAATTTGATCCTGTCATTATGATGTTAGCTGATTATTTTGCTCATTAGTTGATGCAGTTTCTTCCTAGCCTCGATGGTCTTTACAATTTGGCATGTTTTTGCAGTGGCTGGTCCCAGTCGTTCCTTTCCATGTTTAGTGCTTCCTTCAGGAGCTCTTTTAGGGCAGGCCTGGTGGTGACAAAATCTCTCAGCATTTGCTTGTGTGTAAAGGATTTTGTTTCTCCTTCACTTGTGAAGCTTAGTTTGGCTGGATATGAAATTCTGGGTTGAAAATTCTTTTCTTTAAGAATGTTGAATATTGGCCTGCACTCTCTTCTGGCTTGTAGAGTTTCTGCCAAGAGATCAGCTGTTAGTGTGATGGGCTTCCCTTTGTGGGTAACCCGACTTTTCTCTCTGGCTGCCCTTAACATTTTTTCCTTCATTTCAACTTTGGTGAATCTGTTCCATTGTTGGTGTGGAGCTGCATTCCTTTGGAGGAGGAGAGGTGCTCTGATTTTTAGAGGTTCTAGTTTTCCTGCTCTGTTTTTTTCCCCATCTTTGTGGTTTTATCTGCCTTTGGTCTTTGATGATGGTGACGTACAGATGGGGTTTTGGTGTGTATGTCCTTTCTCTTTGTTAGTTTTCCTTCTAACAGTCAGGACCCTCAGCTGCAGGTCTGTTGGAGTTTGCTGGAAGTCCACTCCAGACCCTGTTTGCCTGGGTATTGGCAGTGGAGGCTGCAGAACAGTGGATATTGGTGAACAGCAAATGTTGCTGCCTGATCGTTCCTCGGGAAGTTTTGTCTCAGAGGAGTACCTGGCCATGTGAGGTGTCAGTCTGCCCCTACTGGGGGGTGCCTACCAGTTAGGCTACTCGGGGGTCAGGGACCCACTTGGGAGGCAGTCTGTCCATTCTCAGATCTCCAGCTGCATGCTGGGAGAACCACTACTCTCTTCAATGCTGTCAGACAGGGACATTTAAGTATGCAGAGGATTCTGCTGCCTTTTGTTTGGCTATGCCATGCCCCTAGAGGTGGAGTCTACAGAGACAGGCAGGCCTCCTTGAGCTGTGGTGGGCTCCACCCAGTTTGAGCTTCCTGGACACTTTGTTTACCTCCTCAAGCCTTGGCAATGGCAGGCACCCCTCCCCCAGCCTCACTGCCACTTGCAGTTTGATCTCAGACTGCTGTGCTAGCAATGAGCAAGGCTCCAGGGGCGTAGGACCCTCTGAGCCTTGTGTGGGATATAATCTCCTGGTGTGCTGTTTGCTGAGACTGTTGGAAAAGTGCATTATTAGGGTGGGAGTGACCCGACTTTCCAGATGCCGTCTGTCATCCCTTTGACTAAGAAAAAGGGAATTCCCTGACCCCTTGCACTTCCCGGGGGAGGCGATGCCTCGCCCTGCTTTGGCTCATGCTCGATGTGCTGCCCCCACTGTCCTGCACCCGCTTTCCCACACTCCCCAGTGAGATGAACCCGGTACCTCAGTTGGAAATGCAGAAATCACCCGTTTTCTGCGTCGCTTATGCTGGGAGCTGTAGACTGGAGCTGTTCCTATTCGGCTATCTTGGCTCCACCCCCTAGAGTTTACTTTTCTTGAGAGAGGGCGGATCATGGCAGATGAGAGGCAGGGATAGATTGCAGTTCTGGATAGAGCAGCATTGTGGAGGCTTGCATTGTGAATTTTAGCTCCAGATCGACTGCAAGGACAAAACAGCAATTCTGAGAAGACCCACAGACCCTCTGAAGGAAGAAGACTGCTCCTGCAGGACCCAGGAGACACCCCAAATACTGTGAGTGCCCTAACTGTGGAAGTGGGAAAGGGAGACCCTCCTTTCCGGAACACATACCCCCACTGGAGAGTTTGAAGGTCTTTTAATGAGAGACTTTCCAGACTTTATCTGGAGCTGATTCAAGTTAGCAGAGCCGAGTGAAATACAGGGGTGGAAGAGGCAGCAGGGAGGCCCTGGGAGCTTGCTGAATCCCCAAGCAGCCTATTCCTGCCTGACACCACAGGGATCCATCAGGAGGGAGGCCAGAGGAGCAGGAGGTAAGACCCCACCAGGGAGAAGGACTTCCCTAGCTGAACTCTGCAACAATTTGAACATGGTGAGAATTCTCCTAGCCAGAACTCAGGGGAGGGCGTGAATCCGGCTTACAGACTTCACAGGTGGGGGGAAGAACTAAAGTCCTTTTCTTCGGCGGATGGGAGGTGGAAGCCTCGGGCAAGCTTTCAAGCCTGTCCACCTGGAAAGAGACTTGGGGCTGTTGCGGGTAGCACGGTGGAAGTGAGACCAGCCCTTCGGTTGGGTTGGAGCTGGGTAAGGCCTGTGACTGCTGGCTTTTCCCCACTTCCCTGACAACCTACATGACTCAGCAGAGGCAGCCCTAATCCTCCTAGGTACACAACTCCAGTGACCTGGGAACCTTACCCCATCCCCCACAGTAGCCGCAGCAAGACCCCCTCAAGGAGAGTCTGAGCTCAGACACACCTAGCCCTGCCCCCACCTGATGGTCCTTCCCTACCCACCCTGATAGTGGAAGACAAAGGACATGTAATCTTGGGAGTTCTAGGGCCCTGCCCACAGCTGGTCCCTCTTCACACTACTACAGCTAATGCTTTCTGGAAAGCATCACCTCCTGGCAGGAGGTCAACCAGCACAAAAATAGAGCATTAAACCACTAAAGCTAAGAACACTCACGGAGGGTTCTTGCAGCCTTCACCACCTTTATCAGCACAGGTGCTGGTATTCAGTTGAGAGACCCATAGATGGTTCACATCACAGGACTCTGCAGAAACCCACAGAACCAGCAAGGAGCTGGGTAGACTCGCTGGGTGGCTAGACCCAGAAGAGGGACAATAATCACTGCAGTTCAGCTCACAGAAAGCCACAATCACAGGAAAAGGGGATGAGCACTACATCAAGGGAATACTCAGTGGGACAAAAAAATCTGAACAACAGCCTTCAGCCCTAGACCTTCCCTCTGACAGAGCCCACCCCAATGGGAAGGAACCAGAAAAGCAACCCTGGTAATATGACAAAACAAGGCTCATTAACACCCCCCAAAAATCACACTAGTTTAACAGCAATGGATCCAAACCAAGAAGAAATCCCTGACTTACCTGAAAAAGAATTCAGGAGATTAGTTATTAAGCTGATAAGGGAGGTACCAGAGAAAGCAAAGCCCAATGCAAGGAAATTCAAAAAACGATACAAGAAGTGAAGGGAGAAATATTCAACAAAATAGATAACTTAAAGAAAAAACAAAAATTCAGGAGACTTTGGACACACTTTTAGAAATGCAAAATGCTCTGGAAAGTCTCAGCAATAGAATTGAACAAGTAGGAGAAAGAAATTCAGAGCTCGAAGACAAGGTCTTCAAATTAACCCAATCCAACAAAGACAAAGAAAAAAGAACAAGGAAATATGAACAAAACCTCCAAGAAGTTTGGGATTATGTTAATTCACCAAACCTAAGAATAATTGGTATTCATGAGGAAGAAGAGAATTCTAAAAGCTTGGAAAAACATTTTGGGGGGGATAATCAAGGAAAACTTCCCCAGCCTTGCTAGAGACCTAGATATGCAAACATAAGAAGCACAAAGAACACCTGGAAAATTCATCACAAAAACATCTTCACCTAGGCAAATTGTCATCAGGTTATCCAAACTTAAGACCAAGGAAAGAATCTTAAGAGCTGCGAGACACAGCACCAGGTAACCTATAAAGAAAAACCTGTCAGATTAACAGTAGACTTCTCAGCAGAAACCCTACAAGCTAGAAAGGATTGGGGCCCTATCTTTAACCTCCTCAAACAAAACAATCTTCAGCCAAGAATTTTGTGTCCAGCAAAACTAGGCATCATATATGAAGAAAAGATATAATCATTTTCAGATAAACAAATGCTGAGAGAATTTGCCGTTACCAAGCCACCACTACAAGAACTGCTAAAAGGAGCTCTAAATCTTGAAACAATCCTGGAAACACATCGAAACAGAATACTTTAAAGCATAAAGTACACAGGACCTATAAAACAAAAATTCAAGTTAAAAAACAAAAAACAAAGGACGCAGGTAACAAAGAGCATGATGAATGCAATGGTACTTCACATTTCAATACTAACATTCATAAATGGCCTAAATGCTCTACTTAAAAGATACAGAACTGCAGAATGGATAAGAACTCACCAACCAACTATCTGCTGCCTTAAGAAGACTCACCTAACACATAAGTTTCATTCACATCCATGTGAAGAGACCACCAAACAGGCTTTGTGTGAGCGATAAAGCTTTTTAATCACCTGGGTGCAGGCGGGCTGAGTCTGAACAGAGAGTCAGTGAAGGGAGATAGGGGTGGGGTTCTTTTATAAGATTTGGGTAGGTAAAGGAAAATTACAGTCAAAGCAGGGTTGTTCTCTGGCGGGAAGGAGTGGGTGTAACAAGGTGCTCAGTGGGGGAGCTTTTCTGAGCCAGGATGAGCCAGGAAAAGGAATTTCACAAGGTAATGTCATCACTTAAGGCAAGGACCAGCCATTTTCACTTCTTTTATGGTGGAATGTTATCAGTTAAGGCAAGGAGGGGCCATTTTCACTTCTTTTATGGTGGAATGTCATCAGTTAAGGCAGGAACCGGCCATCTGGATGTGTATGTGCAGGTCACAGGGGATATGATGGCTTAGCTTAGGCTCAGAGGCCTGACAATAAGGACTTACATAAACTTAAAGTAAAGGGGTGGAAAAACGCATTTCATGCAAATGGACACCAAAATCAAGCAGGAGTAGCTATTCTTATATCAGACAAAACAAACTTTAAAGCAACAGTGGTTAAAAGAGACAAAGGGGGACATTATATAATGGTAGAAGGCCTATCCAACAGGAAAATATCACAATCCTAAACATACATACACCTAACACTGGACCTCCCAAATGTATAAAACAATTACTAATAGACCTAAGAAATGAGATAGACAGTAACACAATAATAGCGGGAGACTTCAGTACTCCACTGACAGTACTAGACAGGTCATCAAGACAGAAAGTCAACAAAGAAACAATGGATTTAAACTATACCTTGGAACAAATGGACCTAACAGATATATACAGATCACTTCATCCAACAACCACAGGATACACGTTCTATTCAACAGCCTGTGGAAATTTCTCCAAGATAGACAACATGAAAGACCATAAAACGAGCCTCAATAAATTTTTAAAAATTGAACTTATATCAAGCACTCTCTCAGACCACAGTGGAATAGAACTGGAAATCAACTCCAAAGGGAACCCTCAAAGCCATGCAAATACATGGAAATTAAATAACCTGCTCCTGAATGAGCATTGGGTCAAAAATGAAATCAAGATGGAAATTAAAATTTTCAGGACAGGCGTGGTGGCTCACGCCTGTAATCCCAGCACTTTGGGAGATGGAGGTGGGCGGATCACCTGAGGTCAGGAGTTCTCGAGACCAGCTTGACCAACATGGTAAACTCCATCTCTGCTAAAAATACAAAAATTAGCCAGGTGTGGTGGTGGGTGCCTGTATTCCCAGCTACTTGGGAGGCTGAGGCATGAGAATTGCTTGAACCTGGGAGGTGAAAGTTGCAGTGAGCCGAGATCGTGCCACTGCACTGCAGTCTGGGTGACAGAGTGAGACTCTGTCTTAAAAAAAAAATTTTCTTTTTCACACTGAATGACAATAATGACACAACCTATCAAAACCTCTGGGATACAGCTAATATGGTGCTAAGAGGAAAGTTCATAGCCCTAAACACCTACATCAAAAAGTCTGAAAGAGCACAAACAGACAATCTAAGGTCATGCCTCAAGGAGCTAGAGAAACAAGAGCAAACCAAAACCAGCAGAAGAAAGGAAGTAACCAAGATCAGAGCAGAACTAAATGAAATGGAAACAAACAAAAAAAAAGTGTGAAAGATAAATGAAACAAAAAGCTGGTTCTTTGAAAAGATAAATAAGATTGATTGACCATTAGTAAGATTAACCAAGAAAAGAAGAGAGAAAATCCAAATAACTCCACTGAGAAACGAAACAGGAGATATTACAACTGACACCACCAAAATACAAAAGATCATTCAAGGCTGCTATGAACAGCTTTACGCACATAAACTAGAAAACCTACAAGAGATGGATAAATTCTTGGAAAAAATACAACCCTCCTAGCTTAAATCAGCAAGAATTAGATACCCTGAACAGACCAATAACAAGCAGTGAGATTGAAATGTTAATTTAAAAATTACCAACAAAAAAAAGTCCAGGACCAGATGGATTCACAGCAGAATTCGACCAGACATTCAAAGAAGAATTGGTGCCAATCCTTTTGACACTATTCCACATGATAGAGAAAGAAGGAACCCTCCCTAATTCATTTTATGAGGCCAGCATTACCCTAATACCAAAACCGGGAAAGGATACAACCAAAAAAGAAAACTACGTACTGATATCCTTGATGAACATGAATGCTAAAATCCTTAACAAAATACTAGCTCACCGAATCTGACAACATATCAAAAAGATAATCCACCGTGATCAAGTGGGTTTCATACCAGGGATGCAGGGATGGTTTAACATACACAAGTCAATAAATGTGATTCACCACATAAACAATTTAAAACAAACATCACATGATCATCACAATAGATGCAGAAAAAGCATTCAACAAAGTGCAGCATCACTTTATGATCAAAACTCTCAGCAAAATCGGCATACAAGGGGCATACCTTAATGTAATAAAAGCTGTCTATGACAAACCCACAGCCAACATGATACTGAATGGGGAAAAGTTCAAAGCATTCCCCCTGAGAACGGGAACAAGACAAGGATGCCCACTCACACTACTCCTCTTCAACATAATACTGGGAGTCTTAGCCAGAGCAATCCAACAAGAGAAAGAGATAAAAGGCATCCTAATCAGTAAAGAGGAAGTCAAACTGTCCCTGTTTCCTGATGATATGATAGTTTACCTTGAAAACCCTAAGGACTCCTCCAGAAAGCTCCTAGAACTGATAAAAGAATTCAGCAGAGTGGGCGCGGTGGCTCATGCCTGTAATCCTAGCACTTTGGGTGGCCAAGGCAGGTGGATCACCTGAGGTCAGGAGTTCGAGACCAGCCTGGCCAACGTGGTGAAACCCTGTCTCTACTGAAAATACAAAAATTAGCCAGGCGTCGTCATGCACACTTGTAATCCCAGCTACTTGGGAGGCTGAGGCAGGAGAATCGCTTGAACCTGGGAGGTGGAGGTTGCAGTGAGCTGAGATTGCACCACTGCACTCCAGTCTGGGTGACAAGACTGAAACTCCATCTCAAAAAAAAAAAAAAAAATCACCGAAGTTTCTGGATACAAGATTAATGTACACAAATCAGTAGCTCTTCTATACACCAACAGTGACCAAGCAGAGAATCAAATCAAGAACTTGACCCCTTTTACAATAGCTGCAAAAAAAAAAAAAAAAAAAAAATACCTAACAAAGGAGCCAAAAGTCCTCTACATGGAAAACTACAAAGCATTGCTAAAAGAATCAGATGACACAAAACATCCCATACTCATGGATGGGTAGAATCAATATTGTGAAAATGACCATACTGCCAAAAGCAATCTAGAAATTTAATGCAATCCCCATCAAAATACCACCATCATTCTTCACAGAGTTAGAAAAAGCAATTCTAAAATTCATATGGAACCAAAAAAGAGCCTGCATAACCAAAGCAAGACTAAGCAAAAAGAACAAATCCAGAGGCATAACACTGCCTGATTTCAAACTATACTATAAGGTTGTAGTCACCAAAACAGCATGGGACTGATATAAAAATACACACATAGACCAATGGAACAGAATAGGGAATCCAGAAATAAAGCCAAATTCTTACAGCCAACTGATCTTTGACAAAGCAAACAAAAACATAACGTGGGGAAAGGACTCCCTTTTCAACAAATGCTGCTGAGATAATTGGCTAGCTACATGTAGGAGAATGAAACTGGATCCCTTATCTCTCACATTATACAAAAATCAACTCAAGATGGATTAAGGACTTAAACCTAAGACCTGAAACTATAAAAATTCTAGAGGATAACATTGGAAAAACCCTTCTAGACATTGGCTTAGGCAAGGATTTCATGATGAAAAACCCAAAAGCAATTGCAATAAAAACAAAGATAAATAGCTGGGACCTAAGTAAACTAAAGAGCTTTTGCATGGCAAAAGGAACAGTCAGCAGAGCCCAGGCTGATTTTGAACTCCTGGGCTCAAGGAATCCTCCCACCTCAACCTCCCAAAAAGCTGGGATTACAGGCATGAGCCATCAAGCCTGGCCTTCTTTGTCTTTTTAATTATAGCCTTCTTACTGGTTTAAGATGATATCTTATTGTGGTTTTGATTTGCTAATGTTGAGCATTTAAAAATATACCTGTTGGCCATTTGTATGTCTTCTTTCATCACCTATCCTTTGGGCTATTGCAATGGCCTCCTAATTAATAAATATATATTGTGACAGCATTTTTTCCAACACAAAAAATAGTGACACCCAACAAATCTGACAAAGGATTTTTTTTAAAAAAAGACAACTTTCAGTTATGAAAGGCAATCTGAGGGATGGACATCAGATGTCAAGTATCAGGGTTCGGGTTATGAATCTTACAGTTCTAGTAGTTCAGAAGAGGAAGAGATCACTTCCATTTTGGTTATCAGGGAAACATTTATACAAGAGCTTGGTTTTAAGGAACAAGATAGGCAGAGAGCACAGTATGAACAAATGCACATAGCATATTTGTTAGTGGTGATGTTGGAGTAGACTTATTTGTTTGGAATAGAGAGTTCATGCAGTTTTTCCTAATTGATGATAATTATCATTTTGGGTGCTTGTTAAATATACAGATTAGCAAACCTCTGGATTAGAAATTTTGATTCAATAGGTCTGAGTGAGGGTATAGGAGTCAGTGTTTTTAACAAGCATATCAGATGATTCTTAGGTTCAGGGAAATTTGGGAAACACAGAACTGTAGAGAGAATAATGGCAGATCAAGGTGGAATGGAAAGTAGGAGCTAGATTATGTAAGACTTTCAATGCCAGGTGCAGCAGCTCAGAATGTTGTCACCGAATATGAGCAATAGCTAACATTTGGAAGTCTGTGATTATCTTCTGGTTTCCACACTGGAAATGCTGCCAGTATTATGACTGTGGATAGCATAGGTTATGAGCTGTTGTCTTGTTTACATTGGAGGAACTGTCAGGTTTACCTGGACTCTGCAAAAATATGTAGTTGCAGGAATGAGACCTTTAACTTCATAGCTCAAGCAAGGGCCTGTGTAAATCAAGTGCACTGATTTTTCAATTTGTCCACACTCTAGCCTGTAATCAGTGATTTCAGCACCATTGCACACAGGAATCTGAAAGATGCAGTAGAGAAATTGAGCTCTTTCTCTAGGTAGTCACTATACTAGATACTGTCGAGAGTTACAACATGATCCTTTCAGTGCCAAAGCTTATAATCTATTAAATGCTATGAGATACAGACAAGTGTAGAAATAGTTAAGCATAAGGCAGTATACTATAATTAACATTAAAAGGCTCAAATAAAATTAAGAAAAAGGATCATCTAATTCACATATTAGATGAATGCTTTTTAAAAATTTATTAAAATTATTTTTAAGTGAGTTACTTAAAAAACAGCAAACATATATACTAATGTTGCTTTATATTACTATTGGTTACTGGGATGAAACACAAACCCCAGTATTCTCTGGTATTTATACAGTGATACAGTGATATAATCATACCTGTCATCTATTATTAAGAGACTAAGGCTTTTTGTTAACGCTACACATACCCTGCTAGAGTCTGGGGAAAAGGGAAGAAAAATTTAAAGATACTTACGTGGCTAAATAATTAGGTCATTTTTTTAAGAGCTTTGTTTGAATGGGAAAATATTTACATGGATGTAAAAAAGTTATTTAGTTATTTTTTTTTGAGATGGATTTTTGTTCTTGTTGCCCAGGTTGGAGTGCAATGGTGCCATCTTGGCCCACCGCAACCTCCGCCTCCAGGGTTCAAGTGATTTAGTGATTCTCCTGCCTCAGCCTCCCGAGTAGCTGGGATTACAGGCATGCGCCACCACGCCCGGGTAATTTTGTATTTTTAGTAGAGACAGGGTTTCTCCATGTTGGTCAGGCTGTCTTGAACTCCTGACCTCAGGTGATCCGCCTGCCTCGGCCTCCCAAAGTGCAGGGATTACAGGTGTGAGCCACTGCGCCTGACCAAAAGTTTTTTTTTTTTTAAAGCTTCATTAACTTATAGCCACATTTCTTATGTGTCATACTGTATAGTTACATGCAAGCAAACATGACCAGAGATTTCCCAATGAAGCTTTAAAAAATGCTAAGTTCTATAAATTGATTTAACTTTATCTCTTATTTTAGTTTTAAAAATTAAATTAGTGACCTATTGATATTCTACTTGGTTTTCCAAATGTATTACTTTCCTCAAATATAGGCTCTGTAGGGCAGGATTAGTATTGCTATAGCCTTCCTAATACCATTAGTATTACGTTCTAGGTGTGTTCCAGAAACCATGATCCAAGATTTGTGAGATTCTAATTCTAAACTCTGACTCCTTAGGGAGTTCCAGAGTTTCCAAAAAAGGTTCTAAAAAAATTACTGTGCTTTTATAATAATCATAAGTTAATAACAATACATTGATAACATACTCCCCAACTAACAACAGCACAGTTTGGACCCTTTCAGGTTAGTACAGGTGTACCACATTGAGAAGGAGGGCCTGGGACTGATGGCGGTTTCACACTTCATTGAAAGATCCAAACTACAAACAAACAAATAAGCAAACATACAAATGATTGTGCAGGCATGATCACTTCCCACCTTGACGGGAAGTAGCAGCATATATCCATCCAAAGTGAAATGGACTACAAATGGGACAACTTAACAATATAACTTCTCTATCCCTATTTGCTGTTTTTAACTAGAAACTGTGGATTCTACGGGAATTAATTTACTCAATCTGTATTTCACGTCAGAGCCAGGGTGCCCTTGTGTGTCATCTTGGTTACCGTTTGCTTTTTTGACATATACAAGTTCTTCAGGGTTTCCATTAGCAAGATAATTGTCTATAAAAATATACAAAATCAAACTTAAAGTATTTTGTAAATAGTTTTAAAGGTGCTTCTCTAGAATTATACAAAATAATTTGAGAAGACTGTTAAAACAAAGTAACAGAAGACTCAAAATGTAGTAATTTGTGTCAATTAATTTTTAAATTTTATTTACAGACTTCAAAAAAATTTGTGGTTTCAATTACTAAGTAAGAAACAACTGGCCAGGCTCGGTGGCTCCTGCCTGTAATCTCAGTGCTTTGGGAGGATGAGGTGGGAGGATCACTTGAGGCCAGGAATTCATGACCAGCCTGGGCAACAAAGTGAGACCCTGTTTCTACAAAAAATAAAAAATGTAGCTGGATATGACAGTGGATGCCTGTAGTCCCAGCTACTCAGGAGGCTGAAGAGGGAGGTTTGCTTGAGCCCAGGGGTTCAAGGCTGCAATGAGCTATGATTACTGTCAGTGCACTCCAGCTCGGGTGACAGAGTGAGACCCGGAGTCTAAAAAATGAACAAAGTAAAAAATGAAACAATTGGCTGACCAATATTTGATTATATTCTAAAAGAAAATCACTGGTTCTGCTTTAGTATCATTTAATATATAAAAAACCAAAAGTTACAAAACAGGAAATGTAGGCTTAGTCATACAAATCACACAAAGAAGCCTCACTGCATAGGAGATTGGTTTCTCTGGACTTTGTCTTACCATTCAAGGGTGGAGGACAGCAAGATGCAGGAGAAAGAGTAGGTGTTTGAATAGTCAATATATCTGAAGGCTAAGAGAAAGAAAAAATACCTTATGACTGTACTGATTCAAGTTCAGTTTTGTAAAACATTTAGTAATATGATACAGCTCATTTCAGTCTTCAATTTAAAATGTTTTCCATCCTTCTTTTCTCACCTGTCTGGCCTATAAGTGAGGTATAAAAGACTCTCAGTTTATATGCAGTATCATGTTGCAGGTGATTATGTAGAAATTCCTTTGTTGCCACTGTAAATTATGTTTCAGAGATTCACTGAAGGGATAAAAGCAAATTTATTCAATTTATTTATAGGTAGCTTATTTAAAAAAATTTTTTTTTGAGCGGAGTCTTGCTCTATCGTCCAGGCTGGAGTGTAGTGGTGTAATCTTGGCTCACTGCAACCTCTGCCTCCTGGGTTCAAGCGATTCTCATGCCTCAGCCTCCCAAGTAACTGGGATTACAAGCCTGCGCCACCAAGCCTGGCTAATTTTTGTATTTTTAGTAGATACGGGGTTTCACCATGTTGGCTAGGCTGGTCTTGAACTCCTGACCTCAAGTAATCCACCCGCCTTGGTCTCCCAAAGTGTTGGGATTACAGGCGTGAGCCGCTGTGCCCAGCTTGCTTATAAATGTTACCGGTTTCCATGATATCTCATGTATATACTAAGAATAACAATTTTGGAAATGAAGTTGGTCCAGTTATCTATTTCAATAGTAAAATAATATATGCCCCGTGAATTAACCATAAAATCGTAAGATATCAGTCAGTAAACATGATTTATTACTAAAAACTGCAGAAATTCAAGTAATTTCTCGGGTTTAGGTGATAGTATTATCTCAATGCCAATTTCCTAGTTTTGATCATTGTACTATGGTTATGTAAAATATTAATCTTAGGAGAAGCTGAGTGAAGATTTTACATGGGAACTCTCTATACCTTTTTTTTTTTACAACTTCTAGTGAGTCTAAAATTGTTTCAAAATAAAATATTTTTAAAAATCATGATGCCTTACCATCTGAATTTTCACTAACTTCTAAACTGTAACTTGAAATGTATGTTCCACCATTATCTTTGGATGGTTCTGAAAAGAGAAATAAAATCAAAATTATTCTTGAATAAACTTAAAAGTCTCCCACTGGAATGTTATCTCATGAGTTAAGAAACATTTTTCACAGAGGAAAAAATATAAACATGAAACAATAGTGTATTAATAACCACATATTAATAAAGATAATAAAAACATAATTCGAGTTACATGTTTGGAATATTAGAAATGAAGCATTTAAATAAATATTGTAAAGTTATTTGCAAGAGATTGAAAAGCTAAGTATATGTGCCATAAAGTTGATTTCTCTAGTTTAGAGAGAAAATAATTTGTATGAATATAATTTCTTAAGCTGACATTTATCATTGATGTGGCCTTCTAATTGTGGCCTCCATATTAGATGTAATCTTATTTAAGGACACATAAAGCTCAATAATGTGTTCATTTGCAAATTAATGAGATAGCAAGAGAGAACTAGAAAAATAATATAGTTTACAACTAAACTCATTTATATGGCAGAATATCTCACATATAAATGACTAAAAGAACATTTTATAAAGCTGAGGACAATGAGAGGAAGATTTCTTCTCAATAGTTAATATTAAGACAGAGGGAAAATTTTAAATACAAAAACATTACTTACTCCATCCAATTTTTACACTGTGTGCATGGACCTTTCCCTTTATATATGGTTTTCTAGGGGATCCGGTTTTATCTGGACAGGTTGTATATTTTACTTCTCCACTGCTGTTGCTTCTTCCTTCCATATTGCAGGCAAAGATCTGTTTAAATAAAAGAGGATGATATGGTTGACCATTGCAAATAAACGTCTGATTTGAAAATGTTCAGTTTGCAAATATAAAGTAAGTTGAGTGAGCATTTCTAAGAACTAAATGCAAAATAAGGTTTGATTTCAAACAAAATATACTCATTTCTCTGGTGAAAAGTATAATTTTATATTAAAATATGACACAAATTTATAAAGTATAGCCACATACCCTTGTATGTAGTACTTCTCTGAAGACTTCTTGTAGTGCATGAAAGGTCTTCTCCATTGTATTTCGGCTTAAAATCTAAACCCTAGAAATACAATGAACTTTGGAACTGGGCAAGCCTGCATTACAACTTCAACTTATTTTCCATCTGGGTGATTCTGAGCAAGTCCCTTAGTCTCTCTGAACTTCAGTTTCTCTATATAAAAAATGGAGATAATTTCTACTTTGACGGCCTCATTCCTTTGGGGGGATTTAATGAGATAATGAATGTGAAAGCACTTAGCACGTTACTTGCAACATAGAACACTTCTCAACATTTATCTACTTTATGTAAACTGTGGTAAAATATACATAATGTAATTTACAGCTGCTTTACAAATTTACCAGCCTATTCAGTACAGACTTGAAAGTTCAGGATGGAATGAAATAGTTGCCCACCCTTATCAGGAATCCAGTTATATGAACAAAGGGTAGAAATATGTTGAGGTGCTGAAGATTTATGTGACTATGCAAGATTGTCTGGTATAGGCCCAAAGTTAAAAACTAACACGCTTCTCTGAGTCTCTATGCTATTGTTATGGCTGCTGCTGCTTCTAGCTAATTTGCAGAGACTTGAGTACTTTTAGATCTTTCTGTGCAGAATTGCCTAACCCCAGCTCCGCATTGGCCCCATCAGGAACACAGGAAGTCGGGAATCACGCAATTCCTGGCCCAACCTTGGCTCTGCATTGGCTCCCTGCAGAACACAGGGACTTGGGAATCATGCAATTCCTGAATGAATCGATTGAGTAGAAAGCAAATTGATTAAATTAAAAATCTTCTCAAGTGCGGAATCCATATAACATATACCTAAAACTGAGGTTGAAGATTAAAGCATATGAAAGAAAAGCTTACAGATCCTGCTTCCTCCATTTCTAGTACATAAGTAGGAGTGTCATTTGGGTTTGTGTTGGGGCACACCAGTCTACTGACAACAGATTCCTTTCCTGCTTCTTTTAGCTTAGGAGGTGGAGGTGTTGCAGGCATAGTTCCTGATGTATGGAAGACTGCTATTTAACTGAAATCACTGAAGAATAGATTAAGATGGAAAATTAGTCTCAGATTCTTATTGAAGTATAGACTTAAATATTGTAAATATTTAAATATACTTCAAGCCAAAGTTGTTTCTGGTAGCTAATCTGAATGAGTATTTTGTAGAAATACTCAGTTCAATTATCTTGTGCTGTTTCATGGTACTCATATAGCAACTTTTGAAGTCTTCACCTTTGCCTTTAATAATAGACACAAAATACTAGAATATCATAAAATGCTACAGTTAACAACAAAAATTCATCATAACATTAATAATCATCCACAAACAAGTGCTTTTTAAAAATAAAACTGTATACTTCATCCCATTCCAAAAGGAAGCTGTTTATTTTGGAACGATTATCATTGAAACCCTAAAAATGTTTTTAAAAAGTCATGAGGGGCTGTTTTTACATGGAATACATATATATATGCTAAATACATGTATGCATATGTATATAAATTTAAAGCTATATGTTACTCTAAAATTAATCTGCTTATATTTTATGAAGCAATCCAGATTTTAAAGCTAAAACGCACTTTTTACACTCTACAAGACATCCTTAGATTCTATGTGTTGTTATGTTTTCCAAATTGTATACAATGAAAAAAATTGGAACTTAAGCAAATTGAGAGGTAAATTTATTGGTAACTACAATGATAAATAATTAAGTTGTAGAAATCGATACTCCAACTTTTATTAATTATTGAAATTCTTACAAACATTTCTCAATTTTCCTTGATGCTTGGTATATAGAAGGGAAAGATTATTATGAATAATACAAAGTGCTAGGGAAATAAGTCGGATGAGGCATGCATCATTCTATACAATTTAGGACACTGTAGGAAGAGTATTTTTAAATTATAAAAACATGATCAGGTGCTTTTGATAGTAAAATCCTTACTTTCCACTGTAAATTCAGGCTGCTCTTGGATCTGTTAATGAGTCTGGGTGCAAGTGGAGGGTCCAGTTTGCATCTTGGGGTTATGAAACTAACCACTTCAAACACAGTTGTGTGTTCTGAGCCTCTTATGGTTGTTACTCTAAAAATGTAATGACAATTGTAAACTTTCAAATATTTATCCTAACATACATGATAAATTGCAAACTTGGGTTTCAGACATATTTCCTATGAGCTAAGTATAAGAAATTTACTAATAAAAATTTTCTAATAGAGCAAAGTTGAGTCCCTGCAAATAATGATTCTCAAAGCACTCTTACCTGTTCCAAATGAAAGAAAATGAACTAATGCTAGATATTGAGGAGGCTATTTTGAAGCTTGAAGGCAAGGTCACTTTGTTGGCAAATAGTAAGGCAGACTGAAGGAATTATAAGTAGTAACTGATACAGACTGGAGAGTCTGGGGGATATGGGGTGGTGTACTTTGTTTAGAATGAAGTTCTTACCTTAAAAACTAGGCCATGGATGGTTGTAGATCAACTAGGGTAAATGTAACTCCATCACCACTGTGAAGATAATCTTTGTTTACAATGGATCTCACACATATTTAAAAGCTAAGTAAGCAGTGCTAATCGTATATATTCAACTGACAAAAAAAGAGAAGCACAATTGAAATTTGGATAACTTTAACCCATTTTATGTGCATGCAAGATAGTGATTTAATAATTCATTACACTTTATTTGCATACCAAATTAATCCAGCTTTAAGAAATGAAATTTTACTATTTTACCATTGCGCATTCTTCACACTGTAATAGTGCAGACTTCCCTTCAACTAGTTTATTTTAAATAATATAGATATGAAAAGCCTCAAAGAAACCATGAATCATGAAATTTATTCATTCAGTCACCAAGAAAAATTTTCCTGGGGTGGGCACCTATCTGCTACAATGAATAGAGTGACTGCTCCCAAACAAATGCCTTCCTGAGCAAACAATCACAAGTACCTAGGTGTGTTCTACCACCTTAAGAAACTCCTTCAGGCTACAGACTCTAAAATGTCCTCCAAAAAAAGGTAAAAAGATTGATACTTCCAAGCACAGGCCACTCAGGGTGACCAGAGGTATCGGAAATAATATTTTCAATTAAAAATAATAATTTTTATAAAGTGCATAATACCAGACAAATACCACCATGCAAATTCATACAAAAGTCAATTTTACAAATAGCTTTTCATCACGTTACACTTTCCCATCCCCCTATCCAATATAGAAGGTTACAGATTGTAATACTTAGACTTAAAAATTAATCTTTTGTCCATTCAACCTGGAAGTTTTCTGCTTATATAAATTAAGTATGAATGCAATAGGCTTCCTATCAATCTGGCTTCTAGGAACACCATGATTAATTAGCCAATGGCAGAGCTCTACATTAGTCAGACTATTCTGATTGCTGCTTTGCCTCTGCTGTCCATTATGGTACCTACATCTACCTTGCCTTTGACAGCTGAGTGCCACCACTTGGCCCCTGCCACCTCAGGATCCAATTATTCCCATTGTACTTAAATTTTGTAGTTGAGTGACTGCAGTTCCCACTGCTAGATCTGACATACAGAGAAAAGCAATTACAGGGCTCTTCAAAGATGCAGGTGCTGCCCTCACAAATCTATTTTGCAAGGCATTGGTCAAGGATATATCTTCTGGATCCTCCCAGCTGGGATGAGTAGGTCTAAAGTGACTAATCCACTCCACCATCCCAATATCCCTAAGATTTTGGATCCCATCCTCTACATTAAACCAAGGGAGATCAGGCATTTCCAGCTTGCTCACAGTGGGCCATCTTTTAATCCATATTTCAGCTAACAAAGCAAATAGACTATTAGAACCTTTTCTATCTCCCTGAGCTGCAACATTAAATGCAGAATCCCTACTTACTGGGCCCAAATTAATACATTCAGCCTCATCCAAGTCTATGTTCCTTCCATCATTATCCCACATCCTTAATATCCATTCCCATTCCTGTTATCCAGATTTCCACTTATATAGATTAGAAAACTCAAGCAGTTTTTTTTGAGTGTAGTGCACCTCCAAATGGGTCACACTCTGAACCTCACCTCTAGGGGCCTGCTGGGACTTTAGTTATATGTCTAGAAGCAAACAGGGATGTTGGGGGTGGCTCCTGAGGAAAATAAACATTATTTTGTCTGGCAGCTACCTTACGGGAGGCCATCACTGTTGCCTCAGGCAGTGAAGGGTTTATCTCAGACAAAGATGGAAAGTCTGATGGCAGCATGGGTTGGGGAGGGGATGTTGCCACGACTAGGGGTGGAGAAGCTGTTCCTTCTGGCAAAAAAGGTTCATCAGAGTTTATAAGCTCAGTGTCCCCAGCTTCATCAGAGTCCCTGTTCCAAGTTGCATGGTCTCATTCTTTTCCAATCAATACCCTCACTTTAACAGTAGACACATGGCAAGGCTGTGCATGCACCTTTCATTTCAGGTCAGCCACTCACATGATAGGAGCTTGTATCTGTTTTTCCACAATTTTAGCTCTTTCTCTACAGAAGATAATACTCTCACTCAGGGCAATCTGAACAAACTTGAGGCTCAGTAACTGCTTCTGAAGCCAGGAGTTAGAATCCCTGAATTCATCATTTTCTTTCATCACTTTGTCCAGTGAGCTTAGGAGCAACCAGCCAACTTCATTATGTTCCTTGGTTCTCCACATATAGTGAAAGGTATTATGTATAGAGTCACTAAACTCCTTACCTCTCATGAGTGGTGAATCAGGAGTGTCAAATGCATTATTTTGCATAACTCTCTAAACAGTTCATGCCATGGACTCTCAGTGTTCTCCATACTATTAGAAGTAGAGTCCTTAGCATTTTGGGGTCTAATCATATTAAGCAGCCAACTCCAGAAACCCCCAAATCAATGAAAGAACTCCATCCTTAATATTCTGATACTCTAGAACCACTCCTGGTAACAAAATCTATATTACTCAGAGTTCTATAGAGGTATAGAACTATTAGAATATATATATACTAATATATATATACTAATATATATACTAATATATATACTAATATATATACTAATATATATATACTAATATATATACTAGTAAATATATATATACTAATATACATATATACTAATATATATATATATATATATATATATATATATATATATATATATATGAGTTTATTAAGTAGTATTAACTCACACGATCACAAGGTCCCACAATAGGCCATCTGCAAGCTGAGGAGCAAGGAAGCCAGTCTGAGTCCCAAAGCTGAAGAACTTGGAGTCTGATGTTCGAGGGCAGGAAGCATCCAGCATGGGAGAAAGATGTAGTCTGGGAGGCTAAGCCAGTCTAACTTTTTCACGTTTTTCTGGCTGCTTCACATTCTGGCTGGGCTGGCAGCTGATTAGATGCTGCCCACCACCCAGATTAAGGGTGGGTCTGCCTTTCCCAGACCACTGACTCAAATGTTAATCTCCTTTGGCAACACCCTCACAGACATGCCCAGGATCAATACTTTGCATCCTTCAATCCAATCAAATTGACACTCAGTATTAACCACCACAGTGAGTGAGTTCTCACATTTGTTCATTTAAAAGTGTGTGGCATCTTCCCTACCCACTCTCTTGTTTGCTCCTGCTTTTGCCATTTGATGTGCCTGCTCCACCTTCACCTCCTGCCATTGTAAGCTTCCTTAGGCCAACCTAGAAGCCTAGCATATACCAGAACCATGCTGCCTGTAAATCCTGCAGAACAGTAAGCCAGTTAAAACTCTTCTCTTTATAAATTACCCAGTCTCCGCCTCCTTAAGTGGGTCCCTGACCCCCAAGTAGCCTAAATGGGAGGCACCCCCCAGTAGGGGTGGACTGATACCTCACACGGCCGGGTACTCATCTGAGACAAAACTTCCAGAGGAATGATCAGGCAGCAGCATTTGCGGTTCACCAATATCCGCCGTTCTGCAGCCACCGCTGCTGATACCCAGGCAAACAGGGTCTGGAGTGGACCTCCAGTAAACTCCAACAGACCTGCAGCTGAGGGTCCTGACTGTTAGAAGGAAAACTAACAAACATAGAGGACATCCACACCAAAAACCCATCTGTACATCACCATCATCAAAGGCCAAAGGTAGATAAAACCACAAAGATGGGGAAAATACAGAGCAGAAAAACTGGAAACTCTAAAAATCAGAGCGCCTCTCCTCCTCCAAAGGAACGTGGCTCCTCACCAGCAATGGAACAAAGCTGGACGGAGAATGACTTTGATGAGTTGAGAGAAGAAGGCTTCAGAAGATCAAACTACTCTGAGCTAAAGGAGGAAGTTCGAACTCATGGCAAAGAAGTTAAAAACTATAAAAAAAATTAGACGAATGTCTAACTAGAATAACCAATGCAGAGAAGCCCTTAAAGGACCTGATGGAGCTGAAAACCATGGCACGAGAACTATGTGATGAATGCACAAGCCTTAGTAACCAATGTGATCAACTGGAAGAAAGGGTATCAGCGATGAAAGATGAAATGAATGAAATGCAGCATGAAAAGAAGTTTAGAGAAAAAAGAATAAAAAGAAACGAACAAAGCCTCCAAGAAATGTGGGACTATGTGAAAAGACCAAATCTACGTCTGATTGGTGTACCTGAAAGTGACGGGGAGAATGGAACCAAGTTGGAAAACACTCTGCAGGATATTATCCAGGAGAACTTCCCCAATCTAGCAAGGCAGGCCAACATTCAAATTCATGAAATGCAGAGAATGCCACAAAGATACTCATCTAGAAGAGCAACTCCAAGACATAATTGTCAGATTCACCAAAGTTGAAATGAAGGAAAAAATGTTAAGGGCAGCCAGAGAGAAAGGTCGGGTTACCCACAAAGGGAAGCCTATCAGACTAACAGCGGATCTCTCGGCAGAAACTCTACAAGCCAGAAGAGAGTGGGGGCCAATATCCAACATTCTTAAGGAAAAGAATTTTCAACCCAGAATTTCATATCCAGCCAAACTAAGCTTCATAAGTGAAGGAGAAATAAAATCCTTTACAGACAAGCAAATGCTGAGAGATTTTGTCACCACCAGGCCTGCCCTAAAATAGCTCCTGAAGGAAGCACTAAACATGGAAAGGAACAACCGGTACCAGCCACTGCAAAATCATGCCAAATTGTAAAGACCATCAATGCTAGGAAGAAACTGCATCAACTAACGAGCAAAATAACCAGCTAACATCATAATGACAGGATCAAATTCACACATAACAATATTAACCTTAATTGTAAGTGGGCTAAATGCTCCAATTAAAAGGCACAGACTGGCAAATTGGATAAAAAGTCAAGACCCATCAGTGTGCTGTATTCAGGAAACGCATCTCACGTGCAGAGACACACATAAGCTCAAAATAAAGGGATGGAGGAAGATCTACCAAGCAAATGGAAAACAAAAAAAGGCAGGGGTTGCAATCCTAGTCTCTGATAAAACAGACTTTAAACCAACAAAGATCAAAAGAGACAAAGAAGGCCATTAGATAATGGTAAAGGGATCAATTCAACAAGAAGAACTAACTCTCCTAAATATATATGCACCCAATACAGGAGCACCCCGATTCGTAAAGCAAGTCCTTAGTGACCTACAAAGAGACTTAGACTCCCACACAATAATAATGGGAGACTTTAACATCCCACTGTCAACATTAGACAGACCAATGACAGAAAGTTAACAAGGATATCCAGGAATTGAACTCAGCTCTGCAGCAAGTGGACCTAATAGACAGCTACAGAACTCTCCACCCCAAATCAACAGAATATACATTCTTTTCAGCACCACACCACACCTATTCCAAAATTGACCACATAGTTGGAAGTAAAGCACTCCTCAGCAATGTAAAAGAACACAAATTATAACAAACTGTCTCTCAGACCACGGTGCAATCAAACTAGGACTCAGGATTAAGAAACTCACTCAAAACCACTCAACTACATGGAAACTGAACAACCTGCTCCTGAATGACTACTGGGTACATAACGAAACGATGGCAGAAATAAAGATGTTCTTTGAAACCAACAAGAACAAAGACACAACTTACCAGAATCTCTGGGACACATTCAAAGCAGTGTGTAAAGGGAAATTGATAGCACTAAATGCCCACAAGAGAAAGCAGGAAAGATCTAAAATTGACACCCTAACATCACAATTAAAAGAACTAGAGAAGCAAGAGCAAACACATTCAAAAGCTAGCAGAAGGTAAGAAATAACTAAGATCAGAGCAGAACTGAAGGAAATAGAGACACAAAAAACCCTTCAAAAAATCGATGAATCCAGGAGCTGGTTTTTTGAAAAGATCAAGAAAATTGATAGGCCGCTAGCAAGATTAATAAAGAAGAAAAGAGAGAAGAATCAAATAGATGCAATACAAAATGACAAAGGGGATATCACCACCGATCCCACAGAAATACAAACTACCATCAGAGAATACTAGAAACACCCCTATGCAAATTAACTAGAAAATCTAGAAGAAATGGATAAATTCCTCAACACATACACTCTCCCAAGACTAAACCAGGAAGAAGTTGAATCTCTGAATAGACCAATAACAGGCTCTGAAATTGAGGCAATAATTAATAGCTTATCAACCAAAAAAAGTCCAGGACCAGATGGATTCACAGCCGAATTCTACCAGAGGTACAAGGAGGAGCTGGTACTATTCCTTCTGAAACTATTCCAATCAATAGAAAAAGAGGGAATCCTCCGTAACTCATTTTATGAGGCCAGCATCATCCTGATACCAAAGCCTGGCAGAGACACAACAAAAAAAGAGAATTTTAGACCAATGTCCCAAGACTAAACCAGGAAGAAGTTGAATCTCTGAATAGACCAATAACAGGCTCTGAAATTGAGGCAATATTTAATAGCTTATCAACCAAAAAAAGTCCAGGACCAGATGGATTCACAGCCGAATTCTACCAGAGGTACAAGGAGGAGCTGGTACTATTCCTTCTGAAACTATTCCAATCAATAGAAAAAGAGGGAATCCTCCCTAACTCATTTTATGAGGCCAGCATCATCCTGATACCAAAGCCTGGCAGAGACACAACAAAAAAAGAGAATTTTAGACCAATGTCCTTGATGAACATCAATGCAAAAATCCTCAATAAAATACTGGCAAACCAAATCCAGCAGCACATCAAAAAGCTTATCCACCATGGTCAAGTGGGCTTCATCCCTGGGATACAAGGCTGGTTCAACATACGAAAATCAATAAACGTAATCCAGCATATAAACAGAACCAAAGACAAAAACCACATGATTATCTCAATAGATGCGGAAAACCTCCTGGTTCCTTAAACTGCCCCTTTCTTGAGCCCAGTCTGCGTCTGGGATCCATTCCCAGTACCCAGTAACACTGAGCAGGCAATCCTGCTTCTTCCCTCCTCAACCACTGTCTTCTATTGCCTGTCTATTAAATTTCAGTGTTTGCTCTCAAAAGATCTGTTTAAAGTATCAAAATTTAGTCAATATTGTGGTTCCTCTTCATGGAAGAGGCACATCTCAGCTGCCTCAGTCAGCCACCTTTTTCATCTATATTTTGGATGTTAATTTTGTTTACATTCAGAAAACCAAAATATCCTTTAGTTATTAGGATCTCATTTAAAGGCTAGAGAATAGCAACCACAACAACAAATTTTGGTGTTCTGTAGCTTCAGTTCTCAACTGAAAGGAATTTTATCCTTCATGTACTTATCCCTACATATTCTGGTTCTCCATCTAAGCTGCCTCTTAAAATCGTGAATAAATGAATTTCATGCAAAATATGTATACCACATAATTTTTTCTAGTTGCCTGCTAGTAAAAAGATTGTGAGTTATTCTACAGTCCTAACGAGTTAACATGATTTTATTGAAACTGGGGACTTTTGTTAAAATTTGTTTAATAGTATATCCTTTAGACTACCCTCGCATTTTAAATATTTTAATGTTAGTTGCTATTAGGTGTTTGGAAGAACTCTTGGTGATTATGTATTTATAGTTGCATAACAGACATCTAACTCCTTTCCCTTGTTTTTGCCAATGTAATATTTTGTTTTGGGTTGCTCTTTTTTTACTTTTAGAGCAAAGCAGAAAATGGAAACTCATGTTGTTTCAACATTGGGAAACCTGTAGTAAGTAATTAAAGTGCATATTTAAGTATTCTTTTTAATTTGTCAGTGTAAAACATACACATTCTCTACTACAGTTTTAATTTCAAGCTTTACCTGGTTAAAACTTTGATAATCTCCTTTAGCAATTCAATAAGTAAGGATCAAGTGTGACATTGTTAAAAATAAAATTAATGGTCCATTGTTTAATCACAGTATTTAAGCACCTAATATGAGGAGAACAATATGCTTAGCATCAAATAAGACTTAAAGACTGCATCATAACTTACAGAGTATAATTTTTAAGTATGCTACTTGAATTTTTGTTATTTTAGGTTTCTGATAGTCAAACAAGATCTGCTGTTATTTCAGGGACTCTACATGGTTCTGAGATGTGTGACCATACTAAATCTCCTATAACATTGAATTGGCAATATCTAACCGTGGTAAAAATGGAAAATATAATAACATATATAAGAAGGTTTCTTTTAAATCATATCTTATTTCTTATAATTCAATTCAAATATGCTATCTAAACATATAAACCCCAACTTACACCTACTCTGAGTTCTAAAGTTCTGTAATTTTTTTCCCAACTGAATGCATTTTTCTACAGAAATAGTTTTCCAAATAGTGGTAGGTCGCCAGGCCAAGCCACAAAATTCACTGGATCAGAAGTAGATTAGAGCTGAGGGGGGCCTTAAATATCAACTGGTCCATTTTCTTTAGTTTGCAGACTTCCTATTAGGTAAGTTTAGACTCAAGGAAGGAAAGACTCTTCCATATCCTCCTTTTCATTTTCCACTTAGGTCATTTTAGGGAAAAATAAAATTTCCCATGATGGTAGGCCTTTGGGTACACAAGTGAGGTATTTACACTGCAATGGAAATTTAAGACTTTGGCTCTCCTGGGAATTTCATTATAGGAGCTAGTTATAAGTTGGAGGCTATAGTCATAGTAAGATGAGCTTAGAAATGTGCTCAAAGATAGAAACAAGTTGGGGGCAGGGATACAGTGGAAGACACAGCAAGAGCACACCCAGCCACTCCTAATAGCTTCTGCATTGCAGAGTTATGTACAATCTGAAAGACAGCAAGCTGAGAGAGGCACAGTAGGAAAAAAAAAAAAAATCCCAAGTGGGGAAGAAGGAGAAATTCCTATTCCCACCAAACAACTAGCTAATAAGTAAGTCAGAGATTGTGGAGTTGTCTGTACTCTACCTTAACAAACACAATATCCTCAACTTTTTTTTTGCTAGAATTTGTCATCTTTATTTAGAGGCTCAAAGTGAAAAACTTGAATGTAATTGGTTATATGTTGTATAAAGTTTTATTTCTTTTTTTAAGTTTTAAGTTTAGGGGTACAAGTGCAAGTTTATTACATAGGTAAACTTGTGTCATGGGGGTTTGTTGTACAGATTATTTCATCATCCAGTTATTAAGCCTAGTATCTATTATTCTTCCTGATCCTCTCCCTCCTCTCACCCTCTATCCTCCAAAAGGTGCCAATGTGTAGTTTCCCTCAATGTGGCCCTGTGTTCTCATCATTTAGCTCCCACTTATATGTGAGATCATGTAGTATTTGTTTTTCTGTTCCTGCGTTAGTTTGCTAAAGATAATGGCCTCCAGCTCCATCCATGTCCCTGCAACGGACATAATCTCATTTTTTTTTTTTGGCTGCATAATATTCCATGGTGTATATGTACCACATTTTAAAAATCCAGTCTATCATTGATGGGCATTTAGGTTGATTCCATATCTTTGCTATTGTGAATAGTGCTGCAGTGAACATACGTGTGCACATGTCTTTATGATGGAATGATTTATATTCCTTTGGGTATATACCCAGTAATGGGATTGCTGGGTCAAATGATATTTCTGTTGTTAGCTCTTTGAGGAATCACCACACTGTCTTCCACAATGGCTGAACTAATTTACACTCTCACCAACAGTGTATAAGCATTCCTTTTTCTCCACAACCTTGCCAGCATCTGTTATTTTATGACTTTTTAATAATAGCCATTCTGGATCATCATGGTGGATGGGAGGCAGGACTAGATTGCAGCTTTGGACAGAGCAGCATACGGATGCTCGCACTGTGAAATTTAGCTCCAGATCAACTGCAAAAACAAACCAGCAGAGGACCCACAGACCCTCTGAAGGAAGCCGACTTCTCCTGTAGGACTCTTGAGACACACCAAATACTGTGAGTGCCCCAACTGCAGAAGTGGGACAGGGAGAGCCTCCTTTCCCGAACACACACCCCCACTGGAGAAACTGAAGCTCTGTTTGTGGGAGAAGTTTCTGGTCCTACCTGGAGCTGAGTCAATTTAGGGAGTTGAGCAAAATACAGGGGTAGAGGAGGCAGCAGAAAGGCCCTGGGAGCTCCCTGGGTCCCCAAGCAGGCCATTCCTGCCTGGCACCGCAGGGATCCATGGGGAGGGCAGCCAGAGGAACAGGGCATAAAACTCCACAAGGAGAAGAAAATCTCTAGCTGAACTGTATAACAATTTGAAGGAGGAGAGAAGCCTCCTGGACACAACTCCAGGGAAGGTGCAAATACGGTATGCAGACATCACAGGCAGGGGAAAAACCAAGCCGTTTCCTTTCGCAGCTGGGAGGAGGATAGCCTGGGGCAAGTTTTCAAGCCTGGCTTGCCCACCGCCTGGAAACAGACCCTGGGCTGTTGGGGGTGGAGCACGGTAGGAGTGAGACGGGCCCTTCAGTTTGAATGGGAGCTGGGTGAGGCCTGTGACTGCTGGCTTTCCCCACTTCTCTAACAACCTGTATGACTCAGCAGAGGCAGCCATAATCCTCCTAGGTACACAACTGCAGTGACCTGGGAATCTCACCCCCCATCCCCCACAGCAGCCGCAACAAGACCCACCCAAGGAGAATCTGAGCTGAGGCACACCTAGCCCTGCCCCCACCTGATGGTCCTTCCCTACCCACCCTGGTATCAGAAGACAAAGGGCATATAATCTTGGGACTTTTAGGGTCCCACCCACCGCAGGTCCCTCTCCATACTACCACAGCTAATTGCTCTCTGGAAAGTGCCACCTCCCAGCAAGAGGCAAACCTGCACAAAAATAGAGTATTAAACACCAAAGCTAAGAACCCTCATGAAGTCCACTGCACCCCCTCCCCACAATGTCCACAAGAACGGCACGGGCATCCACAGCTGAGAAACCCATAGACAGTTCATATCACAGGACTCTGTGCAGACAACCCCCAGTACCAGCCCAGAGCCAGGTAGACCTGCTGGGTGGCTAGACCCAGAAGAGAGACAACAATTACTGCAGTTCGGCTCACAGGAATCCACATCCATAGGAAAATGGGGGAGAATACTACATCAAAGAAACACACAGTGGGACAAAAAAAATCTTAACAGCCTTTAGCCCTAGAACTTCCCTCTGACAGAGCCCACCCAAATGAGAAGGAACCAGAAAACCAACCCTAGTAATATGACAAAACAAGACTCGTCAACACCCCCAAAATATCACACTAGTTCACCAGCAATGGATGCAAACCAAGAAGAAATTCCTGATTTACCTGAAAAAGAATTCAGGAGATTGGTTATTAAGCTAATGAGGGAGGCAGATGAGAAAGGCAAAGCCCAATGCAAGGAAATCCAAAAAAGAAACAATACAAGAAGTGGAGAGAAATATCCAAGGAAATAGATAGCTTAAAGAAAAAGGCCGGGCATGGTGGCTCACGCCTGTAATCCCAGCACTTTGGGAGGCTGAGGCGGGTGGATCACAAGGTCAGGAGATCGAGACCATCCTGGCTAACACAGTGAAACCCTGTCTCTACTAAAAATACAAAAAATTAGCTAGGCATGGTGGCAGGCGCCTGTACCCAGCGACTCGGGAGGCTGAGGCAGGAGAATGGCGTGAACTTGGGAGGTGGAGCTTGCAGTGAGCCGATATCACACCACTGCACTCCAGCCTGGGTGACAGAGAGAGACTCCATCTCAAAAAAAAAAAAAAAGAAAAAAAAAATGCAGAAAACATTGACAGACTTATAGAAATGCAAAATGTTCTGGAAACTCTCAGCAATAGAATTGAACAAGTAGAAGAAAGAAATTCAGAGCTTGAAGACAAGGCCTTCAAATCAACCTAATCCAACAAAGACAAAGAAAAAAGAATAAGAAAATATGAACAAAGCCTCCAAGAAGTCTTGGATTATGTTAAATGTCCAAACCTAAGAATAATCAGTGTTCCTGAGGAAGAAGAGAATTCTAAAAGCTTGCAAAACGTATTTGGGAGAATAATCAAGGAAAACTTCCCAGTCTTGCTAGAGATCTAAACATCCAAATAGAAGAAGCACAAAGAACACCTGGGAAATTAATTGCAGAAAGATCATCAGCTAGGCACATTGTCGTCAGGTTATCCAAAGTTAAGACGAAGGAAAGAATCTTAAGAGCTGTAAGACAGAAGCACCAGGTAACCTATAAAGGAAGACCTATCAGATTAACAGCAGACTTCTCTGCAGAAACCCTACAAGCTAGAAGGGTTTGGGGCCCTATCTTCAGTCTCCTCAAACAAAACAATTATCAGTCAAAAATTCTGTATCCAGCACTAAGCATCAAATATGAAGGAAAGATAGAGTCTTTTTCAGACAAACAATGGCTGAGAGAATTCGCCACTATCAAACGACCACTACAAGAACTGCTAAAAGGAGCTCTAAATCTTGAAACAAATCCTAGAAACACATCAAAACAGAACCTCTTTAAAGCATAAATCACACAGGACGTATAGAAGAAAAATACAAGTTAAAAAAACAAAACAAAAAAAGCGAAGTACACAGGCAACAAAGAGCATGATGAATGCAGTGATACCTCAGATTTCAATAATAACATGGAATGTAAATGGCCTAAATTCTCCACTTAAAAGATATAGAACTGCAGAATGGATAAGAACTCACCAACCAACTATCTGCTGCCTTCAGAAGACTCACCTAACACATCAGGACTCACATAAACTTATAATAAAGTAGTGGAAGAAGACATTTCATGCAAATGGACACCAAAATCAAGCAGGGGTAGCTATTCTTATATCAGAAAAAAACAAACTTTAAAGCAACAGCTGTTAAAAGAGACAAAGAGGGACATTATATGATAGTAAAAGGCCTTGTCCAACAGGTAAATATCACAATCCTAAACATACATACACCTAACACTGGACCTCCCAAATTTATAAAACAATTACTAATAGACCTAAGAAATGAGATAGATAGCAACACAATAATAGTGGGGGACTTCAATACTCCACTGACAGCACTAGACAGGTCATCAAGACAGAAAGTCAACAAAGAAACAATAGATTTAAACTATACCTTGGAACCAATGGATTTAACAGATATATACAGAACATTTCATCCAACAACCACAGAAAACACATTCTATTCAACATCACATGAAATCTTCTCCAAGATAGATCATACGATGGGCCATAAAACGAGCCTCAATAAATTTGAGAAAATTGAAATTATATCAAGCAGTCTCTCAGACCACAGTGGAATAAAACTGGAAATTAACTTCTAAAGGAACCTTTGAAGCCATGCAAATACATGGAAATTAAATAACCTGCTCCTGAATGAGCATTGGGTCCAAAACGAAATAAAGATGGAAATTAAAAAATTCTTTAAACTGAACGACAATAAGGACACAACCTACCGAAACCTCTGGGATATAGCAAAGGCAGTGCTAAGAGGAAAGTTCATAGCCATAACTGCCTACATCAAAAAGACTGAAATAACACAAACTGACAATCTAAGGTCACACCTCAAGGAACTAGAGAAACAAGAACAAACCAAATCCAAACCCAGGAGAAGAAATAACCAAGATCAGAGCAGAACTAAATGAAATTCAAACAAAAAAAATTACAAAAGATAAATGAAACAAAAAACTGGTTCTTTGAAAAGATAAATAAAATCGATAGACCATTAGCAAGATTAACCAAGAAAATAAGAGAGAAAATCCAAATAAACTCACTAGGAAACGAAACAGGAGATATTACAATTGACACCACTGAAATACAAAAGATCATTCAAGGCTACTATGAACACCTTTATGCACATAAACTAGAAAACCTGAAAGAGGTGGATAAATTTCTGGAAAAATACAACCCTCCTACCTTAAATCAGGAAGAATTAGATACCCTGAACAGGTATCTAATCTTAATAACAAGCAGTGAGATTGAAATGGTAATTTAAAAATTACCAACATGCAGCCATAAAAAAGGATGAGTTCATGTCCTTTGTAGGGACATGGATGAAGCTGGAAACCATCATTCTGAACAAACTATTGCAAGGACAGAAAACCAAACACCACATGTTCTCACTCATAGGTGGGAATTGAACAATGAGAACACCTGGGCACAGGGTGGGGAACATCACACACTGGGGCCTGTCGTGGGGTAGGGGGAGGGGGAAGAAAAAGCATTAGGAGATATACCTAATGTAAATGATGAGTTAATGGGTGCAGCACACCAACATGGCACATATATACATATGTAACAAACCTGTACGTTGTGCACATGTACCCTAAAACCTAAAGTATAATAAAAAATAATAAAAAAATAAAAAAATAAAAATTACCAACAAAAAGAAGTCCAGGACCAGATGGATTCACAGCAGAATTCGACCAGACATTCAAAGAAGAATTGGTACCAATCCTTTTGACACTATACCATAAGACAGAGAAAGAAGAAACTCTCCCTAATTCATTCTACAATGCTAAAATCCTTAACAAAATACTAGCAAACCAAACCCAACAACATATCAAAAAGATAATCCACCATGATCAAGTGGGTTTCATAACAGGGATGCAGGGATGGTTTAACATACACAAGTCAATAAATGTGATACACCACATAAACAGAATTAAAAACAAAAATCACATGATCATCTCAATAGATGCAGAAAAAGCATTCAACAAAATCTAGCGTCCCTTTATGATTAAAACTCTCAGCAAAATTGGCATGCAAGGGACATACCTTAATGTAATAAAAGCCATCTATGACAAACCCACAGCCAACATGATACTGAATGGTGAAACATTGAAAGCATTCCCACTGAGAACTGGAACAAGACAAGGATGCCCACTCTCACCACTCCTCTTCAACGTAATACTGGAAGTCCTAGCCAGAGCAATCAGACAAGAGAAAGAAATAAAGGGCATCCGAATCAGTAAAGAAGAAGACAAACTGTCCCTATTTGCTGACAATACGATTGTGTTCCTTAAAAACCCTAAGGACTCCTCCAGAAAGATCCTAGAACTGATAAAAGAATTCAGCAGAGTTTCCAGATACAATATTAATGTACACAAATCAGTAGCTCTTCTATATACCAACAGCGACCAAGTGGAGAATCAAATCAAGAACTCTACTTCTTTTACAATAGCTGGAAAAAATAAAATGCTTAGGAATATACCTAACAAAGGAGTCAAAAGACCTCTACAAGGAAAACTACAAAACACTGCTGAAAGAATTCATAGACACAACTAAATGGAAACACAACCCATGCTCATGGATGGGTAGAATCAATATTGTGAAAATGACCATATTGCCAAGAGCATTCTACAAATTCAATGCAATCCCCATCAAAATACCATAATCATTCTTCACAGAATTAGAAAAAAAATTCTAAAATTCATAAGGAACTAAAAAAGACCCCTCGTAGCAAAAGGAAGACTAAGCAAAAAGAACAAATCTGGAGGCACCACACTACCTGATTTCAAACTATACTATAAGGCCATAGTCACGAAAACAACATGGTACTGGCATAAAAATACATGCGTAGACCACTGGAACAGAATAGAGAACCCAAAAATAAACCCAAATACAGCTAACTAATCTTCGACAAAGCAAACAAAAAACATAAAGTGGGGAAAGGACTACCTTTTCAACCAAATGGTGCTGGGATAATTGGCTAGCCATATGCAGGAGAATGAAACTGGATCCTCATTTCTCACCTTATACAAAAATCATCTCAAGATGGATTAAGGACTTAAACCTAAGACCTGAAACTATAACAATTCTAGAAGATAACATTGGAAAAATCCTTCTAGACATTGGCTTAGGCAAGGATTTCATGACCAAAAACCCAAAAACAAATGGAATAAAAACAAAGATAAATAGCTGTGACCTAATTAAACTAAAGAGCTTTTGCACAGCAAAAGGAAGAGTGAGCAGAGTTAACAGACAACCCACAGAGTGGGAGAAAATCTTCATAATCTATACATCTGACAAAGGAATAATAACCAGAATCTACAATTAACTCAAACGAATCAGAAAAAAAACAATCCCATCAAAAAGTGAGCTAAAGACAAGGACAATCCTCAAAAGAAGATATGCAAATGGCCAACCACGTATGAAAAAATGCAGGAGGAAGGGCCAAGATGGCCGAATAGGAACAGCTCCGGTCTACAGCTCCCAGCATGAGCGACGCAGAAGACGGGTGATTTCTGCATTTCCATCTGAGGTACCGGGTTCATCTCACTAGGGAGTGCCAGACAGTGGGCGCAGGACAGTAGGTGCAGCGCACCATGTGCGAGCTGAAGCAGGGCGAGGCATTGCCTCACTCGGGAAGCGCAAGGGGTCAGGGAGTTCCCTTTCCTAGTCAAAGAAAGGGGTGACAGACGGTACCTGGAAAATCGGGTCACTCCCACCCCAATACTGTGCTTTTCTGACGGGCTTAAAGAACGGCACACCAGGAGATTATATCCCGCACATGGCACGGAGGGTCCTAAGCCCATGGAGTCTCACTGATTGCTAGCACAGCAGTCTGAGATCAAACTGCAAGGTGGCAGCAAGGCTGGGGGAGGGGTGCCCACCATTGCCCAGTCTTGCTTAGGTGAACAAAGCAGCCAGGAAGCTCAAACTGGGTGGAGCCCACCACAGCTCAAGGAGGCCTGCCTGCCTCTGTAGGCTCCACCTCTGGGGGCAGGGCACAGACAAACAAAAAGACAGCAGTAATCTCTGCAGACTTAAATGTCCCTGTCTGACAGCTTTGAAGAGAGCAGTGGTTCTCCCAGCATGCAGCTGGAGATCTGAGAACGGGCAGACTGCCTCCTCAAGTGGGTCCCTGACACCTGACCCCCGAGCAGCTTACTGGGAGGCCCCTCCCAGTAGGGGCAGACTGACACCTCACATGGCCGGGTACTCCTCTGAGGCAAAACTTCCAGAGGAAAAATCAGACAGCAGCATTCGCGGTTCACAAAAATCCGCTGTTCTGCAGCCACCGCTGCTGGTACCCAGGCAAACAGGGTCTGGAGTGGACCTCTAGAAAACTCCAACAGACCTGCAGCTGAGGGTCCTGTCTGTTAGAAGGAAAACTAACAAACAGAAAGGACATCCACACCAAAAACCCATCTGTACATCACCATCATCAAAGATCAAAAGTAGATAAAACCACAAAGATGGGGAAAAAACAGAGCAGAAAAACTGGAAACTCTAAAAAGCAGAGTGCCTCTCCTCCTCCAAAGGAACGCAGCTCCTCACCAGAAATGGAACAAATCTGGACAGAGAATGACTTTGATGAGTTGGGAGAAGAAGGCTTCAGAAGATCAAACTACTACGAGCTACAGGAGGAAATTCAAACCAAAGGCAAAGAAGTTGAAAACTTTGAAAAAAATTTAGATGAATGTATAACTAGAATAACCAATACAGAGAAGTGCTTAAAGGAGCTGATGGAGCTGAAAGCCAAGGCTCAAGAACTATGTGAAGAATGCAGAAGCTTCAGGAGCCAATGGGATCAACTGGAAGAAAGGGTATCAGTGATGGAAGATGAAATGAATGAAATGAAGTGAGAAGGGAAGTTTAGAGAAAAAAGAAAAAAAAGGAATGAACAAAGCCTCCAAGAAATATGGGACTATGTGAAAAGATCAAATCTCCGTCTGATTGGTGTACTTGAAAGTGACGGGGAGAATGGAACCAAGTTGGAAAACACTCTGCAGGATATTATCCAGGAGAACTTCCCCAATCTAGCAAGGCAGGCCAACATTCAGATTCAGGAAATACAGAGGACGCCACAAAGATACTCCTCGAGAAAAGCAACTCCAAGACACATAATTGTCAGATTCACCAAAGTTGAAATGAAGGAAAAAATGTTAAGGGCAACCAGAGAGAAAGGTCGGGTTACCCACAAAGGGAAGCCCATCAGACTAACAGCAGATCTCTCGGCAGAAACTCTACAAGCCAGAAGAGAGTGGGGGCCAATATTCAACATTCTTAAAGAAAAGAATTTTCAACCCAGAATTTCATATCCAGCCAAACTAAGCTTCATAAGTGAAGGAGAAATAAAATCCTTTACAGACAAGCAAATGCTGAGAGATTTTGTCACCACCAGGCCTGCCCTAAAAGAGCTCCTGAAGGAAGCACTAAACATAGAAAGCAACAACCAGTACCAGCCACTGCAAAATCATGCCAAATTGTAAAGACCATCAATGCTAGGAAGAAACTGCATCAACTAACGAGCAAAATAACCAGCTAACATCATAATGACAGGATCAAATTCACACATAACAATATTAACTTTAAATGTAAGTGGACTAAATGCTCCAATTAAAAGACACAGACTGGCAAATTGGATAAAGAGTCAAGACCCATCAGTGTGCTGTATTCAGGAAACGCATCTCACGTGCAGAGACACACATAAGCTCAAAATAAAGGGATGGAGGAAGATCTACCAAGCAAATGGAAAACAAAAAAAGGCAGGGGTTGCAAACCTAGTCTCTGATAAAACAGATTTTAAACCAACAAAGATCAAAAGAGACAAGGCCATTAGATAATGGTAAAGGGATCAATTCAACAAGAAGAGCTAATATCCTAAATATATATGCACCCAATACAGGAGCACCCAGATTCATAAAGCAAGTCCTGAGTGACCTACAAAGAGACTTAGACTCCCACACAATAATAATGGGAGACTTTAACACCCCACTGTCAACATTAGACAGATCAATGAGACAGAAAGTTAACAAGGATATCCAGGAATTGAACTCAGCTCTGCACCAAATGGACCTAATAGACATCTACAGAACTCTCCAACCCAAATCAACAGAATGTACATTTTTTCCAGCACCACACCACACCTATTCCAAAATTGACCACATAGTTGGAAGTAAAGCTCTCCTCAGCAAATGAAAAAGAACAGAAATTATAACAAACTGTCTCTCAGACCAGAGTGCAATCAAACTAGAACTCAGGATTAAGAATCTCACTCAAAACCACTCAACTACATGGAAACTGAACAACCTGCTCCTGAATGACTACTGGGTACATAACGAAACGAAGGCAGAAATAAAGATGTTCTTTGAAACCAATAAGAACAAAGACACAACATACCAGAATCTCTGGGACACATTCAAAGCAGTGTGTAGAGGGAAATTTATAGCACTAAATGCCCACAAGAGAAAGCAGGAAAGATCCAAAATTGACACCCTATCATCACAATTGAAAGAACTAGAAAAGCAAGAGCAAACACTTTCAAAAGCTAGCAGAAGGCAAGAAATAACTAAAATCAGAGCAGAACTGAAGGAAACAGAGACACAAAAAACCCTTCAAAAAATTAAGGAATCCAGGAGCTGGTTTTTTGAAAGGATCAACAAAATTGATAGACCGCTAGCAAGACAAATAAAGAAGAAAATAGAGAAGAATCAAATAGATGCAATAAAAAATGATAAAGGGGAAATCACCACCAATCCCACAGAAATACAAACTACCATCAGAGAATACTACAAACACCTCTATGCAACTAAACTAGAAAATCTGGAAGAAATGGATACATTCCTCGACACATACACCCTCCCAAGATTAAACCAGGAAGAAGTTGACTGTCTGAATAGACCAATAACAGGCTCTGAAATTGTGGCAATAATCAATAGCTTACCAACCAAAAAGAGTCTAGGACCAGATGGATTCACAGCCGAATTCTACCAGAGGTACAAGGAGGAACTGGTCCCATTCCTTCTGAAACTATTCTAATGAATAGAAAAAGAGGGAATCCTCCCTAAGTCATTTTATGAGGCCAGCATCATCCTGATACCAAAGCCTGGCAGAGACACAACAAAAAAAGAGAATTTTAGACCAATATCCTTGATGAACATAGACGTAAAAATCCTCAATAAAATACTGGCAAACCGAATCCAGCAGCACATCAAAAAGCTTATCCACCATGATCAAGTGGGCTTCATCCCTGGGATGCAAGGCTGGTTCAATATACGCAAATCAATAAATGTAATCCAGCATATAAACAGAACCAAAGACAAAAACCACATGATTATCTCAATAGATGCAGAAAAGGCCTTTGAAAAAATTCAACAAAACTTCATGCTAAAAACTCTCAATAAATCAGTTATTGATGGGACATATCTCAAAATAATAAGAGCTATCTATGACAAACCCACAGCCAATGTCATACTGAATGGGCAAAAACTGGAAGCATTCCTTTTGAAAACTGCCACAAGACAGGGATGCCCTCTCTCACCACTCCTATTCAACATAGTGTTGGAAGTTCTGGCTGGGGCTATTAGGCAGGAGAAGGAAATAAAGGGTATTCAATTAGGAAAAGAGGAAGTCAAATTGTCCCTGTTTGCAGATGACATGACTGTATATCTAGAAAACCCCATTGTGTCAGCCCAAAATCTCCTTCAGCTGGTAAGCAACTTCAGCAAAGTCTCAGGATACAAAATCAATGTACAAAAATCACAAGCATTCTTATACACCAATAACAGACAAACAGAGAGCCAAATCATGAGTGAACTCCCATTCACAATTGCTTCAAAGAGAATAAAATCCCTAGGAATCCAACTTACAAGGGATGTGAAGGACCTCTTCAAGGAGAACTACAAACCACTGCTCAATGAAATGAAAGAGGATACAAACAAATGGAAGAACATTCCATGCTCATGGGTAGGAAGAATGAAGATCGTGAAAATGGCCACACTGCCCAAGGTAATTTATAGATTCAATGCCATCCCCATGAAGCTACCAATGACTTTCTTCACAGAATTGGAAAAAACTACTTTAAAGTTCATATGGAATCAAAAAGGAGCCCGCATCGCCAAGTCAATCCTAAGCCAAAATAACAAAGCTGGAGGCATCATGCTACCTGACTTCAAACTATACTACAAGGCTACAGTAACCAAAATAGCATGGTAGTGGTACCAAAACAGAGATATAGATCAATGGAAAGAACAGAGCCCCCAGAAATAATGCCGCATATCTACAACTGTCTGATCTTTGACAAACCTGAGAAAAACAAGCAATGGGGAAAGGATTCCCTATTTAATAAATGGTGCTGGTAAAACTGGCTAGCCATATGTAGAAAGCTGAAACTTCATCCCTTCCTTACACCTTATACAAAAATTAATTCAAGATGGATTAAAGGCTTAAACGTTAGACCTAAGACCATAAAAACCCTAGAAGAAAACCTAGGCATTAGCATTCAGGACATAGGCATGGGCAAGGACTTCATGTCTAAAACACAAAAAGCAATGGCAACAAAAGCCAAAATTGACAAATGGGATCTAATTCAACTAAAGAGCTTCTGCACAGCAAAAGAAACTACCATCAGAGTGAACAGGCAACCTACAAAATGGGAGAAAATTTTCGCAACCTACTCATCTGACAAAGGGCTAATATCCAGAATCTACAATGAACTCAAAGAAATTTACAAGAAAAAAACAAACAACCCCATCAAAAAGTGGGCGAAGTAAATGAACAGACACTTCTCAAAAGAAGACATTTATGCAGCCAAAAAACACATGAAAAAATGCTCACCATCACTGGCCATCAGAGAAATGCAAATCAAAACCACAATGAGATACCATCTCACACCAGTTAGAATGGCAATCATTAAAAAGTCAGGAAACAACAGGTGCTGGAGAGGATGTGGAGAAATAGGAACACTTTTACACTGTTGGTGGGAGTGTAAACTAGTTCAACCCTTGTGGAAGTCAGTGTGGTGATTCCTCAGGGATCTAGAACTAGAAATACCATTTGACCCAGCCATCCCATTACTGGGTATATACCCAAAGGATTATAAATCATGCTGCTATAAAGACACATGCACACATATGTTTATTGCAGCACTATTCAGAATAGCAAAGACTTGGAACCAAACCAAATGTCCAACAATGATAGACTGGATTAAGTAAATGTGGCATATATATACCATGGAATACTATGCAGCCATAAAAAATGATGAGTTCATGTCCTTTGTAGGGACATGGATGACATTGGAAATCATCATTCTCAGTAAACTATCGCAAGGACAAAAAACCAAACACCGCATATTCTCACTCATAGGTGGGAATTGAACAATGAGAACACATGGACACAGGAAGGGGAACATCACACTCCAGGGACTGTTGTGGGGTGGGGGGAGTGGGGAGGGATAGCTTTAGGAGATATACCTAATGCTAAATGACAAGTTAATGGGTGCAGCACACCAGCATGGCACATGTGTACATGTATAACTAACCTGCACATTGTGCACATGTACCCTAAAACTTGAAGTATAATAATAATAAAGACATTTTTGAAGAATAAATATACATAAATAAGTCAGGGAAATTCAAAAGTAGAAAAGCCATCAGGAGATTTGTGCTTTCCTAGATATTGAAATTTATAATGCTAGAATAACTAAAACTCTTAGGCGTGGAAATAAGTATACACACAGAGAAATGAAACAGAACCAACGTTCATGAATGGATAAAAATAAAACAGATATTTAATAAATGTGAAATTCCATATCCATGAGGAAAATGTGGGTTATTCAATAAGAGGTATTGGGACAATGAAATTTAACATCTTTAAAAATTAGAAAAGAAAAAATGCTCAACATCACTAAATATCAGGGAAATGCAAATCAAAACCACAATGCAATATCACCTTATTCCTGCAAGAATGGCCATAATCAAACAATCAAAGAACAGTAAACGTTGGCACGGATGCAGTCATCAGGGAACACTTCTACACTGCTGGTGGTAATGTAAAGTGGTACAGCTGCTATGGAAAACAGTGCAGAGATTCCTTAAAAACTAAAAGTAGAACTACCATTTGATCCAGCAATCCCACTACTGGGTATCTACCCAGAGGAAAAGAAGTCATTATACGAAAAAGATGCTTGCACATGCATGTTTATAGCAGCACAATTCACAATTGCAAAATCGTGAAACCAACCCAAATGCCCATCAGTCAATGAGTGGATAAAGAACTGTGGTAGGTATATATATATATATATATATATATATATATATATATATATATATATATATATATATATATATGATGGAATACTACTCAACCGTAAAAAGGAATGAATTAGCACCATTTGCTGTGACCTGGATGAGACTGGAAACTATTATTCTAAGTGAAATTACTCAGGAATGGAAAACCAAACATTGTATGTTCTCACTGTTATGTGGGAACTAAGCTATGAGGATGCAAAGGCATAAGAATGATATGATGGACTTTGGGGACTTGGGTGGAAAGAGTGGGAAGGGCCAAGGGATAAAAGACTACAAATATGGTGCAGTGTATATGGCTTAGGTGATGTACGCACCAAAATCTCACAAATCACCACTAAAAAATTTACTCATGTCACCAAATACCACCTGTACCACAACAACTTATGTAAAAATAAAATTTAAGAAACAAAAACAATAAAATAATAGCCATTTTGACTGGTGTGAGATGGTATCTCATTGTGGTTTGATTTGCATTTAATGATCAGTTTTATTTATTTTATAACTAGCAGCTAAAATTTTTAAGTCTAAGCATTACAATATGTAACCTTCTATATTGGATAGGGGGATGGGAAGGTGTAACGTGATGAAAAGCTATTTGTAAAATTGTCTTTTGTATGAATTTGCATGGTGGTATTTGTCTGGTATTATGCACTTTATAAAAATTATTATTTTTAATTGAAAATATTATTTCCGATACCTCTGGTCACCCTGAGTGGCCTGTGCTTGGAAGTATCAATCTTTTTACCTTTTTTTGGAGGACATTTTAGAGTCTGTAGCCTGAAGGAGTTTCTTAAGGTGGTAGAACACACCTAGGTACTTGTGACTGTTTGCTCAGGAAGGCATTTGTTTGGGAGCAGTCACTCTATTCATTGTAGCAGATAGGTGCCCACCCCAGGAAAATTTTTCTTGGTGACTGAATGAATAAATTTCATGATTCATGGTTTCTTTGAGGCTTTTCATATCTATATTATTTAAAATAAACTAGTTGAAGGGAAGTCTGCACTATTACAGTGTGAAGAATGCGCAATGGTAAAATAGTAAAATTTCATTTCTTAAAGCTGGATTAATTTGGTATGCAAATAAAGTGTAATGAATTATTAAATCACTATCTTGCATGCACATAAAATGGGTTAAAGTTATCCAAATTTCAATTGTGCTTCTCTTTTTTTGTCAGTTGAATATATACGATTAGCACTGCTTACTTAGCTTTTAAATATGTGTGAGATCCATTGTAAACAAAGATTATCTTCACAGTGGTGATGGAGTTACATTTACCCTAGTTGATCTACAACCATCCATGGCCTAGTTTTTAAGGTAAGAACTTCATTCTAAACAAAGTACACCACCCCATATCCCCCAGACTCTCCAGTCTGTATCAGTTACTACTTATAATTCCTTCAGTCTGCCTTACTATTTGCCAACAAAGTGACCTTGCCTTCAAGCTTCAAAATAGCCTCCTCAATATCTAGCATTAGTTCATTTTCTTTCATTTGGAACAGGTAAGAGTGCTTTGAGAATCATTATTTGCAGGGACTCAACTTTGCTCTATTAGAAAATTTTTATTAGTAAATTTCTTATACTTAGCTCATAGGAAATATGTCTGAAACCCAAGTTTGCAATTTATCATGTATGTTAGGATAAATATTTGAAAGTTTACAATTGTCATTACATTTTTAGAGTAACAACCATAAGAGGCTCAGAACACACAATTGTGTTTGAAGTGGTTAGTTTCATAACCCCAAGTTGCAAACCGTACCCTCCACTTGCACCCAGACTCGTTAACAGATCCAAGAGCAGCCTGAATTAAAAAAAAAAAAAAAGAAGTATGCTGTAATAGCAAAAAAAAAAAAAAAAAAAAGAGTATATGCAGAGGCAAAAAAATTTTTACTTATATTGCTGCCATTAAATATCCTCATCCTTCCCCCCCAAAAAAAGAAAAGGTTTTTTTTCTCTCTTGAGGTTCACAGATTAGACAGAAATTTTTTGTGGGAATTATGCAAGAGTTGAAAGACCAAACAATTAAGATGGTATGTGAGAAAAATCTTGTCTGTGGTAGAATTAACTAAGTAATAAAAATAAATATAGAAAACAATAGGGTACAGAGTGAATTAGGTTAGGGAATGAATTGGAAAAAAATCTGAAGTCAATTCTTTGTTTTGGCCACCAGATGATAATAGCAGGCCGAAGAGTAAGGGTGGAGGACTATGTGCAGGGTACAAGCCAGAACTCGGGAAATACCTACATTGATTGCCTTATTTGTTTTATTTCTAAATGCCCTTCCTTAGAAGAAAAACTTACCTTTGCAACTTCAGGGGAGGCAGGTGGATGGCAAAGGAAAGATACTGTACATTCCACACAATCGCAGAACAAGCAAATCACAGAATAGATGCTCAATATATGATAACATAATAAACATTTACAAAATAACTTCATGTGGTTATAGTAAGGATTAAATGAGCTAATGCATGAATAATGTTTAGAACAGTACCTAGCATGTCATAAGAGAGCAATATATGTTATTATTATTACTACTGCTACTATTTTTATTATTTGCTTTCTTTGATTAAAACTCCTGCAATACTCTCAGAAGTCATGTGTAAATAAAATAAGCATGCATCCATCCCTATGAGTTATAAAGATGAAATTTGACTGCCCAACCTAATTAGAGATTGTCTTATTGTAGATGTCCAGCTTTAAACTGGTCTAGACAGTTTAAACTGGTGTCCTGGTATCTAGTCATCTAGACACCACTGTTGCAACACAGTATATTGCTAATTATTCACAAATGTTGATTCATCCCAAGAGATATACCAAATGGTCTTCTTGTCCTCAGTACTGTATGCAACAACTATGTCTGAATTTTACCCTCAGATATGAAGCTCTGTTTTGTGTTTCATCTTGTGGGGTTTTTTTCAGGACAGAGAAGGAGTTGATCTTTCTATGTTAATGCACCCATTTTATTTTATTTTAAGTTCTGGGGTACATGTGCAGGATGTGCAGATTTGTTACATAGGTAAACACGTGCCATGGTGGTTTGTTGCACCTATCAACCCATCACCTATGTATTAAGCACCGCATGCATTAGCTATTTTTCCTGATGCTCTCCACCCCACCCCACCCTCTCTCTCCCAACAGGCCCCAGTGCGTCTTGTTCCCCTCCCTGTGTCCATGTGTTCTCATTGTTCAGCTCCCATTTATAAATGAGAACATGCATGTTTGGTTGTCTGTTCCTGCGTTAGTTTGCTGAGGATAATGGCTTCCAACTTCATCCATGTCCCTGCAAAGGACATGATCTCATTCCTTTTTATGGCTGCATAGTATTCCATGGAATGCACCCATTTTCTATTTATTTATTTATTTATTTAAGACAGGGTCTCACTCTGTCACTTAGGCTGGAGTGCAGTGGTATGATGTCAGCTCACTGCAACCTCCATCCCCAGGGTTCAAGTGATCCTCCCACCTCAGCCTCCATAGTAGCTGGGACCACAGGCACACACCACCACACCCGGCTAATTTTTCATATTTTTAGTAGAGACAGGCTCTCACCATGTTACCCAGGCTGGTCTCAAACTCCTGAGCTCAAGCAACTCACCCACCTTGGCCTCCCACAGTGCTGGGATTACAGGCATGAACCACTGCACCTGGCTAATGCACCCATTTTCAATGACCTTATTATGTTAAATTTTACTTGGGTGGGGAATGATCTGGTCCTATTAATGGATATTAAATTTCATCTAAATGTCCATTGATCCAATTGTACTCTTCTCCTTGAACACTTTGAGACCCCCATAATTAGTGAGTCCAAATATCATTCAGAAAGATAATAATTTTTCATAGAGTAATAGAAAAGGAAGTCATTAAAGAATTATTTCTAGATTATATTGGTTCAAGTTTACCCTGGGGAGACCCTTACCATCAAGTCTGATGATGAGAATATTCAGAATATTCAAGATCAGTTAAAGCATAATTAGGCATGTGTTATTTGATACCAAATAGAGTGAACTTAAATATTAGTGTGAAATGACTTTACTGTAGCCCACTTACTGTTTGAGACAGATTAAATGCTCTTAAATATAATCCTCATAGGAGGTTAGCATCAATAGAATAACCAGGGCTAATCATGCTAATCTTACTAGAGACCTACAAAAGTAAAGTACTTTTAAAAATTGAAGGAGATTAATTCCAAAATTCTATTTGAAGTCCAGATTTTGGAGATAGTGATAGCTGATTATAGTTTTAGATTATTCTCCTATAGGAGATGACTGCTAAGGCCTTCAGACAGCTCATTCATTCATACATTCAACAAGTATTTACTCAGTGTCTAGCATGTACCAGCCCTCTACTGGACACTTAGGATACAACAATATGTAGAAGGGGTGATTATACAGACACCCCCCCCCCCCACACACACACTCTATAGATAGGTAGACAGCAAATATATAGCATATAGACTTGTTTCAGTAGTAATATAAAATAAATACTTGCTTCATATAAGCTTTATTATTATTTCAATGAGATGACTGTTTTATGCCAATTATTTTGTATCCTAAAGGGATTTTGAGCTGTCTCAAGAATTTCTAAAAACATTATCACCTAGCAATGGATTTCATATTGCTGCTATACAAAATTTGTCATGAATTCATATTTATTATTTTCCCATTATTAAAAGTAAATTACCATTCTAGGACTTGAAAGCCACATTTCTAGAACTAAGCATTAGTTATAATAATTTCAGATAAACAAAAGAATTACAACATTAAAAGTCTCCATTCTGTGTTGTATTTTAGATACTATGCAATCATATGTTTAAGATAATAAAAATACATAGTATGAAAGTAGGGCATCACATGAGTATTATTGGGTCCTTCTTTATAATATACTGTTTTCTAAAAACCACTTTAGTATAATTTATGGAAAGCCTTAAATGAAAATTTAAGTTTTATTAGGCAATGTCACTATAAGAAATATATTTTATGTTCCAGAATAAACTTTTTATTACCCAATATATGACCATGATGGGTGAGAAACAATAGATAAGTAAAGGTACAATTATACCAGAAGGCTGGTATGATAGTTGATTTTCCTTAGCAGTAGGAATTACCAATATTTTTTATAATTTAAATTTAAACCATGCCTTGGTTATTTTCCCATTGGTTGTGATGAATTTTCATCAACTCATCTACACTCTGACTCATGTTTGTGAGTTAACAACACATATTTTCAAAATAGCTGACTATTATTAAAGCTTGGAGCTGGTTTTGACTGTGCAAAGTTAACTGACTCCTGTAAAGGACTTTGTTTAATGTTATTACAGTATTTATTAAAATAATTCTCTTTTAGGATCAGCTGATGTACCTCTGATGTCACCACCTGGTACTTTGCCATCAGTCTATCTTCTTCCTGGCTACGTCTCAGATATGCTAGTGTGGTTTTTACTTGATGTTTAGCTCTAAGTTATCATTTAACATTTTTCATTATGTCACTATATCAGAACTTCTGGCATGTTATTTATTTATTTATTTTACTGTTATCATCATTGCTAAAAGCTATTGCATTTAACCAAAGCTTTAAAACCAGTCCTCTTTTAGATTGCCTTATAAACGATGTTTAATTCATCCAGCGAATTTGGATCTCTTAATATTCACTAATCTTTTTTTTTTTGGTTTCTCAGTACTTTCACCCATCTTATCTATTAAAATTGTTACACTAATGTCTTCTGATAACGTGTGTGCTTTAGTTCCTAAAATTACTTTGCATTTTCAGTTCAGAAGTATTTCATTCCTAGACTACTAGGGGCACTTTTAAGAAATTCCTTAAATATTTGTAAAGTGCCTAAAATGAGCAGGAAGTTATGACTCCTATAAAGACGAATAAGATATTCCATAGCCTAGGAAATTTTTATAATTGAAAATATGACTTTTTCTGCTTCTTCATAGTGTTTGCCTTAGTGGCTTATTTCGTTGTGTTTATTGCACAGCTGTGGAGATGAATAACATACTAAATAAATAAAGTTAATGTGGTTGAATTCTTAATGGAATTATCTATTGGGCAATATCTAATGAAAATACGAATGCATAATTCTTTCACCCACCAATTCCACTTTAAGAAATTTATCCTACAGATATATTTTCACAAATTTGGAATGAAAAATATACAAGATTATTCATTACAATACTGTTTATAACCACAAAAGTCTGGAAACAGCCCACATGCTTGTCAACGGGTGACTGTATAGTACATTCACATTAGGGAGCTCTCTTCGACTATGCAAAAAAAAAATAATAGAGAAGCTCTGTCTGCTTATACAGAGAGGCCTTCAAGATTAATGCTGAGTTCAAGTTACAAAATCATACAATTCTACCTTTTATGTAATAAAAAAAGAAAAATAAGAATATGCATTCTTGCTTGTATAGGCAGAAAGAAATTCTGGAAGGATTCATAAGAAAGTAAGAACAGTAGTTATCTGTTGGGAAGGTATTGAACAGATAGGGTTAGGAGGGAAACTTTTTTTTTTTTTTTTTTTTTTTTTTAAGACAGAGTCTTGTTCTGTCGCCCAGGCTGGAGTGCAGTGGTGCGATCTCAGCTCACTGCAAACTCCGCCTCTCAGGTTCAAGCGATTCTCCTGCCTCAGCCTCCCGAGTAGCTGGGATTACAGGCGCCCGCCATCACGCCCAGCTAATTTTTGTATTTTTTTTTTAGTAGAGAGGGGGTTTCACCATGTTGGCCAGGTTGGTCTCAAACTCCTTACCTTAGGTGATCCGCCCACCTCGGCCTCCCAAAGTGCTAGGATTACAGGCGTGAGCCATGGCACCCTGCCGGGAAACTTTTAATCATACACTTATTTATACTTTATGGTTTTGAACCATGTCAATATATTATCTATTGTCAAAAAATAACCTCTTTTCTGTAGCCCCAGTTACTCGGGAGGCTGAGGCAGGAGAATGGCGTGAACCTGGGAGGCGGAGCTTGCAGTGAGCTGACATTGCGCCACTGCACTCCAGCCTGGGTGACAGAGTGAGACCCTGTCTCTAAAAACAAAAGCCTTGAGATATGTAATTATTATAGTTATTAAACAGAATTCCATTTTCTCTTTTAGAAACCTATTCCCATGGAATAGCAAATTATAACCAACTCGATGAAAGAGCTGCTAAAATGGGAGAACATATGAAGAAAAAAAACTAGAGAAGTTGGTGGACAAAGGAATAGCTATGTGGCTAACAACACTTCTTTACTTGTGAACAAAACTAATGATTTTTTCAATATTTCTGGTACTCCAAGCAATGTTAACTATGCTCCAACCACCTACACTGTTGACAACACTTCAAGCACTTAGTCTGTGGACAATGCTCCAAGCACCTACACTGTTGACAATACTTTGAGCACCTACACTGTGAACAATACTTTGAATGCTTACACTGTGGACAATACTCCAGGTACCTACACTGCGAGCAATGTAAACATTTACACTGACAATACTCCCAGTACTTACACTGCTCACAGCCCTCCAAGCACTAACATTGCTGACAAAGCTCCCAGCAGTTCTTCCATTGACCATGTCCCTAGCATTTCCATCTCAGACACTACTCTGAGCCCTGCTACCTCTGATGGCATTCTGAACCCTTCTAGCACTAATCATACTCCCAAGACTGCCACCTCTGACAGAACTCCCAGATCATCTGATAGTACTCGCAGACCATCAAGTTTTGACAGTACGCCAAGCTCTTCCGCTTCTCACAGTGCTCCCAACACTTCCATCTCTGAAAATGCTCCCAACACTTCTGACATTGGTAATGCTCTCAGTACTCCAACACTGCCAGTACTGAGATTGAGACTAGACATAGAAAGAAACAGAGTGCTATAGGAGGTGAAGAAATCAAGCAGAAACCAAGTGGAAAACAAAACAAGTGACCATCACCAAATAATGCAGATAAAGGTAAGATCAAGAGTTTGGTTTTGTTGCCAATGAATAAACATCTTAATGGTTAGGAATCTCAGTCCATTTTTAATATTAATGTGTCATTTTCTACTTTCGTTTCCTCTTTTCTTCTTTGTACCCTTAAGTTTAAATTCTTTTCTAAATTAATACTTTTATTAACAAATCATAAATATATACATTTATAAGGTACCATGTGATGCTTTGACATATGCATAAAATGCAGAACGCTTAAATCAAGCTAATTAACATATTTGTCACCACACTTACCTATCTTTTTATGGTAAGACATTTGAAATTTGCCAATTTAATTATTTCAAAATATGCAATACAATATTATTGACTATAATCACCCTGGTGTACAGATCTTAAACCCTGTTCTTGCTGTCCATCTGAAACGTTGCACCCTTTCATCAACAACTCCCCATTCACTCCCTCCCTATCCTCCAGCTTCTGGTAACCATCATTCTACTCTCTACTTCTATGAGTTCAGCTTTATTAAATTCCGCATATGAGTGAGATCATGCAGCATTTGTCTTTCTGTGCCTGGCTTATGTTACTTAGCATAATGTCCTAGAGATTCATCCATTTTGAGGCAAATCACAGAATTTCCCCCCGTTAAGGGCAAAATAATATATGAAACCATGATTATGCTGCCTTTTATTATTTTTCTCTTTTTAAAAAAATTTTAGATTCAAGGGGTACGAGTTCAAGTTTGTTAGATGGATATATTGCATAATGATGAGGTTTGGGCTTCCAGTGTACTCGTCACCCAAATAGTGAAGATTATACACAATAGGTAATTTTTAAATAATTACAACTTTTATTTTAGATTCAGAGAGTCCATGTGCAGATTTGTTACATGGGTATATTGTGTGATGCTGAGGTTTGGGTTTCGAATGATCCCGTTACCCAGATATTGAGCATAGTACCCAACGAGTACTTTTTCAACCCTTGCCCCCTCGCTTCTTCTCCCCTCTAGTAGTCCCCAGTGCCTATTGTTCCTATCTCCTACTCCCTGTGCCACCCAACTGTGTGAGACCCTCCAACAGGGGTTGTCAGACACCCTATACAAGAGCAATCCTACTGGCATCAGGTTGGTGCCCCTCAAGGTCAGATATCCCAGAAGAAAAGCAGGCACCCATCTTTGCTGTTTTCCAGCCTTCTTAAGTGACATCTCCAGGCACGGGAGTGAATCAGATGAATAGGGCCTGAAGTGAACACCTAGCAAACTGCAGCAGCCCTATGGAAGAGGAACCTGACTACTGAAGAAAAAAAAAACAAACAAGCAGAAAGCAACAACAACAGCATCAACAACAACAACACACGGGCCCACACAAAACCCCATCCAAGGGTCCGCAGCCTCAAAAACCAAAACTAGACAATCTCATGAAGATGAGAAAGCATCAACGAAAAAATGCTGAAAACCTAAAAGTCCAGAGTGCCTTTTCTCCAAATGATGGCAACATCTCTCCATCAAGGGCACAGAACTGGACAGGGGATCAGATTGACAAATTGACAGAGGTAGGTTTCAGAAGATGGATAATAAAAAACTATGATGAGTTAAAGGAGCATGTTTTAACCCAATGCAAAGAAACTACGAACCTTGATAAAAGGTTGGAGGAATTGCTAATTAAAATAACCAGTTTAGAGAGGAACATAAATGACCAGATGGAGCTGAAAAACACAGCACCACAGCACAAGGACTTCTTGAAGGATACACAAGTATCAACAGCCAAAATGACCAAGCAGAAGAAAGTATATCAGAGTTTGAAGACCATCTTACTGAAATAAGACATGGAGACAAGAGTAGAGAAAAAAAGAATGAAAAGGAATGAACAAAGCCTTCAAGAAATATGGGAATTCATAAAACGCCCAAACCTACGATTGATTGAAGACATGAAAAGCCCTTCATAAAAAAGCAATGAATCCAGGAGCTGGTTTTTTAAAAAGATTAACAAAATAGAACATTAGCCAGACTAATAAAGAAGAAAAGAGAGAATAATCAAATCGACACAATAAAAAATGATAAAGGGGATGTCACCACTGATCCCACAGAAATATAAACTACCACCAGAGAATACTATAAACACCTCTACACAAATAAACTAGAAAATCTAGAAGAAATGGATAAATTCCTGGACACATACACCCTCCCAAGACTAAACCAGGAAAAATTCGAATGCATGAATAGACCAATAACAAGTTCTGAAATTGAGGCAGTAATTAATAGCCTACCAACAAAAAGGGCTCAGGATCAGATAGATTCACAGCCAAATTCTACCAGAGGTATGAAGAGGACCTGGTACCATTCCTTCTGAAACTATTCCAAACAATAGAAAAAGAGGGAATCCTCCCTAACTCATTTTACAAGGCCATCATCATCCTGATACCAAAGCCTGGCAGAGCCACAACAAAAAAGAAAATTTCAGGCCAATATCCCTGATGAACACTGATGCAAAAGTCTTAAATAAAATACTTGCAAACCGAATCCAGTAGCAAATCAAAAAGCTTAGCCACCATGATCAACTCAGCTTTATCCCTGGGATGCAAAGCTGTTTCAACATACACAAATCAATAAATGTAAACCGTTACAAAAACAGAAACAATGACAAAACCCACATGATTATCTCAACAGATGCAGAAAAGGTCTTTGATAAAATTCAACACCTTCTTATGCTAAAAATTCTCAAGAAACTAGGTATTGATGGAAAGTATCTCAAAATAATAAGAGCTATTTATGACAAACCCACAGCCAATATCACACTGGATGGGCGAAAGCTGGGAGCATTCCCTTTGAAAACCAGCACAAGACAAGGATGCCCTCTCTCACCACTCCTATTCAACATAGTACTGGAAGTTCTGGCCAGGGCAATTGGCAAGAGAAAGAAATAAAGTGCATTGAACTAGAACGAGGGGAAGTCAAATTGTCTCTTGTTTGCAGATGACATGATTGTATATTTAGGAAACCCATCGTCTCAGCCCAAAATCTCCTTAAGCTGATAAGCAACTTCAGCAAAGTCTCAGGATACAAAATCAATGTGCAAAAATCACAAGCATTCCTATACACCAATAATAGATAAACAGAGTGCCAAATCATGAGTGAACTGCCATTCACAATTGCTACTAAGAGAATAAAATACCTAGGAGTACAACTTATAAGGGAAGTAAAGGAACTCTTCAAGGAGTACTACAAACCACTGCTCAAGGAAATAAGAGTGGACACAAACAAATGGAAAAACATTCCAAGCTCATGGATAGGAAGAATCAGTATTATGATAATGGCCATACTGCCAAAGTAATTTATAGATTCAATGCTATCCTCATCAAGCTACCATTGACTTTCTTCACAGAGTTAGAAAAAACTACTTTAAAGTTCATATGGAACCAACAAAGAGCCTGTATAGCCAAGACAATCCTAAGCAAAAAGAATAAAGCTGGAGGCATCACACTACCTGACTTCAAACTATACTACAAGGCTACAGTAACCAAAATGGCATGGTACTGGTACCAAAACAGATATATAGACCAATGGAACAGAACAGAGCCCTCAGAAATAACGCCATACATCTACAACCATCTGATCTTTGACAGACCTGACAAAAACAAGCAATGGGGAAAGGATTCCCTATTTAATAAATTTTGTTGGGAAAACTGGCTACCCATGTGTAGAAAAATGAAACTGGATCTCTTCCTTACAACTTATACAAAAATTAACTCAAGATGGATTAGTGACTTAAATGTAAGACCTAAAACCATAAAAACCCCAGAAGAAAACCTAGGCAGTACCATTCAGGGCATATACATGGGCAAAGACTTCATCATTAAAACATCTAAAGCAATAGCAACAAAAGCCAAAATTGACAAATGGGATCTAATGACAATAAAGAACTTCTGTACAGTGAAAGAAACCATCATCAGCAGGAATAGGCAACATACATAATGGGAGAAATTTTTTGCAATCTATTCATCTGACAAAGAGCTAATATCCAGCATCTACAAAGAACTTAAACAAATTTGCAAGAAAAAAATCAAACAACCCCATCAGAAAGTGGGCGAAGGATATGAACAGACACTTCTCAAAACAAGACATTTATGCAGCCAACAGACACATGAAAAAATGCTCATTATCACTGGTCATCAGAGAAATGCAAATCAAAACCACAATGAGATACCATCTCACACCAGTTAGAATGGCAATCATTAAAAAGTGAGGAAACAGCAGATACTGGAGAGGATGTGGAGAAATAGGAATGCTTTTTATTTTTTTGTTATATAAATATAGATGTATTTTATTTTATTTTTTTATTATACTTTAAGTTTTAGGGTACATGTGCACAACGTGCAGGTTAGTTACATATGTATATGTGTGCCATGTTGGTGTGCTGCACCCATTAACTCGTCATGAGACAGAGTCTCGCTCTGTCATCCAGGCTGGAGTGCAGTGGCATGATCTTGGCTCACTGCAAACTCTGCCTCCCGGGTTCACGCCATTCTCCTGCTTCAGCCTCCCGAGTAGCTGGGACTACAGGCACCTGCCACCATGCCTGGCTAATTTTTTGTATTATTTAGTAGTAGGGTTTCACCATGTTAGCCAGGATGGTCTTGATCTCCTGACCTCATGATCCGCCCGCCTTGGCCTCCCAAAGTGGTGGAGTTACAGGCATGAGCCACCACGCCCGGCCAATAGGAATGCTTTTACATTGTTGGTGGGAGTCTAAATTAGTTCAACCATTGTGGAAGACAGTGTGGTGATTCCTCAAGGATCTTGAGCCAGAAATACCATTTGACCCAGCAGTCCCATTACTGGGTATATACCCAAAGGATTATAAATCATTCTACTATAAAGACACGTGCACACGTATGTTTATTGCAGCACTACTCACAATAGCAAAGACTTCAAACCAACCCAAATTTCCATCAATGATAGACTGGATAAAGAAAATGTGGCACACATGCACCATGGAATACTATGCAGCCATAATAAAGGATGAGTTCAAGCCCTTGCAAGGGACATTGATGAAGCTGAAAACCATCATTTTCAGCAAACTAACACAGGAACAGAAAACCAAACAGAGTATGTTCTCACTCATAAGTGGGAGTTGAAAAATGAGAACACGTGGACACAGGGAGGGGAACATCACACACTGGAGCTGGTTGGGGGTGGGGGGCTATGGGAGGGAGAACATTAGGAGAAATACCTAATGTAGATGATGGGTTCATGGGTGCAGCAAACCACTATGGTACGTGTATACTTATATAACAAACCTGCATGTTCTGCACATGTATCCCAGAACTTAATGTATAATAATAATAATAAAAAAACCTCCAAACTATAAAAACCTTAGAAGAAAATCTAGGCAATACTATTCAGGACATAGGCACAGGCAAATATTTTATGACAAAAACCTCAAAAGCATGACAACAAAAGCCAAAATTTACAAAGGGATCTAATTAAGTTAAAGAGCTTTTGCACAGCAAAGGAAACTATCATCAGAGTGAACAGACAACCTAGCCAATGTGAGAAAATTTTTGTAATCTATGCATCTGACAAAGGTCTAATATCCAGAATCTATTAGGAACTTAAACATATTTACAAGAAAAAACTCCGTTAAAAGTGGGCAAAGGACATGAACAGACACTTCTCTAAAGAGGACATTCATGTGGCTAACAAACATATGAAAAAAAGCTTAATATCACTGATCATTAGAGCAATGCAAATCAAAACCACATTGAGATATCATCTCATGCCAGTCAGAATGGCGATTATTAAAAAGTCAAGAAACAACAGATGCTGCTAGGCTGTGGAGAAATAGGAATGCTTTTACACTGTTGGTGGGAATGTAAATTAGTTCAACCATTTTGGAAGACAGTGTGGTGAGTCCTCAAAGACCTAGAAGCAGAAATACCATTTGACCCAGCAATCCCATTACCATGTATATACCCAAAGAAATATAAATTATTCTATTATAAAGATACATGCATGCATATGTTAATTGCAGCATTATTCACAATAGCAAAGACATGGAATCAACCCAAATGCCCATGAATGATAGACTGGATAAAGAAAATGTGGCACATATACACCATGGAATACTATGCAGCCATAAAAAGGACTGAGATTATGTCCTTTGCAGGGACATGGATGGAGCTGAGGGTTATTATTCTTAGCAAACTAACACAGGAACAGAAAACCATACACCCTGTGTTCTCACTTACAAGTGGGAGCTGACAAATGAGAAAGCATGGACACAGGGAGGGGAACAACACGCACTGGGGCCTGTCAGGGGGTTGGGGGGAGGGAGAGCATCAGGATAAATAGCTAATGCCTGCGGTGCTTAATACCTAGGTGATGGGTTGATGGGTACAGCAAACCACCATGGCAAACGTTTACCTGTGTAACAAACCTGTACGTCCTGCACATGTATCCCAGAACTTAAAATAAAATTTTAAAATGCACAATTAAATTGTTGTTTAATTGTGTATGTGACTATAGTTATCCTGTTGTGCTAGCAGACAGCAGGTCTTCATCCCTTCTAACTATTTTTTTGTGCACATTATGATCCTCACCTTTCCCCCACCCTAACTACCATTTCCCATCTCTGATAACCATCCACCTACTCTCTATCTCCATGAGTTTAATTTTTTTATTTTCTTATCCCATAAATAAATCAAAATATGCCATATTTGTTTTTCTGTCTTTGGCTTGTTTCACTTAACATAGTGACCTCTTGTTCCATCTATGTCATTGCAAATGATAAGATCTCATTTTTTTTATGGCTTAATAGTACTTTGCTGTGTATAAGTACCACATTTTATTTATCCATTCATCTGTTTATGGACAATTAGGTTGCTTCCAAATCTTGCCTGTTGTGAATAGTGCTTCAGTAAACATGGGAGTGTAGACGCATCTTTGATATACTGATTTTTTTTTCTTTTGGGTATATACTCAGCAGTGGGATTACTGGAACATATGATAACTTTATTTTCAGATTTTTTTGGAACCTCCAAACTGTTCTCCATAGCGGTTGTACAAATTTACATTTCCACCAACAGTGTAAAAGGGTTTTATTTTTTCCCTCCGCATCCTCACCAGCATTTGTTATTGCCTGTCTTTTGTATATAAGCAATTTTAACTGGGCTGAGATACTATCTCATTGTACTTTTGATTTGCATTTTTCTGATGACCAATGATGTTTAGCACCTTTTCATATACCTGTTTGCAATTTATATGTTTTCTTTTGAAGAAATGTTTATTCAGATCTTTTGCCCATTTTTTGATCAGATTATTAGATTATTTCCTATAGAGTTGATAAGAAATAATTTGATATTCAGGTTATTAATCCCCTTTAATCCCTTGTCAGATGGGTAGTTTGCTAGTATTTTCTCCCATTGTGTGGGTTGTCTCTTCAGTTTGTTGATTGCATCCTTTGCTATTCAGAAGCTTTTTAAATTGTTGTGATCGCATTTGCCCATTTTTGCTTTGGTTGCCTGTGTTTGTGGGGGTATTGCTCAAGAAATTTTTGCTCAGACTGATGTCATGGAGAGTCCCCCCAATGTTTTCTTGTAGCAGTTTTATAGTTTGAAGTCTTAAACTTAAGTCTTTAATCCATTTTGATTTTTTTTAGTATGGTGAGAGATAGGAGTCCAGCTTCATTCTTCTGCATATGGATATCTAGTTTTCCCAGAACCATTTATTGAAGAGACTGTCTTTTCCTCAGTGTATATTTTTGCCACCTTCATAAAAAGTGAGTTTCTGTAGGTGAGTGGATTTGTTTCTGGGTTCTCTTTTCTGTTCTATTGGTCTGTGTCTCTGTTTTTATGCTAATACCATGCTGTTTTGGTGACTATAGCTCTGCAGTATAATTTGAAGTCAGGTAATGTAGTTCCTCCAGTTTTGTTATTTTTTCTTAGGATAACTTTGGCTATTCTAAGTCTTTTGTGGTTCTATATAAATTTCAGGATTTTTTTTCTATGTCTGTGAAGAATGTCTTTGGTATTTTGATAGGGATTGCACTGAATCTGTAGATTGCTTTTGGTAATGTAGACATTTTAACAATATTATTTTTTTGAATCAATGAAAATAGAATATCTGTTCACTTTTTGGTGTCCTCTTTAATTTCTTTCATCAGTGTTTTATAATTTTTATTATGGGGAATCATTCAGTTTAAGTTATTACTAGATATTTAATTTTATTTGTAGTCATTGCAAATGGGATTATTTTTTCACATTGTTCACTGTGGACATATAGCAATGCTATTGGTTTTTGTATGCTGATTTTGTACCTGCAACTTTACTGAATTATTAATAGTTTATTAGTTCTAATAGTTTTTTGGTGGAGTCTTTAGATGTTACCAAACATAAGATTATATTATCTGCAAACAAGAATAATTTGACTTCTTCTTTTCCACTTTGGATGTCCTTTATTTATTTATTTTGTCTGAATGTTCTAGCTAGGACTTCCACTACTATGTTGAATAACAGTGGTAAAAGTGGGCATCCTTGTTCTGTTGCAGATATTAGAGGCAAGACTTTCAGTTTTTCCCCATTCAGTATGATACTAGCTATAGGTATGTCATACATGAATTTTATTATGTTGAGGTATGTTCTCTGTCCAGTATTTTTGAGAGGATCTTTTATATTATCAAGGGATGTCGAATATATCAAAACCTTTTTCAGCATCAGTTGAAATAAATGGTTTTTGTTCTTCATTCTATTGATAAGACATACAACATTGCTTGATTTGCATATGTTGAACTATCCTTGTATCCCTAGGATAAATTCCACTTGGTCATAATGAATGATCTTTCTAATGTATTGTTGAATTTGGTTTGCTCATACTTTATTGAGGATTTTGCATCAATATTCATCACAAATATTGGCCTTCAGTTTTCTTTATTTGACGTGTCTTTGGTATTAAGGTCAGGGTAATTCTGGCCTCCTACAATGAGTTTGAAAGCATTTGCTTCTCTTCTATTTTACAGAATAGTTTCAGTACGATTGGTATTAGTTCTTGTCATTACATAGTGACCTTCTTTGTCTCTTCTTATAGTCTTTTTCTTGAAATCTATTTTTCCTGATATAAGTATAGCTACTCCTGCTCTTTTTTTTTGTTTCCATTGGCATGGAATATAGTTTTCTATTCTTTTATTTGTGGTCTCTATATATTTTATAGATGAAGTATATTTCTTGTAGGCAACAGATCAATAGGTCTCGTGTTTTTATCCATTCAGCCACTCTTTGTCTTTTGATTGGAGAGTTTAGTCCCTTTACATTTAATATTATTATTAAGTAAGCATTTACTCCTGCAATTTCACCATATGTTTTCTGGTTGTTTTGTGTTCTTTTCTTTCTTCTTTCTTTTCTTTCTGTTTTCCTTTTAGTGAAGGCAATTTTCTCTGGTGATATGATTTATTTTCTTGTTATTTTGCATTTGTTCTATGTTTCTTGATTTGTGGTTACCGTGAGGCTCACAAATATTATCTTATTATTTTAAGCTGACAACAGTTTAACACTTTTTCTTCAGGGAAGCTTTGAAAAAAAAGCCCTCAAACCCCCAAAATGAAACAAAACAAAACAAAACTTAGCACTGTTTGTATAAGCAAACAAACAGCCAAAAATAAAACTAATGATGACTTTATGCCGGGTCCATCTCACAGACCTTGGCCAAGCTACGAATGAAAGGAGTACTCAGACACAGGTATACAGTGACAAAGTGGCTAGGGAACTGCTGAAGAGTGAGCAGTCCCAATAAGCAGGAGCTCTTTGCTTTTATTCAGTACAGGCATAATGCCAAAAGCCTGGAGCCAACACAATCTGTGGGTAATTAACATTATCGCTCCCCCTTACAGGGAGCAGTCTCGCACACTGATGGTCAAAGGTCAGTTCCCAGACAAGATAAGTAAACAAGGCTATTTAGATAAACTCCTCTACATTTCCTTGCACCTACTTCTCGCCCTCTGCCTCAGGGTAAGAGAACAGTTGCCTTCAGCTTATTCTCCCAAAAAGCTTTGCAGAACCTTCTAACCTTTCAAGAGGCCTGCTTCTTTCCCTATAGCTTCTTCCAGCACTCTAACCGATTCCCCACATCTCCCCCCCTCCTTTTTTTCATCAGGTCTTGTTGATTGAAGAGTACAGATGTGTGCAGCAACAGGTTTGTCAGGTGTAGCAGTTACAGCTTATTTTCTGGCTTTGCATCTTAAAATTAGTAGATAACATGAGACAAACATGAATATAATCAGCATTAGTTTTTTTCCAATTAAGGAGTGATATGTAATGTTACTTGGCACCTCAGTCCAATGTGTGCCCTTACTAAGGAGCCCCACTGGGGGTATGTCAATCCCTCATAGCCAAGTAGTTACCTTATTAGAGGCTAGGAAGGGGGTGTTCACTCAGGAACTCAGCATAAGGAAAGCAGATCTAGAAGATGGGCCTAATAGAGTAGCAGGTACTGGTAGCAGGCAAAGTGAGATAATTAAAAAAGGTTAATACCCTATGAGGGTTGCAATGTAAAACAGAAAGCATAGCAAGGAACAAATTATCTGCAGTGAATGGTGTCTGTGTCTAGAGCAGGATTCACTTAGCCTCCTGAGTTGTCTTCAGCATAATGTCTGGGGCCTTTGTTGTCCGAGGAAGCCACATCATCTGGAGCTGCAGGTTCTGCAGGGTCATTTCCTTCATTTCTGGTATCGGGTTGGGTCTTAGCCACACTATGGTAAGGTTTGATGCATGGTACTGGAATCCAAAGAGGACCTGAGGGGGTGTGAACACAAACATATCCTCTTCCCCACATTAGCAAATCATTTGGGCCACACCATTCATTACTATTTACATCACTCTATAGCACTGAAGGTTTTATATCTTGAGTGATTTTTGCAAAGTGCTTTTCTATGGCTGATTGAAATTTATCATCTAAATTTAAAAAATTAAGGGTAAATAAGTCTTGTGCCAATAGTGTTGCAGGGTCCTTACTCACAGTCCCCCTTTTTTGTTTTCTGAGCATATTTTTAAGGGTGGAGTGGACACATTTTACTATGGCCTGTCCTTGGGGGTTATACAGGATGCCTGTGGAATGTTGGATGTTCCACGTGTGACAAAATTGGTGAAATTGTGAGCTGGCATAAGCCAAATCATTAACAGTTTTAATTTTTGTGGGCTGCCCCATAAATGCAAATGTTAAGAGAAGATGTTTAATGACATATTGGGTGGACTCTCCAGGAAGAGCATGGGTGCTAATTAGGTGGGAATAGGTATCAGTGAATACATGTACATATCTTAGTTTTCCAAATTCAGGGATGTGCGTAACATGTTTGCCATAACTGATTAGGTTCTAGTCCTCTAGGGTTAACACCTGTTGAAGGAGGGGACGTGCCTGTGAGCTGGCAATCTGGGCATTGGAAAATAATTTGTTTAGCTAGTCCTTGGGTAAGTTGAAATTGTTTAGATAAATTTCTCCAGTTTTGGTGGAAGAATTGATGTGATTGGGTGGCTTGGTCAAGCAGTGATATCATAACCTGCAGATCTGCTTGATCATTGCCATAAGCCAGTGGGCCAGGCAGTGAGCTGTGGGCCCAAATGTGTGTAATAAAAATAGGATGTGTACGTTGATCTAGCAATTGCTGAAGTCAAAGAAAAAGTGCACACAGGGTGGGCTCAAGAGTGGACTTAATGAGGGCTGTTTCTAGGTTCTGCAATAAATAAACGGGGTAAGGAGAGTCACTAACAATATTGATGGGCTGAGCAGAAAAGTTTTCTAGGGCCAATATTAGGACTCCAACCTCAGCTCTTTGAGTACTAGTAAATCCAGATCAAGTGAGGGAGTTATGTGGTTCCCACCAGATAGCTGCTTTTCTATTTTTCCCAGAGCCATCAGTAAAAAGTGTTAAAGCATTAGGTATGGGAGAGTGTGCTACCTTTGTAGGCATAACTACAGGAGTACGACGTAAGAACTGGAGTAGTTTGTCAGTGGGAAGGGCATGTTCTACAAGGACCACATAATCAGAGTGCTATTTGCAGCTCTAGAGATAGGAGCAGGACTGCTTCGAATTGTTTTTTACTTAAGGGACTTCTTATGATATCAGAGTCATAACCTAGCAATTGATTGCATCATCTGTGGCCTGTATAGATGACTTTACTAACTAGCTGGACATAGGGAGATTGTGTTTTAGTCCTGGTATGAGAGCAAAAAACCCATTCTAGGAAGCATAGCCCTGGGGCCATCTGTCCTATTAATCCTGTTGGGGAATGTTTATTAGGAAAAACAAACAATTGGACCGAATATCATGGGTCTATGCGATCTAGTTGCCTCTGAGGAATAGCTTGCTCTATTTCCTCAATTACCCTTTTTGCAGCAGGGGTTAAACACCTGAGGGACTTCAGGGCCGCATTGCCCTTTAGGATACAAAACAGGTTTTGTAATCTGTTAGTAGTTATGCCCAAGGTGGGGTGAAGCCTGTTAATATTGCCCAGTAATTTTTGATAATCATTTAAAGTGTGTAAGTTGTTAGTATTTAATTTAACCTTCTGAGGTCTCACTGACTGAGTAGTTAGTATGTATCCAAGATATTTCCAAGGAGAGCACATCTGTACTTTTTCAGGTGCTATGATTAAACCTCTTAAGTGTGTATTATTTTTGACAGAGGCATATATATTTAAAAGTATTGGCTCTGTTGTGGCTGCCAGTAATATATCATCCATAAAATGGATAATCTTGCAATTAGGAAATTCCTTTCTACTGGGGAGCAAAGCTTGATTTACATGATACTGACACATGGTAGGACTATTTAGCATTCCTCAGCAAGTACTTTCCGATGAAATTGGCAAGCTGGCCTTTCATTATTGATAACTAGTATTGTAAATGCAAATTTTTCTCTGTCCTGTTTTGCAAGGGGAATAGTATAAAAGCAGTCTTTTAAGTCAATAATGACCATAGGCCAACCTCAAGGAATCACCACGGGGGAAGGGAGGCCCTGTTGAAGGGGTCCCGTAGGTTGCAAATTAGCATTGATAGCACATAAGTCATGCAAAAGTCTCCATTTACCAGACTTTTTGGGAATGACGAAAATGGACAAATTCCAAGGGACGTTTGATGGTTCTATATGGCCGGCTTTTAATTGTTCCCTAATTCATGGGCTCTTTGTAATTTCTCTCCCTTTAAAGCCCACTGTTCTACTCAAATAGGATTTTGAGGGAGCCATGTTAGGGGTAGTGGAGGAATTGCAACAGTGGCCATTATCAGAAAGGGGTCTGCAGAGTGACCCCCCGTTGGGCTAATAAGTCCCATACCCAAAGATTAACAGCGATGGGCATGATTAGAGGTTGTATGACTGCTTTCCTTTCCTCTGAATCACTAGATGTTAGGGGGCACGTGCTCTGCTTGGCTGTGTGTACTTCCCCAGTGCCGACGATTTTTTGTTTCTGAGTGACCCAAGGCCAAGTTTCTGGCCAGTTTTGATCACTAATGGTCGAAATATCTGCCCCCGTATCCAATAAGCCAGTAAAATTTGCTATGGCCTCAATTAAACCTTTCCTAAATTGGCTAGCAGCTCCATTTTCTCCTTTTCTTATTTCCTTATAAGTGTTAAAAGTAATAGGCTTCTGTACCCAATTGCCTTCTTGATCTTGCATCATGCGACAAGCCAGGTGCTCCCCTTCTAACGCCGCTTGCCTAAGACAAGGTCCCATGACTGTAGTGTATCCCTTGTCTTTTTTCCAATTTATTGGAGGAGGGGGCTCAGGAAAAATCTGTTTCCTCTTTGGTATCTTTACCCAGTAATGGCAGGGCTGAAGGAGGAGGAGGAGGCAGTAAGGTAGGTGATGGTTCCTCCTCTCTTCCCTTTTTAGGCTTTTCTGCATAGAGTGGGGCCAAAGCAGCCCTAAGGCCCATAATGTTAAATATGTTACTGGGACCTGTTGCCCTTGTGCATGATGTTGTTTAAGATTTCTCCCCACTTGTTCCCAGAGCTCTAGGTCTAGCCTGCCTTCTTCCAGGAACCATGGGTTATAGGAAACAACAGTTTGCATTAGGTCCCTTAATTAAGCCTGCGAGACTGAGACTCCACTAGCTTTAAGTAGCTGTTTCAATACTTTTGTATACTGTTTCTGTTGAGCTGATAACTGTTGTCCCATGATGAAACCCTAGCTTGAAAATTCCCTCTAGCTTGGAAATCCCGAGTGGGCACCAATGACTTACTGACTATGCAGTCTATTCACCTTCATTTTTGAGGGTTCCGTCACGATCTATTGCAGCATCCCTTACATGAATACCACCTGCCAAGTCCATCCTGCAGACCCTGGCCAAGTGACGGATGAAAGGAGTACTCAGACACAAGTATGAAGTGAAAAAGCAGCTAGGGGATTGCTGAAGAGTGAGCAGTCCCGATAAGCTGGATTTCTTTGCTTTTATTCAATACAAACATAATGCTGAAAGCCTGGAGCCAACAGAACCTGTGGGTAATTAACATTATTGCTTCTTACAGGGGAGCAATATATTCCTTTGGCTATACACCCAACAATGGTCCTGCTGGGTCAAATGGTAATTCTGTTTTAAGTTCTTCTGAGAAATCACTAACCTGCTTTCCACAATGGCTAAACTAGTTTACATTCCCACCAGCAGTGTATAAGCATTCTTTTTTCTCCACAACTTCACTGGCATCTGTTATTTTTTGACATTTTAATAATAGCCATTCTGACTGGAGGGGGGTGGTATCTCATTGTCATTTTGATTTGAATTTTTCTAATGATTAGTGATGTTGAGCATTTATTCATATGCTCATCGACTGCATGAATACCTTGTTTTGAAAACTGTCTTTCCATGTCCTTTGCTCACTTTTTAATCATGTTGTTTGCTTTTCACTTGTAAATTTGTTAAAGTTCTTGATAGATTCTGGATATTAGTCCTTTAATGGATGCACAGTATGTGAACATTTTCTCCATTCTCTAGCTTGTCTGTTTATTCTGTTGATAGTTTCTTTTATTGTGCAGAAGCTCTTTAGTTTAATTAGGTCCCATTTGTCAAGGTGCATTTTTGTTGCAAATACTTTTGGTGTCTTTTTCATAAAGTCTTTGCTAGGTCTTATGTCAAAAATGGTATTTCCTAGGTTATCTTCCAGGGTATTTCTAGTTTTTGGTTTTAGATTTAAGTTTTTAATCTATCTTGAGTTAATTTTATATATGGTATAAAACAGGGGTCCAGTTTCAGTCTTCTGCATATGGCTAATCAATTATCTCATCACCATTTATTGAATAGGGAATCCTTTGTCCATTGCTTATTTTTGTAGATTTTGTCAAAGATCAGATGGTAGCAGGTGTGTGGCATTATCTGGGCTATCTCTTCTGTCACATTGGTCTATGTGTCTGTTTTTGTACCAGTACCATGCTGTTTTTGTTACTGTAGCATTGTAGAATAGTTTAAAGTTGTATAAGGTGATACTTCAAGCTTCGTTCTTTCTGCTTAGGAAAGTCTTGGGTATTTGGGCTCTTTTTTGGTTCTGTATGAATTTTAGAATACTTATTTTTAGTTCTGTGAAGAATGACATTGGTACTTTGATAGGAATAGCATTGAATCTGTAAATTGCTTTTGGCCGTTTGGCCCTTTTAACATATTTATTCTACCTATCCATGAACGTGGAATGTTTATCCATCTGTTTGTGTCATCACTGATTTCACTGAGAAGTGTTTTGTAATTCTCATTGTAGAGTTTTATAATTAGTCTATTTCTAGGTATTTTATTCTTTTTTTGGCTATTGTAAATAGAATTGCATTTATATTTGCCTCTCAGCTTTGATGTTGTTGGTGTATAGGAATGATACTGCTTTTGTACATTAATTTTGTATTCTGAACATTTGCTAAAGTGGCTTATCAGATCAAGGAGCTTATTATCAGAAACCATGGGGTTTTCTAGGTATTGGATCATATCACCTGCAAACAGAAATAGTTTGACTTCCTCTCTTCCTATTTGGATGTCTTTTATTTTTTTTTCTCTTGCTTGATTGTTCTGGCTTGGACTTCCAGTACTATGTTGAATAGGAGTGGTGACAGAGGGCATCCTTGTCTTGTTCCAGTTTTCACGGGGAATGCTTCTGGCTTTTCCCTATTCAGTATGATGTTGGCTGTGGGTTTGTCATATATGTCCCTTATTATTTTGATGTATGTTTTCTCAATGCCTAGTTTGTTGAGGGGAAAACAGCAGTTGTATATATGCTCAAGGAGCTAAAAGAAAACGGATAAGGATCAAAAAGAAATCAGGAAAGTGATATATTCACAAAAGGAGAATATCTTCAAAGATATCCAATTATAAAAAGAAAGCAAACAATTTCTGAATCTGAAAAATACTACAATTGAATTGAAAAATTCCCTGGAGAGGTCTAACTGCAGACTCAAGCAGACAGAATAAAGAGTCATTGAACTTGAAGGCAAGACATTTACAATTATTGAATATGCAGAGCAAAAAGAAAAAAGAATGAAT